>NC_000010.11:92718852-93021883 GCF_000001405.40 Homo sapiens
CGTGGTGGCAGGCACCTGTAATCCCAGCTACTTGGGAGGCTGAGGCAGGAGAATTGCTTGAACCCGGGAGGCAGAAGTTGCAGTGAGCAGAGATTGCACCACTGCACTCCAGCCTGGACAACAGAGTGAGATTCTATCTCAAAACACAAACAAAAACAAAAACAACAAAAGACTTCAGAAAGGATACCTGGATGAATGAGACACAAAGTCAAAATAAAATGTCTGGAAGTCTCTAGATCATTCCATGGACTCTCCTTTCTGACACACCCATCTCACTCTCTGAAACCAATAAGAAATCTCTTCCTGGCCCCTGTGTTTATATGGCTTGCTCCGATGGCTGGTGCTCACCAACCCTGCTGTGGTTGGGGCAGACCCTGAATATGGAGCTGCTATGATATAGTAGGGCTGGATGCCAACCTGTTTTGTGGATCTTCATCCTAGTTGTAAATGATTTCTCAGCCTCAAATTAAAACTCCTTGGCTTCTGGGCCCTGGTCTACCCCAGGGATTTGAGAGTGGGCATTTGGTCTCTCTGCTCTGTGCCCCTCAGTTCCATCACCATCCCTTGAAGTAGCCTAGACACCTGTTGTTTTCAGCTCCTTGCACCCTTTTTATTTTTGCTCATGGGACACCACCTCTCTCCTCCATCCCATATTCAGGTGGGTCTGCCCGTCCATAATTGCTGGTAGGGACCAAAGCTGGGGTTCAAACCCAAAGGGTCTGATTCCAAAACCCACTTTCATAAAAATTACTCTAGCTTGCTTCTTGGTACCAAATTACATTGCTTTTCATTGCATTTAATTTTTAATACTCTAGATCGTGAAATACACTACAGAGTTTCTCTCCAGTCATTTGGATAACCACATGTCAGACAATATCTGAGTCAAGGTTTAAAATTACAGAAAATAAACCAAAGTTCTCATCTCACAACAGGGAAAAGTATCATCTTACTAGTTTTAATGGTGGCAAAAAATTAAGGTTCTGTTTGAAAAATTATTTTTTCTCTAAGATCCTTAGTCCTTTTTATTCCTCAACTACATCAGCTAAAATGTGGCCATGTATGATGATTATGGAAGTGAAGAGCTTTTTCTGAAGGATACTAACCTAATTACTCTGGAAATATCAACCATGAATCAAGAAGTATATTATGACTTAATTGTTCATTGCACAAAATTTAGATAATCACTCATTTCTTCCATGCCTTCCCTCTCTCCATCTAGAAGCGTATTTAACTAAGTAATCAGGGGTACTAACTATTCACAGCCTAGGCAAGTGTAGGGAAATAACCACCTTAATAACACATTGGCAGCCTCAGAAATGGCTGGCTATGAATAAGCACATAGCACTTAGTCTGCTCCTTCTTATGTGTTTGCCAATACATTTGCAATTTCATGCACAGTTTTAAATGTTAAGCATTAATCTGAAATGGGCACTGAAGCATCAGTAAAGTCTACAATTTGCCCCCTTTAATGAAAATGCTAGATATAGATTTAATGCAAAACTAAACATTTGGCTCAATATGTTCTACTCCAGTAAATTAGCTAGTGTTTGTCATCTTTTTAAAAAAACAGGGGCTGAATGCCTCATTTCACATGGTTTTGTTAGGGACAGATAGAAAGCTGATAAACAACCCATTTGTTCTATGACAGTAGCTCCTCGTCACACTACTGAAGTTAAGCTTCAGTGCTCATTTCCTTTACAAATCCTGTTGTGAGTTTAAGTGGCCTGCTGTTGAATATTTGACTGAAGTGTAGCCTTGACAAGAGTGTTTTCCCAGAGGAATACAGACGAAGCTTTTTTGGACAGTGGCCCTAGAGCAGTGGATTCTGAAATGACTCAGTGAACCTGAAAGGGAACAGAGCATCAGGGAGCCCTACTGTGCGCTATTTGAAACTGTCAGAGATGTTATCCCACAACAGCCTGAACAGGTTCATGTAATTGCCCTCTACTTGGCCAGATGAGGAAACCGAGGGCTAGAGATGAAGCTGTGTAGCTAGGAAGTGATGAAACCTGGATTTGACCCCACTCACTATTTCACACTGTCTGGCAGCTGGGAGCTGCCCTTCCTATATCTCTACCAGTGGTGCATTATTTGTCATTCAAGGAGCTTACACATGCCACCTCCTCCAGGAAGTCATTGCTGATTGCTCACTATTAACCATCCTTCTTATGTGTTTTTATTGTACTTTATCTGTTTCCAATGTAGTCCTTAGGACATTCTGCCTTTTGGTACATTAATTTAATACCTATCTGACTCTTTATAAGAGAAAGGGCTATCTCTTACATTGACCTTGTATATACTGCAGGACTTTCACTATCAAAGGCACTCGATAAATGTTCATTGAGGCTGGGCATGGTGGCTCACACTCCTAATCCCAGTACTTACAGTGGCCAAGGTGGAAGGATCACTTGAGGCCAGGAGTTTGAGACCAGCCTGTGAAACATAGCAAGATCTCATCTCTGCAAAAAAAAATTTTTTTTGAGACAGAGTCTCTCTGTGGCCAGGCTGGAGTGCAGTGGTGCAATCTCAGCTCACCGCAACCTCTGCCTCCCAGGTTCAAGTGATTCTCCTGCCTCAGCCTCCCAAGTAGCTGAGACTACAAGCTCGTGCCACCACGCCCGGCTAATTTTTCTATTTTTAGTAGAGACAGGGTTTCACCATGTTGGCCAGGATGGTCTCGATCTCCTGACCTCGTGATCCACCCGCCTCAGCCTCTCAAAGTGCTAGGCTTACAGGCATGAGCCACTGCACCCAGCCAAAACTTTTTTTAAAAAAATTAGCCAGGCGTGGTGGGGGGCACCAGTAGTCTGAGCTACTCAGGAGGCTGAGGTGGGAGGATCGCTTGAGTCCAGGAGGTTGAGGCTGTAGTGAGCTATGATTGCACCACTGCACTCCAGCCTGGGCGACAGAGTGAGACCTGTCTCCAAAAAGAGTTAAAAAACTGTTCATTGAAATGTTTATAAAATAGGTGGTTCTCAATATCTCATATCCTATTTCCAGAATTATGAAGAACAGTACAGTCAAGGGGGCAGGTCTTGCAGTAAGCCTGACGGGGTTTGAATCCTAGCTGTATGACCTTAGGAGAGTTGCAGAGCTTCTCTGAGTTTCAGATTCCTTCCGTTATAAAGCAAGGATAGGAATAGTATCTACTGCAAAAGGTTGTTGCAGAAGTCCAATAAGAGAAGGCACACATAGTGCTTAGAATAGTGCCTGGTACATAGAAAATGCTCACTGAACCTTGGCTATTATTTTCCAGAAATGTTTGGAGATTTTTATAGCATAGGCAAGAAACTTTGTGGCACTGGTTGTTTACCATTTTAAAACGTAAAAAAAAAGGAAATATTTGATTTGATTAATAGCTGAACTGACAACGTGCAAGAACCATTTAATAATGACCAATCATGAAAGGTTATGGAAAAAGAAATGATTTAAGAAGGCCAAGAGCCAGGCCAAGGTATTGGTAAGCCCTGAACTCATCACATGTCTGGAGTCGACAGTTCAATCAGTTCTAGTTTTGAATATGGGCAGGAGCTTTTTGTAAAAAAAAAGTTTTGGGGCAATATGCATATGGCTTTCTTTTCTTTCTTTCTCTTTTCCTGCCCCCTGGGCAATATGTGTACTGCTTTCTGAGAATGAGTTTCCAAATAATTGTGTACCTACTGATGCAGGTGTCATAATTTCCAAACCCATCCAATCAATATGTACCAGACAGAGATCTGCTCACAGTTCAGAGAGCTAATTTGGTAACTCCAGTGGGCCATTCTGTTCCTTGTTCTGGATAACCAACTAACTAACCTACTGCCTATTGAACACTATTTGACTTGGGTAAGCCCCTCAACATCCCTTTGAGCTTGAATCTTCTTACAGATAAATATGGATCAAAATATGGATACCTCTCCTTCCTTTCCCTCTTTGGACCTCAGTTTCTCATCTGTAAAATGACCAGGTGGCCTCTTAGTCCCTCCTCTGGCTAACCTTCCATGGTTCTGCCTCCCGGGGATGCTGTAAAGTCAGTTCAATGATACTGACTAAACTGCTGTGAACTTCCTGACCCAGGGCCCAGCTGGACACCAACTGACTAGGAGAGTTGATGGCTACACAGGGAAGAACTGCCTCTCCTCAGCTGCCGGACAGGGAAAGGAGGGGTGGGGCAGCTGCTGATGGCTATGTCTTCCCCTGTGTCCTGGTCACCTGGCCTCTGCTTGCATGCAACAACTCTATTTTTGAACAGGAGGTGGGTGGCAGGAGGGCCCAGAGGTCTGAATTTTCTTAAACAGCCAGGCATCCTTGGGCTGACACGGTGTCCTAGCTCTCATCAAAGGACATGATGAATATATATAAAGCGAAGCTACATGAGCAGCCCACTGTGAAGGGAGGAGAAGGGCAGGAGGTCTTGAAGCCTAGATTCTTTGGCTCCAGGTGGCTGGAAAAGTCAATAGCTCTAGACAGTTTCCCAAGCCGGCTGCGCACCAGCAGCACTTGGAAAGGTAGTTTGAAGTACAGATTTGTGGGCTGTAGCTTAGAACACTCTGATTCAGTAGGTGAATGGCCTGAGCATCTTATTTTTAGCAAACTCCCCAGGTGGTTCTCGTGCACAGCGAGGCTTGGGAATCCCTTTGGTTTAGGTCATGGGGAGATAGAAGTGATAAGAGAAGAATGGCTGGTGAAGCACATCAGCTCCACCCATGCTCCAGTGGGGTCAGTAGTATGTGGCATCCCAGCTCATTCCAGCTGTGCCATGGTTGTGTCTTAAAATCTCAAAGCCTCGATGCTTATTTCTAAAATGGGAATCATACTGACAACCCCATAGTATCAATGTGAGGGTGAAATGGATGATGCCCATAAGGCACTTAGCAGGGGGCCTGGCACAGAGTGAGCATTGAATAAATGTCAGTTATTGTCATTATTGTTGTTGTTAACATTATTATGGAGGGCCAGGTGCGGTGGTTCCCACTTGTAATCGCAGCACTTTGGGAGGTTGAGGTGCAAGAATTGCTTGAGGCCAGGAGTTCGAGACCAGCCTGGGCAACATAACAAGATCCTTTTTCTACACACACACACACACACACACACACACACACACACACACACACACACACCTACCTGAAAAAATTAGCCAGGTGTGGTGGTGCATGCCTTTAGTCCTAGCTACTCAGGGGGCTGAGGAGAGAGAATCACTTGAACTCAGGAGTTGGAGGTTGCAGTGAGCTATGATTGTGCCACTGCACTCCAGCCTGGGCAACAGGGTGAGACCTCATCTCTTAAAAAAAAAATTAAAAAGAAAAGATTTTTAAATTCTTAAGAAAAACCCAAACAAAAACCATTATTAACTAATGAAGCACTTGGCCATTCCTGGCTGTTGTTCTCTTCCTTATTGTAGGGTGGGTGTCTTAGTTTGGGCTGCTAGAACAAATATAACAGACTGGGTACTTAAACAACAAGCATTTCTTTCACACAGTTTTGGAGACTGGAAGTCCAAGGTCAAGGTACCGACAGATCCAGTGTCTGGAGCGGGCCCACTTTCTGGTTCATAGATGGCTGTCTTCTCACTGAGTGCTCACATGGCAGAGAGCAGAGAGACACAAGAAGCAACCTCTCATGTCTCTTCTTAGAAAAGCATGAATCCCATTTCTGAGGGCTCTACTCTCATGATCTAATCACCTCCCAAAGCCCCTGCCTCCTAATTCCGTCACACTGGGGGTAAAGATTTCAGCATATGAATTCTGTTCAGTCCGTAACAGTGGGATAGCCCTGGACAACATCTAAGGTCTTGTTTGCTAGATGATTTGCTCCAGAGCCCCCAAGGAACTGCACTTGTAACACATTTTACAAAGATGACTCATGAAAGTAGGGCTAAAAAATGTTAATATTATTCAATCTGGGTGATGAGTATTTAACTGGCTATTAAGATATTCCTTCAATTTCCTTGATATTTGAAATATTTCATAACAACAACAGCAACAATAAACTAAGCTAATATTCATAAATGCCAGCTGATTGGTTCATGTTAATCCCAGCTGGTGTGACCTTGATCAAAATGGGTAAGCAGGCAAAATGGCCTTCAGGACCCTCCAGCTGTGTGACTATACTCCCCTCTTTGAGACCCCTGTCAGTCCCTCCCAAGTTCTTCAGCCACCCAAGACCTCCCTTCCTCAAGGACCTGTTCTTCCAGAGCTCCTGATCTCATCTTGGAGCTAGTTTGATTGGAGGTATTAACAGTTGATGGTGGCTTAATTTCGATTTCTGCTTTTTCTCATAAACCAAGTGGCATACACGTCAGACCCCTGCCTGTGAGTGATGAGGACATTTTGATGGAGGGTGAAAGTTGTACACTACCCTCGCAAACTACTAGGTGTAAAGCTGCTCCCTTTTTGCATGGAAAGGTCAACTCCATTTCAACATTATAATGTTCAGTTTCTGTTCAGAGCAATTCAGAATGGTGCCAAAACAACTGCTCAATTCAGGCTTGTGTGTGTGTGTGTGTGTGTGTGTGTGTGTGTGTGTTTAACCTGTCAGTTTGTTGGTTGAAAAAAAAAGTGATGAGTTGCCTTTATGTAAACAAAATAGCCAGTTAATTGACTGGGATTTTCACTTTTTAACCAGTCATCATTGCAAAGACAAAGAGAACTTTTGCTAAGTTGCTTTTCACAATGTCACACAGTCAAACAAGCACACATTCAAGGTGAGATTTTCCTTTAGTTACTATCCTTCTCTGGTGTGAATACCTAACCTGATATCAAATCTTTCTCTTCTTCCTTCACAGTCCTCCAGATGTGCTTTGATTTCCTTAGTGTCTTAGTTTTCTCCTGAGGAGCCACCTCTCTCTCTTGGATACCTGCAGCGCTGCCCAAACTTCAATCATTCCCATATGGCTCTCCTGGTTTTTGCCATATCCATGTACCACCCTTCCTATCATTGAACCAGCTTTCTTTACATAAAATCACTTAGAAAATAAGTTTATTTTTGCCAGGCACGGTGGCTCACGCCTGTAATCCCAGCACTTTGGGAAGCCGAGGCCGTTGGATCACCTGAAGTCAGGAGTTTGAGACCAGACTGACCAACATGGTGAAGCCCCATCTCTATTAAAAATACAAAATTAGCCGGGCATGATGGTACATGCCCGTAATCCCAGCTACTTGGGGGACTGAGGCAGGAGAATCGCTTGAACCCAGGAGGGAGAGGTTGCAGTGAGCCAAGATCGCGCCATTGCACTCCAGCCTGGGTGACAAGAGCGAAATTCCATCTTGAAAAACAAACAAAAAAAAGAAAAGAAATTCATTTTTAAAGAGTACTTAACATTATTACCATAAATGGAAAACCAGTATTACCATACATAGAGGGTAACCATAAAAATTAACATAGTGAAAACAAAAAGCAGTGTTCCTAAATTCTAGCTGGATTCCCTAATAAGAATCTTGATCTAAGACCTGCTTTCTCTTTGTTAATAAAAAAATAAAGGGGGGCCGGTCACAGTGGCTCACGCCTGTAATCCCAGCACTTTGAGAGGCTGAGGTGGGCGAATCACTTGATGTCAGGAGTTCCAGACCAGCCTGGCCAACATGGCAAAACCCCATCTGTACCAAAAATACAAAAATTACCTCAGCGTGGTGGTGCATGTCTGTAGTTTCAGCTACTCGGGAGGCTGAGGCAGGGGAATCACTTGAACCTGGGAGGCAGAGGTTGCGGTGAGCCGAGATCATGCCACTGCACTCCAGCCTGGATGACAGAGTGAAACTCTGTCTCGGGAAAAAAAAAAAAAAAAAAAAAAGGAGTCTCAAGTGTTAAAGTTTAAAAACATATAGCACCAAACTCAGATTTTTCCTCCTTCATTTAATCCAAGCAACCAAAAAAGCTAATAACCTCTTTAAGTAATTGTTATTTAATGCCTACAATGATCCCTTATGCTAAAAGTAGCCACATCCCACTCTTTGGAGCTCTGGATCCTTGCAAATTGTCTTCCAATCAGACTACCTGCTTCTATTCTGGCCTTAATACCTTGAATGCCCAAGCCACCCACTCCCTTGTTAGCTTTGGAGTCTTGCATTCTTTCCCAGCGTCTTCTACAAGTCTCTTCAGGCCTTTGTACCTCACCTCACTTGCCACTCATTCAGGTCCACATAGATGCTAATTTTGTGAGCATTTTTCCTAAACCCTGCCTCAAAGACTTCCAAGGAAGGCTGACAGTGTGTCACTTAGCCTCTCAGAGGCTCCATTTCCTCATCTGCAAATCAACGAAGTCTAATCATTCTGGCCTCACAGACTGTTGCGAGGATTAAATGATCCAATGGAGAGAAAGTGCCTTGCACAATGGCCGTAATACATGCTCAATAAGCGGCAGCACGTTGTTAGCCATGGAGTCATCCAGTCTGACTCCAGTGTCAACTTCTTTCAGTCAGTTCTTGAACTACCTCTTAGCCCTTGCTACACACATTCACTGGCTCTTACAAATGCCAATAAGCTGTTGGTTTACTCAAACTCCTGGTCAGTGATGGTTGATTGTCTGGAATGCCATGTGTGTTTGCTTGGTGTATCTCAGACCTGGAGTAGCTACGGAAGTCAAGGAGTCCTGCAAGGGAGTGTGATTGGATAGCATGTCCTACTGTTCCCACCAGAGAGATTCATGTCTTCGTGGACAGCTTTTGTTATCCTCCCTTAGTGGACGTAAGTAGAGGGACAGTTTTTACAAGGGACTGTGGCCATTTGCTCTCAAGAGGCTTTGGAGTCTCCTCCTGAGTATGAGGCACTAAGTTCCCATGGTAAGATCAGTTTCTTTGTACAAGCCTCTCCAGCCCGTCTTTGCCTTACACACTAGACTCTTGGGACCGGGGCTCATCCTCTTATAAAAGGATGCCAAGCAGAGGGTCATACAGTAAAGGGAGGTAAACATTCTTTTAAACTAGTTTATCAATTCAACACAGCACAGTGGTGTTGGGTTACCAGGGTCAACAGCCAGCAGTCACATTCCTCAGCTGTTCGATTGGGGCAATGCATTAACAAACAGCCAGGGAAACTCTTTTTGATTAATTATGTTGATAAGTTTTTTTTGTAGTGTGCTACAAGCTCTTTTAATTTAATCTGCTTGGACAGCAGCCCATTCAGGTGAAATGTCTTGACTTATCTAAAGAAGCACTGATGAGAAGGCTACTGGGCCTGGGATTTTACTGTACTATCATGTAATCATTAACACATGTGGCTACTGTTTTCCTGCATTTTGATTTTCTTCTTGAAAGGAAGGACATGTCTGTGGGGTGGGGGTATTAGGGAAGTAAGGATGAGACCCAGCAGCAGTGACAGGAAAAGAGGATGCTATTACTAGCTGAGCCTGAAAACACTATCTTTATTGCCAGGAGTAAAAGTATTTGAAAGCACTAATAATGGCTTCAGTGAATACTCATCTTTTAAAAAAGAGCAAAGGATGGCGAGGACATAGTTCTCTCAAAGAGTGGAAGTCTTCTAGATTAGGGTTGTCCAATCTTTTCACTTCCCTGGGCCATGATGGAAGAAAAATTGTCTTGGGCCACACATAAAATACACTCACAGTAATGATAGGTGATGAGCTAAAAAAAAAAATTGCAAAAAAACCTCATAATGTTATAAGAAAGTTTATGAATTTGCATTGGGCTGCATTTAAAGCCATCCTGGGCCACGTGTGGCACATGGGCCGCGAGTTGGACAAGCTTGTTCTAGATCAAGGTTTCTCAACCTTGGAAATACTGGCACTTTGGGCTGGATAAGGCTCTGTTGTGGGGTGCCTGTCCTGTGCACTGTAGGATGTGTAGCCTTTTCCCAGTAGGTGCCAGCAGCACCCCTCACCCCCACAATTGTGATAACCAAAAAGATCTGTAGACATTGCCAAATGTCTCCTGGGGCACAAAATTGCCCCCAGTTGAGAACCACTGTCCTGGATGTACAGATTCAAATCTTAAGTAGCCTATTATGACTCTCTGCTGATCTCTTTTCCATCACCTCATTTAAGACACAATTCAACACATAGCTCTTCCAGGGGGCCCATCCTCACTGACTTCTTTGTCATCTGTCCTCCCTACATTAAGACCTTGGGTCTATACTATCTTCTCCTTCCTTCTCTTCTTCCTCTTCTCCCTTCTTGTTTTTTCATCCACAGAACTCTGTTCTGAGCAACTGTTCAATATCAACTTGTGAATTAACCAGGGAATTATTTCTCCTTTATGTTTGTGACAGACATCTATCTCAGAGGCAACCCAGACAAAATTTCCCAAATTATCCAAAAATAAAATGAATATTCTCTGATTAAAAACAGATGTCTAGGCCGGGCACAGTGGCTCATGCCTGTAATCCCAACACCTTGGGAGGCTGAGGGGCTGGATCACCTGAGGTCAAGAGTTCGAGACTAGTCTGGCCAACATGGTGAAACCCCGTCTCCACTAATAATACAAAAATTAGCTGGGTGTGGTGGTGGGTGCCTATAGTCCCAGCTACTCAGGAGGCTAAGACAGGAGAATTGCTTGAACCCGGGAGGCGGAGTTTGCAGTGAGCTGAGATAGAGCCACTGCACTGCAGCCTGGTCAACAGAGCTAGACTCAGTCTCAAAAACAAACAAACAAACAAACAACAGAAAAAAAAAAACACAGACATTTAGGCCAGGCACAGTGGCTTGTGCCTATAATCCCAACACATTGGGAGGCCAAGGAGGGAGGATTGCTTGAAACACAGAGTTCAAGACCAGCCTGGGCAATGTAGTGAGACCCTGTCTCTATGAAAAATAAGAGAGAGAGAGGGAGAGAGAAAGTAAAAAATACATGTCTAAATGGGGGCAGTTTAAATTTGAGGTGAGAAGTGGCAGGAAGAAGTGGCAGAATTACAGAAATTAAAAATAGCTCACACTCTGCAAGCACTTAATCCACTATATGCCACATGCATTATCTCATTTAATTCACACATTATCCCCATTTTGTAGAGGAGGAAATAGAGTTTTAGTGAAGTGAAGTAATTTGTGCAAGTTCCCAGAGTCGAACTGGCAGTGTGAGGATTTGAACCTGGGCAGCTTGATCCTGGGGTGGGTCCTCAGCCCCTGTTCACACAGTTAAAGTCCTAAAGGGGTGGAAGGTCACCAAATAAGGCTGAGGACCAAGGGCAGGATGACTTTTCAGGAGCTGTAAGAACAACTTGTCTGAATTCTAGAGGCCCCAGCTTTCAGTGTCTGGACCTATGCAAATCTGCAAGTGAATGTGGTCCTATTTCTTTGTTTCCATCTGTCTTAGTGAAACTGGCCCTGCTTAGCGGTGTGGAGTATTGCTTTCCCAGTTTAGAAAGTTAATTTATAAAGACAGCTGAAGTGAAGAATATGGTTCAAGAGGGTGCCTCAGCTAGCAGGTGCTGGGGGAGTGGGGTGGGGGTGGGGAATATAGGGCTGGAGAATCACGAAATAAATTAAATCTTTGACATTTGATGACTGTGGGAGAAAAACATGTGTGGACATAGATCCAAAGCCTTGGCAGTACCTATCCCTTACCTGTCCTAAGCCCCGTTTTTTGCTCATTTTGTATTTCTCATACGAAAGCACAAAGTTGTAGTTTCCAATTTCTTGGTGGCAAAATTGTGGCAAACATTGAAAAATATTTGAAAAAGATTTCCCTTTGCTCTTCTCCTTCTCCTTCTCCCTCTCCCTCTTCCTCTCCTTCTCCCTCCCCCTCCCTTCCTCCTCCTCCTCCTCCTCCTCCTCCTCCTCCTCCTCCTCCTCCTCCTCCTCCTCCTCCTTCTTCTTCTTCTTCTTCTTCTTCTTCTTCTTCTTCTTCTTCTTCTTCTTCTTCTTCTTCTTCTTCTTCTTTCTTCTTCTTCTTCTTCTGTGTTTGTTTTTTTGAGATGGAGTCTCACTCTGTTGCCAGGCTGGAGTGCAGTGGCTCGGCTCACTGCTGCAACCTCCGCCTCTGGGTTCAAGAGATTCTCCTGCCTCAGCCTCCCAAGTAGCACAGCCATCATGTCTGGCTAATTTTTGTATTCTTAGTAGAGACGGAGTTTTGCCATGTTGGCCAGGCTGGTCTTGAACTCCTCTCCTCAAGTGATTCACCTGCCTCAGCCTCCCAAAGTGCTGGGATTACAGGCGTGAGCCACCATGCCTGGCCTCTAGCCTCCTCTTGAGCCACCTTTTCTTCATACTGTGTTGCAGCCATACTGGCCTTTCCACTATTCCTGCCTCAGGACCTTTGCACATGATGGTTGCTTTACATGGGTGCTGACTCCTTTGCCCAGGTAAGCTCCTCAGGTCTTTGTTTACATATCACTTCCTCAGAGGGCCTTCCTGACTTCCTTCTCTAAACTGATTTCTTTCTTCACTATTCTCTCAGCACTTCTTTTTTTGGGGGAGGCAGGGAACACAGTCTCACTTTGTTGCCCAGGCTGGAGTGCAATGGTGTGACCTTGGCTCGCTGAAACCTCCAACTCCTGGGTTCAAGGGATTCTTTGCCTCAGCCTCCCAAGTAGCACACGCCATCATGCCTAGCTAATTTTTGTATTCTTGTAGAGACGGGGTTTCACCATGTTGGCCAGGCTGGTCTCAAACTCCCGTCCTCAAGTGACCTACCTGCCTTAGCCTCCCAAAGTGCTGGGATTACAGGCGTGAGCCATGATGCCTGGCCTTCTCAGCACTTCTTTTGGAGAATTTTCCATAACTTAATGTTTGTCTCCCAACTACACTATAAGTTCCCTGAGAACAGGGACTTAGCATTCCATATGGCAATGGCACACAATGGCCTGGCACACAGTGTTTTATAAATATTTGTTGAGGGAATACATGAAGTCTAGACTGAATATTTGGTTGATTTGGAAGCAGTTGTGTGTTTCCTGCCTTTTAACTTTAAAAATGTGTGAAAATTTTCAAATGTACATAAAATTAGAATAATACAACGAGCTTTTATATACACATCACCTAGATTCACCAATTGTCAAGATTTTGCCACATTTACATGATTTTTTCCCTTTTTTAACTTAAAATTTTCCCTAGCCTTCTAAAGGCACAGAAACATTAGCTACCATTCATTGTGTTTACTATGTGCCAGTAAATGTGCTACATGTTTCTTTCTTTCTTTTTCTTTCTTTCTTTCTCTTTCTTTCTTTCTTTCTCTCTCTCTCTCTCTCTCTCTTTCTTTCTTTCCTTCTTTCTTTCTTGAGACAGAGTTTCGCTCTGTCACCCAGGCTGGTGTGCAGTGGCGAGATCTCGGCTCACTGCAACCTCTGCCTGCCAGGTTCAAGTGATTCTCCTGCCTCAGCCTCCTGGGTAGCTGGAATTACAGGTGCCTGCCACCATGCCTGGCTAATTTTTTTGTATTTTTAGTAGAGACGGGGTTTCGCCATGTTGGCCAGGCTGGTCTCGAACTCCTGACCTCTCGGCCTACCAAAGTGCTGGGATTACTAGGCATGAGCCACCACTCCTGGCCTAAATGTTTCTTACACATGTTGTTATTTAATCTTCTCAACAACTCTGCTGTGGGTATTATAACCCTATTTTAGAAAGGTGGACGCTGATACAGTGTAAGTCACTTTATGCAGTGTTCCCACTTTAGTAGGTGGAAATCTGGGACTCCAAAGTTCATGTTCTGAACTATCAAACATTGCTCTTTATAGATTTAATCAAACACATTTCTCTCCCACCTGCCCTTTCTTCTTCATACCTACAGACTTCTAAATGTTTGAAACATTTTTATTGTGCCTAACCTGTAGGGCAAGTGCTCTAGTGCCTGTGAAAAAAGAACAGCAATTGGCTTTATTATTCTCCTAATAAAAAATCAATTTGGCAATAAACATTTATTGAACCCTTTTTTATTTATCAAGCACCATGTTAAGAGCTGGGGAGACAACAGTGAATGAAATAAATATTGTCTCTACTCTTATGGAGCACAGTAGAGTCAGGTTCTCCAACAGTAATTCAGATAGTTTGTGGTTGGATCCACCCTATATAAACATCCTCTTGGCTTTCCAACTGAGACCATAGGTTTACAATGAGCAAAGTAAGATGGAGCAGCTGACGCTGAGGGTTCAAAATAGTCACCTCCACTATTTAGAGGTTTCTTCTCTGACACTCCCCTCTACTTTTTTCCTTGCCCTCTGTTTCCTGACTACCCTGGAGCAGTACCGCTTTCATCTCTGACTGGACAAAGGAAGGGACAAGATGTGTAATTCAAAATTACTCTGATAGCTACACAGGTCTTCTGTGTACAGTTGTGCAATTTGTGCACTGCACAAAGACATCTGGTTGAAGAGCTGGCTGGAGCTGAAATCCTGCTTGTGCCCCATTTGCCAAGGGGTGGCCCCACCTGGGGCTCTACCAGCCTTGAGGAAGGGCCTCTTTTTCTACCTACCAAGATTCCCATGGTGGACACCAGGAGCCACGGGTCCATGAGCTACAGAGGCATCCCATGAACTTGAGGAAGCCCTCTTGGCCAACCTAGAAAGAGAATGGAAAGGGAGATCATTGAAACAGCTGGGTCAAATTGAAATTTTGGATTATGTGTGAAACTCACCATTTGTACTCTCCATGTCGCCCATGGACTCAGTGGATGGAATTCAAAGTGCCTTCAGGTTTGATGGCAGTAAGAATGCCAGTTCAACACAGGAAAAAGGCATGGTGGTTAAAAGCATACACTTTATAGGGTACATAATGTGACTTGAGAGACTTCTTGCCAGCAAGCAATAGAAGAGAATGGAAGAATTGGTAACAATTTTCAGGTGGTTTATTTCCTAGACTTAATTCCTAGAGCTAAGCAGATCACCTCATCATAATGACGAAGAGAATACTAACACCTGCACAGCCCTCTCCAGCATAAACCAAGAGGTTTTTCACAGGGAGTACATTCATTGTTTTTCTGATTGTGTATAGCAATATTAATAGCTTTCATTTAGTAAGCACAGATACGTGCAGGACATTGTACTGAGAATTTCACCTACATTGCTTTATTGAATTCTCTTTATATCCCCATAAAGGAGGTATGATTATGTTTTATGCATGGGGACACTGACATTTGAGTTACTCAAGGTCATATAATAAAGAAGTGGTACAGCAGGGCTTGAACCCTTGCCTTTTGACTTCAAAACCCACACCTGGCCATGCGCAGTGGCTCACATCTGTAACCTAGCACTTTGGGAGGCCAAGGTGGGTGGATCACTTGAGGTCAAGAGTTCGAGACCAGCCTGGCCAACATGGTGAAACCCCATCTGTACTAAAAATACAAAAATTAGCTGGGCATGGTGGCAGGCACCTGTAATCCCAGCTACTCGGGAGGCTGAGGCAGGAGAATCGCTTGAACCCAGGAGGCCAAGGTTCAGTGAGCCAAGATTGCACTGCTGCACTCCAGTCTGGGTGTCAGAGCAAGACTGTGTCTCAAAAAAAAAAGAAAAAAGAAAAAAGAAAAAAAGAACAAAACCCACACCTGGAACCACCACGCATGCCTGTTTTGGGGGAACAGTCTGTTCTGTTAGGTCTCTATCCTGGCCTGGGGGACCTACCACACACATCTCAGACTTCTGTTCAAACATATCCAACTTCCTCCAAGTTGGGACCTTTTTTAGCTTTCTTTTCTTGAATACCCACTGCCTTCATGCATAACTGATGAATAGGAATCCTTCTTGGGCAGTGCAGCTAACTGGCCACTTTTTCTCAGTATTATCACAATTCACACTCATGTCACAAGCCACACCCCAGCCAAGGTCTTTAACCTCTGCCAACCTCATGGCTCAGTAGAAGCACTGCTATAAGTATATTAAAAAACTTTGTAAGGGTTTTTCTGCCAACCTCAATAGCTCAGCAGAAAACTGACATAAGAAAATATTTTAAAAACCTTATAAGGATTTTTCTCTTTGACAATCTCCCCACAGCTGTCCATAGGAGAGGACAGTAATCGAAAAGACGTGTCTTTTTGATTAATGGGATTTGGGGGGATCAAAGAGACTTCAGTTTAACAGGATGAAAAATGTCTTTCGTGGGAAGTTGGGGCAGGAGGTGTTGGCACTGAGAGATGGTTTTTATGGTCCTAAGATCACAGGTATGATCAGGTGTTGACGATAATTATTTTTTGTTTTGGGTTCAAGTGAGAGAATTGGTACGCAATTCTTGGCTAGCATGGTATTTTCTTTCACCTTTTAAATTGAAGAGTTTATAGTTTTTGTAAGACAAAGTTACCAACCTCATGATAATAATAACTCACATTTGTTTTGTACTTACCTTATAATGCTTTAAGTAGTTTATAAACATTCTTTTATTTAATCCTCACAACCACTTTGTGAAGGAGGCATATTCATTATTGGCATTTTACAGATGACAAGATGGAGTCTCACAAAGGGTATGAAGTTGTGACTGTGTAAGCTGAACAAGTGTAGAGAGCTAATGTACAATATGAAAACTACAGTTAATAATACCGTATTCTATACTGGTGTTTGCCAAAAGAGAAGATTTTAGGTACTTTTTTTTTTTTTTTTTTTTTTTTTTTAGACAGGGTCTTCCTCTGTCACTCAGGCTGGAGTGCAGTGGTGAAATCTCAGCTCACCGCAGCCAAGACTTCCTGGGCTTAAATGAGCCTCCCACCTCGACCTCCTAAAGTGCTGGGTTTACAGACATGAGCCACCATGCCTGGCAGATTTTGGGTACTCTTAATACACACACAAACACACACACACACACACACACACACAGAGAAAGAGAGAGAGAGAGAGAGAGAGAGAGAGATCTGGGTGCAGTGGTACACGCCTGTAGTCCCAGCTTCCCAGCTACTTGGGAGGCTGAGGTGGGAGAATTGCTTGAGCCCAGGAGTTCAAGGTACCACTGCACTCCAGCCTGGGTGACAGAGTGAGACCCTGTCTTAAAAATAATAATAATAATAAAATAAAATAAAGAAAAGTAAAAAATGTAGCTGTGAGGTGATGGGCATGTTAATTTGCTTGACTATGGTAATCACCTTGGCATGTATATGTACCTCAAGATAAGTGTAGCAAAACGTGTTACACATCTTAAATATGTACAATTTAAAAACAAGACAGAGGCTCAGGAAGGAGAAATAACTCGCTCAAGGTCACATAGCTAGTAAGTGGCAGAGCCTGAGTTCAAAACTGAGCAGCTGCCTCCAGGTTGGGCTTGTCACCACTATTTCATGTACCCTCTAAATTCTTGTGGGGAAATCAGGGTGCTTATTCAATCCATGCTGCATATAGAGGTTGTTAGATGGCGAATACTTCTTGTCCATTTTTTGTTTCAAAGATGGGGTTTCCCCCAAATACCCCTGGCCTCTGTCTCACCTTTACTCACCCTCTGGGGAGATGAGCGAGTTGCTTGAGTGCGAGAAGAAAGGGCAGGCATGGCCTAGTCTTTTAACTACACATCTTGTTCTGCTCCTCCAGGGGCAGGTCTTCCTAGTTGGGTGAGGTTGGGGGAGGCCTTCAGAGTTCTAGTGCTCCAGAGTATGTGAGTCTGCCTATCTTTGGAGTTTAATGTGAGGAGACCCTTGACCCTATATAAGCCACAGTTTCCAAATCAGCTTATTAAAGGGGATATTTGTCCCCTATTTGATTATTCTCTTGTCTTCTTTCTCTGTTGATCTAGAACTCAGATGGAGAAGAGAGTGTTATGTATCCTCACTGCACCCTCTCCCAAGAGCTATTGTGGAAAATAAAGAAAAAAATGTGGGTCGGGTGCAGTGGCTCACGCCTGTAATCCCAGCACTTTGGGAGGCCGAGGCAGGCGGATCACCTGAGGTCAGAAGTTCGAGACCAGCCTGGCCAACATGGTGAAACCCCGTCTCCACTAAAAATACAAAAATTAGTCAAGCGTGGTGATAGGCGCCTGTAATCCCAGCTACTCGGGAGGCTGAGGCAGAGAGTTGCTTGAACCTGGGAGGTGGAGGTTGCAGTGAGCCAAGATTGCGTCACTGCACTCCAGCCTGGGTGACAGAGCGAGACTCTGTCTTAAAATAAAAAAAAATAAAAAAGAAACAAAGAAATAAAGAAATGTAGTTAAGTATCAAGACATCATATGAATTAAAGACTCGATCTAACATCCAATGAATTGGCTGGGCACACTGGCTCATGCCTGTAATCTCAATACTTTGGGAGGTTGGGCGGGTAGATGGCTTGAGCCCGGGAGTTCAAGACCAGCCTGCACAACATAGAGTGACCCTGTTCTACCAAAAAACACAATATATTAGCCGGGTATGTGGCATGCACCTGTAGTCTCAGCTACTCAAGAGGCTGAGGAGGCAGGTTTGCTTGAGCCTGGGATGTCGAGGCTGCAGTGAGCCAAGATCACACCATTGCACTTCAGCCTGGGCTACAGAGCAAGACCCTATCTCAAAACAAAAACAAAACAAAACAAAAAAACAAAAAACAAAAAAAACCAACAACAAAAAAAACCCATCCAATGAATCCACTGCCTTCCTTGGCAATTGGTTCATCAATTGAGTTAAAGAAGGAGAATATAGCAGGTACTTGGCTTACATGATCTCACTTAACTGCTGTAACAATCAGGTGAGATGAGATTTATTATCTCTGTCTCATCCATAAGGAAACTGTATCTTATTCAGTCAACAAATATTGGGTATAGCCCATAGCCAGACTTTGTTCCAGGAGGCTCAGGAAGGTCATGGGAATTGCTCGAGATTGTATATGGCTGGTCAGTGGAAGAACTAGGATTTGAACTCAGGTCTGACCAATGACATGGGTTAGGTTTTCCTTGGAGAGATGGGAGAGTGGGAACAAATAAAATAATGACAATAAACATATTGAGCCCTGACTTTATACCAGTATGAAACTTTATACCACTCAGTGCTTGTGAAGCATTACCTCATCGAGTCTTTGCATCATCCTTACAAAGCAGGTATTGTTATCCTCATTATACACGTGAGGAACCTGAGGCTCAATGATGTTAAACAGTAAATGGGCCGGGGCGGTGGCTCACGCCTATAATCCCAGCACTTTGAGAGGCCACGGTGGGTGGATCACTTGAACTCAGGAGTTCGAGACCACCCTGGCCAACATAGTGAAACCCTGTATCTACCAAAAATACAAAAATTAGCCAGGTGTGGTGGTGCATGACTATAGTCCCAGCTACTCAGGAGGCTGAGGTGGGAGGATTGCTTGAGACTGGAAGCTGGAGGTTGCAATGAGCTGAGATTGCACCACTGTACTCCAGCCTGGGTGACAGAGTGAGATCCCATCTTTTTTTTTTTTTTTTTTTTTTTTTTGAGACAGAGTCTCTCTCTGTCACCCAGACTGGAGTGCAGTGGCATGATCTCAGCTTACTACAACCTACAACCTCCACCTCCCAGGTTCAAGCAATTCTTCTGCTTCAGCCTCCTGAGTAGCTGGGATTACAGGTGCCTACCACCATGCCTGGCTAATTTTTGTCTTTTTTTCAGTAGAGACGAGGTTTCACCATATTGGCAGATTGGTCTCAAACTCCTGACCTCAAGTGATCCGCCCACCTCAGCCTCCCAAAGTGCTGGGATTATAGGCGTGAGCCACCGCCCCTGGCCCATTTACTGTTTAACATCTGGGATCACAGGTGTGAGCCACCATGCCTGGTCAACCCCGTCTTAAAAAAAAATCAAAACAAAACAGTAAATTGCAATCCAGGTCTTCTCATTCCAAACCATTAGCCGATGTGTAGTATTGCCTTTGTTTTCCTGCCTTTACAAAGGTAGTTGGGAGACCTAGCCTCTGACATGACATCAGAACACCTTGAAACAATCAATTAAAAAGTGCAGATCAATCTGGTGGGTGTGCATGGAGGTGCCCAAGAGTGGGGAAGGAAGGCAGAGGATGATGTATGTGGGAAAAAGGGCTGGGGAGCAGAGTGAAGTAATGAATATTGGGTAGGTTGAACCAGGCTTCATGGGAGGCATTTTCAGCCAGGTTTCAGCTGATATATGCTTGATGACAGCAGAGAAAAATAACAGGGTAAGTTTGAGAATCAGGGATAATTTTTGAATGGCATGACTTTGTACATGGTAAGTCAGTTGTAAAAAAACAAACAAAGCAACAGCAGCAACAGCAAAACTCCATCTCCTCTGAAACGGAGGAATTGCCCTGTTGAAGAGATGGGCTGCATCCAGGTCCTCAGGGTTTTGTTTGGGTGAATATTCAAGGCCTGAAAGACCCTGGATCTTGTCATGGCTTTCTGTTGTTAATTAACTGGGGTGACTATGGGGTCATTTAATATCCTTATCTCTAAAATGAATGTTGAGTCCTCCAAAGTTCCATCTAGTGATAATATTTATTCTCCTTTCTTGCAAGGCAGAGAGAGGACAGTACCAGCCTCTGGCACACAGATGATGGCTGAGAAATGCTTGTTGGCTGGGTGTGGTGGTGCAAACCTGTAATCCCAGCACTTTGGGAGGTCAAGGTAGGCAAGTTGCTTGAGTCCAGGAGTTCGAGACCAGCCTGGGCAACATGGCAAACCCCATCTCTACAAAAATAAACAAAAAATTAGCTGGGCATGTTGGTGCACACCTGGGGTCCTAGCTGCTCAGGAGGCTCAGGTGGGAGCATCGCTTGAGCCCAGGAGGTCGAGGCTGCAGTGAGCTGTGATTGCTGCACTCCAACCTGGGAGACAGAGTGAGACTATGTCTCAAAAAACAAAAACAAAAACAAACAAACAAAAAGCTTGTTGACTTGAACTAACTAAAGGCAGTAGTACTAATTGAAAAAGAAATTCTCACCATGTGGGCATGTCCTGCTTGCTATCTTGTTGCCTGTGCTCCATAGGTCATGTGGCCTTGACCCTGAGTTATCCAGCTTGTCATCTCCTTGTTGAAGAAAACTCTCCCCGCCATTCCCCACACAAATCACTTTGCTTCCCTCATTCTAAACTCTCTCTAATATAGGCTCAATCTCTCTATGAATCCCTTGCATTCTTAATTCTTCCTTCGCCGTCTGACTTTCCTGTTCTTAGGTATGGCTGAACTGGCGGTGTGCTTATTTTTCATTTTTCATTTGATGAATGGATAGAGCATCTCACTTGCTCTCTTCCTAGAGACTGAACACATGCCTGCATGAAGGGTATGGAGGAAGCCGTGTGACTGAGGGGGCAATGTCTAGTAATGTCATGCCTTAATTGTAGGCTCAAATTTTAATGATGAATTAACTTCTTGAAAGTTGATCTTTAGGCCAGGTACAGTGGCTCATGCCCGTAATCCCAGCATTTTGGGAGGTTGAGGCAGGAGGATCTCTTGAGCCCAGGAATCTGAGACCAGCCTTGTGACATGGCACAACTCCATCTCTACTAAAAATACACACACAAAAAAAATTAGCTTGGCATAGTGGCGCACACCTGTAATCCCAGCTACTCGGGAGGCTGAGGTGGGGAGATCACGTGAACCTGGGAGGTTGAGGCTGCATTGAGCTGTGATCATGCCACT
Organism: Homo sapiens; assembly: GCF_000001405.40. NCBI lineage: Eukaryota > Metazoa > Chordata > Mammalia > Primates > Hominidae > Homo > Homo sapiens. The sequence goes on from NC_000010.11 coordinate 92,740,227, forward strand.
GCACTCCAGTCTGGGTGAAAAAGCAAGACTCTGTCTCAAAAAAAAAAAAAAAGTAGATCTTTAAAATGAAGTGTACAGTGAGAAGAATATTTCAAGGAGGAAGGATGCTTTCATATATTGGGTTTAAGCAGATTTATTTAGTATTATATAGATAAATCAACCATGTATTTGTTGGACTTCTTCACTTTTCACTTGCATGGCTTAGCACTATACATGCAGAGCCCAATCTTTCTTTCTTACCACAGGCATGAATACCATTTTATTATTATTATTTTTTAGATGGAGTCTCGCTCTGTTGCCCAGGCTGGAGTGCAGTGGGATGATCTTGGCTCACTGCAACCTCCGCCTCGCGGGTTCAAGCGATTCTCCTACCTCAGCCTCCCAAGTAGCTGGGATTACAGGCACCCACCACCATGTCCTGCTTTTTTTTTTTTTTTCAGTAGAAACGGGGTTTCACCATGTTGGCCAGGCTGGTCTTGAACTTCTGACCTCAAGTGATCCACCTACCTCAGCCTCCCAAAATGCTGGGATTACAGATGTGAGCCACCGTGCCCAGTCTCTCTCTCCTCTCCTCTTCTGTCTTGTCCTCTCCTCTCCTCTCTCTCTCTCTCTCTCTTTAAAGAGCTTGAGTCTCTCTGCTCAAAATTTCAAACTCAAAAAGTTTACTCATCTGGATTACTTTCATATAGGCTTCTGAGACTGAGTCAGAGCCTTGGAACCCAGCTGATCTACTTGTTTGTGGCAGTAGAGCGGCAGATACCCTGGTTGGCCTCCAGGTCTCCAATCTCTCCTTGTTCCTCACTAACAGGGCTCCAGCTGGGCTTAGGGCAGCAGGTTGCCCATGGAAGATCACATACCTCCCCAGAGCCCCTTGAAGCTGAAGTGTCTACAACCCAAGTCTGGCCAAAAAATATCCGTAGAAGCTTCCTCTGTGGGGCTTTCAGGAAAGCCCTATTGTTTTCCTGAGAAAAAGGGACAAGTCCAATCAGTACACATGTTTTGCCCTTGACCCCTCCCCTTCTTTCTGTGTAGAGTATGAACACCATGCTGGAGGGGCAGCAGCCCAGCTTTCCATTGTGAGGAAGAAAGTCAGGCATTAAGAGTAGCGGAGAAAAGTTACAAGGAGGCTGGGACCTTGTTTTCTGTAAGCAGCTGCCTCAGCCCTACCTCAAGACTTCTATAATGTGAGAAAAAGAGAAAAAACCCTATTTGGTGAAGCACTATGTTCAGTGACTTGCAGCTAAGTAAAATTTTAACTGATGCAGGCCGGGCGCAGTGGCTCACACCTGTAATCCCAGCATTTTGGGAGGCTGAGGCAGGTGGATGACTTGAGGTCAGGAGTTCAAGATCAGCCTGGCCAACATGGTGAAACCCTGTCTCTACTAAAAATACAAAAAATTAGCTGGCATTGTGGCAGGCACCTGTAATCCCAGCTACTTGGGAGGCTGAGGCAGGAGAATCGCTTGAACCCAGGAGGCAGAGGTTGCAGTGAGCCGAGATTGCACCACTGCACTCCAGCCTGGGTGACAGAGTGAAACTCCATCTCAAAAGAAAGAAAGAAAGAAAGAGAGAGAAAGAAAGAAAGAAGGAAAGAAAGAAAGAATCAATCCCTATCTCTACTAAAAATATGAAATTAGCTGGGTATGGTGGCACGTGCCTGTAATCCCAGCTACTCAGGGGGCTGAGACAGGAGAATCGCTTGAACCCGGGAGGTGAAGGCTACAGTGAGTCAACATTGCACCACTGCACTCCAGCCTGGGTGAGACAGAGTGAGACTCTGTCTCAAATTTTTTTTTTTTTTTTTTACTGATGCAACTAGAAAATAGAGGAAAATGTGAAAATTATAAGCCTCCGGAAAAACTTGACATATCTTGACAATATTGGCAGCCAAATGTAGCTGGTCATTAATATAATTTTCTATATCTATGTGCTGAAACAAAATAGCCACATCTACCTTCAAATAATTACACAAATCTATAATTATGGAACAATCTAAATACAATAAAAGAAAATACAGAGAACAATGAGGATATGTAATTGAGTGACCAGATCTGGTCAGGGAGGCTTCTCTGAGGAGCTGAGATCTGTTCTGAGACTAGAAGGATGAACAGGAGTTTATTAGGCAAAGGTGGTGGCCAGAGTGAGAAGCAGCAGCATGCATGAAGGCCCCAGGGCTGTAGAGAGCACAGTGCTTTTGAGGAACTGAAAGTAGTGCCCTGTGACTGAAATATTGAGAGTAAAAAAGAAAGTAGCACAAAATTAGGCTGGAGACATAAACAGGGGCCAGATGATGCTGGGCCCTGTGGTCAGTTTATATTAAGGATTTGGGTCTTTATCCTAGATCAATGGGAAGTCACAGAAGATTCTAAACCTGTAGCGTGACTTGGCCAGATTTGAGTTTAACAAAACAAGTGACATTCAAATCATATGAACTAGGACTGGAGATGTGAGGCTGCAGGTGACGTGGGGAGCCTATTTTGATACCAGCAGAGGATGTGGGCAAGGTGAGAGATGAGGACAGCTTGGATTAAGGGGTGTAGTGGAGGTGGAGAAAAGTTATGGGATTTGAATACCATTTAAAATGTAAAACTTACAGGGCCTGGTGATGGAGTAGACATAGATGTTGCTGGGTGGAGGAGTTCCAAGAGGACTCCTCGATTCTGGCTTGCAAAACTGGATGTCCAGTAGGGGATGGGGGTGGCATTTACCAAGAAAGGAAACCTGGAGGAGGCCTGAGTTGGGTGGGGGGCATCACGGTGAGTTCCCACTGAACACACCGAGCACGAGGAGCCTGGAGACACCCACGGGGCTATGGGAGTAGGTGGTGTGAGTAGGATCTGGTGCTTAGCCGAGAGGTCTGGGCTGGAAGCATCAGCATTTAGATGGAGTGGATGAAGTCATAAATCATGAGATCATTTAAGGAGAGAAGAGAGTGAACAGAGAAGCGGGCTTAGGACCAAGCTGATACCAAGATGAATAACCTTGTTTTCACCCTCAAGAAGCTTATGGCTGTGTAGAGGTGATGAGCTATGCACATATGTAATTACAGTATAGTCAGAAAAGGACTTACACTCTACCAATACCATAAACGATGCATTCGGAGGAGGAAAACATTATACCAGCTGAAGGGATTAGCAACAACTTCATGGAGACACATTTAAGACCATCTTTTTTTTTGGTGGGGGTGGGGCAGGGTCTCACTCTATCGCCCAGGCTGCAGTACAGTGGCATGATCATGGCTCACTGCAATCTTGAGCTCCTAGGCTCAAGAAATCTTCCTGCCTCAGCCTCCCAGGTAGCTAGGACTACAGGTGCGTGCCACCAAACCGGGAAAATTGTAGAGATAGGGTCTTGAACTCCTGACTCAGGTGATCCTCTTGCCTTGGCCTCCCAAAGTGCTGGGGTTACAGGCATGAGCAACTGCACCCAGCCTTAAGACGATCTTTGCTGTATAGCTAGAATAAAGTGAGGTGGATGAGGGTAGCGATGGGCTTCCAAGTGGAAAGAGTGACTTGATGAAGGGTATGAGGCTGAAAAACCAAGACCCATGGCAAACTTCAGGGAGTTTAGCTTATCTGGAGATAGGGTATACGTGGGGAATCATTTAAAAGGTGAGTTGGAGCCAGGTTGAGGAGGGCTGTAAATACCTGGCTGAGGTGCTTGACCTATAGGAGTGGGGACCTAACTAAGGTTTGTAGGAGAAGTAGGGGGAGGGTGCCTTGACTAAAGCAGTGATTGAAGAAGACTCCTGGATTCCCATGTGGGGTGCACTGAAGAGGACAGATACTGGAGGTGAGAGACCCATTACGAGGCTGGAGTGGAGCACCTCAGAGATTGTTCTACTGTAATGACTGAACCCAGCTGGTTAGCTCAAGTAAAAAGGGGATTGATTGAAAAAAATATATATATGTTTAGGAAACCTCATAGAATACAACCCTGGAAGTCCTGTCAGCCCACAGGAAATGGACAGTGGTTTGTCTCTGTTTCCCTGGAGACACACACATGGTCTCTTGTATTTGCCTCTCTCAGCTCTCCTGTACTCTTTGCAGACCAGCTTTCTCTGTAAGGGCCTGGGCTGCTGCTTTCCCTTCACCTGGTTTCAGGAGGTTTGGGTTGCCATGGCACCCATTCTGACCCAGATCCACTGGATCTTATATCAGACCCCACCACCATTTACTGCAGTCTCTCTGCTGATCATAGCATAAAGACAGGCTGTACCTTTTGGTGACACCAAACTGATATTCTAGTCACAATCAATGCAATAATCTAACAAATCTCCTGATCACATTTCCTGTTGGTGGGAAAGTCTAGCACTTGCACAGATTTGCTGGGCACAACTTGACTCACATTGTTTCCACATTTGTTTAATAACAGGTTATTATCTGCTGCAAGAATGAGGACAGGAACTGTGTTTGTCTTGTCTCCCGCTGTGTCTATTGCTGTATAACAAATTACCCCAAAACTTGGTGGCTTAAAACAGTAGGCATTTATGATCTCACAGTTTCTGTGAGTTAGGGATTTGGAAGTAGCTTGTCTGGATGGCTGTGGTTTGGGGTCTCTTATGAAGTTGCAATCAAGATGTTGGTTGGGCTGTAGTCATCTGAAAGCTTGAATGCAGCTGGAGGATCCACTTCCAAGATGGCACACTCACATGGCTGTTGGCAGGAGGCTTCAGTTCCTTATGACATGGACCTTTCCATAGGGCTGCTTGAGTGTCCTCACGATATGGTAGTTGGTTTCCCCCAGAACAATTGATCCAAGAGAGAGCAAGGAGGACGACACACACCGCCTTTTATAACCTAGTCTCAGAGGTCATACATCATCACTATTGCCACATTCTATTTGTTAGAAGTAAGTCATTATGTCTGTCCCATACTCAAGGGAAAGAGGAATTAGGCTCCATCGTTGAAGGGAAACTTGTAAAATAATTTGTAGATGTATTTTTTATTTTTTTGAGACAAGGCTTCACTGTTTTGCCCAGGCTGGAGTGCAGTGGGGCAAACACAGCTCAGTGAGCCTCAACCTCCTAGGCTCAAGGATTCCTCCCACCTCAGCTTCCCAAGTAGCTGGAACTACAGGTGTGTGCCACCATGCCTAGCTACTTTTTTATTTTTTGTAGAGACAGGGTCTTACTGTGTTGCCCAGGCTGGTCTAGAATTCCTGGGCTCAAGTGATCCTCCTGCCTCTGCCTCCCAAAGTGTTGGGATTACAGATGTGAGCCACCGTGCCTGGCTGCAGATGTATTTTAAAACCACCACAGCCACCGTAACTTTAGCACCTATTATGGTGCCTGACATATAGCAGGGGCTTAATAATGGTTTGCAAAAGGAACAGTTGTTCTCTCTCCTAAACTTGATTCACTGGCACTGAAACATGGCAGTCACTATAAGGCAGGCAGTCACACCAAGGAATGGCCATTTCAGGCTTCATTCAGCTTGAGTGTCTTCCCATGTGTTGTTCTATCAGGAAATAGTGGGGCCATTTTGGGAAGTCGCTAGGCCAAGAACACAAATATAGGCTGCTGAGATCCCTTTAGATGTTGGCATACAACTAGCCGAAGAGAGAGGAGGTCTCAGAGGTTTGTAAGAGTTGAGTTCTGCTAGCGAATTAGAATTTTTATTAAATATTTATAATAGGGGCTTCTAACAAAATTATTGATACTATTATTTTGAGGAACAAATCTTTTATATTTAATATATCTCTGAAGACTTGGGATCATTTGTGTCTATCAGATCAAATGGGGCAAGGTGCGGTGGCTCACGCCTGTAATCCCAGCACTTTGGGAGGCTGAGGCAGGCGGATCACTTGAGATCAGGAGTTTGAGACCAGCCTGGCCAACATGGTGAAACGCCATCTCTACTAAAAATACAAAATTGGCCAGGAGTGGTGGCATGCGCCTGTAATCCCAGCTACTCGGGAGGCTGAGACAAGAGAATTGCTTGAACCCGGGAGTTGGAGGTTGCAGTGAGCCGACATCATGCCATTGCACTCCAGCCTGGGCAACAGAGCAAGATTTAGTCTCAAAAAAAAAAAAAAAAAAAAAAATCAAATAGATTCAGGTCAGAGCAGGCGCTGTGGAATATAACCATGGTGGAGCGGGAGCAGAATGGGGTTCTTTAATACAGTTCTTTACATCCCAAGTATTCCAAGAGAAAAGAAGGTGGGTGTTAGGTGCTGTGGCCATGGACTTGACATTCAGTGGGGAGGAGTGTAATGAGCTCCAGCACCATTTTGTTGTTGTTGTTAGAGATGAGGTCCTGCTATGTTGCCCAGGCTAGAATGCAGTGGCTATTCACAGGCGTGATCATAGCACACCACAGCCTCAAACTCCTAGCCTCAAGTGATCCTCCTGCCTCAGCCTCTCAAGTAGCTGGGATTACAGGTGTGTGCCACTGTACCTGGCTACAGCACCTTTGGAATCCACCATAGTTTTCAAGCTGGAGCTGTGCTCTTCCTGGTCAGCCCCTAGCCAATGACAGAGCATGGTGAGTGCAGGCCTAGCTATTTCTGTCTAATGTGGGACTTCTCAAATGAGCAATCTTTGCTCCAAGTCTCCCTGTGGAGTTGACTGAGATTCTGTCACATCTGTCTTGTGATCCTAGGCTCTCCCTTCCCAGTTCTGCTGTCTCCTCCTTTATCTTCCACGGGTGTCTCCCTCTCCCCAGTGAGCCTCTTGCTCTCCTGGCTTTATCTTAGCATTCCGGAGGACATGAATGACACAGGAGGAATGAGGCCATGTGGTCATAGTATCCATCGGAAGACCTAGTGGGCAAGTCTTTAAGATCTTCTAGCCCAGGCTTTGAGAACTAGAACCTTGTCTGCTGGATGGGGATCTTGGCTTTAGAAACTTATTTTGGAAGGAATTTCCAAATTGCTTACATGATACTGTAGGCCAAGGTGGAAGTTTGGGTGTCATTGTAGATGAGGGTACTGGTGTCAAGGCTCGCCAGGAACGGAGAGGAACAGCGCAATGGGCTCACCAAACAAGCTCCTCAGAGCAGTCAGAACTGTGTTTCCCCAGTGCTGGGACACAGGGAGGCGGTTTCACTGTGCGCTAACGCCATTTGCAGGAGGTGACAGAGCTCGCCCAAGGAAGGGGCAGGAGATTGCGGTGGTTAAGTGCTTTGGAGGCAAATAGGCCTGGGTATGAGCCTGGCTGTGCTACCTACTAGCTTTGTGATGTTGGACATATTACCTAAGCTCTTCATCTCTCAGCTTCCTCATTGGGAAGATGGAGATGATAATATAAGTCTACTTCTTAGATTTGCTGGGAGGATTTTTAAAACTCCTTCTAAAATGCTCAGCATTGTACGTGATTGAATCAGGTAAAGTTCTCAGCTGTAAGCAACAGAAACTGACTCAAGTTGATTGAAATAGAAAAAAGAATGGATCAAAAAGCCAGTGGGCAGCTTCCAGAATCCCCAAAGAGGCTAGAAAGGCAGCTCAGAGAATAGATAGAAATAAGGGCAGTAGCCAGGGCCATAGTCAAAATCCTGCCATAAATCCAGCCTGCTGCTGCCACCATTGATCGCTGGATGCCTCTGCTGTTTGCCCTCATAGAACCCAGACCCTGCCCTTGGCCTTGTTGCCACTGTTGCCTGGAAACGGGTGTGGCTGTCACCACTACCACTGTCAGCCCAGCCACCAGAATGGCTTCTCTGTGGTTCTCAGCCTCTTCTCTGCTTCCCCTCTCCTTCCCTTTCCACCTCTACTTTCCCCTTCCCCCTCTTCTCCCTCTGCCTCCTCACCTTCCCCCCCATCTATTTCTTTCTCTATGCTTCTTCACACTTTCTCCCTCCACTGGCTAGTTATCCTCATCCATTAGCTATACCAAATTTTTCCCATTAAAGGAAGAAATAGGCCAGGCATGGTGGCTCACGCCTGTAATTCCAGCACTTTGGGAGGCTGAGGCAGGTGGATCACCTGAGGTCAGGAGTTCAAGACCAGCCTGACCAACATGGAGAAACCCCATCTCTACTAAAAATACAAAATTAGCTGGGTGTGGTGACACATGCCTGTAATCCCAGCGACTGGGGAGGCTGAGGCAGGAGAATTGCTTGAACCTGGGAGGCGGAGGTTGCAGTGAGCTGAGATAGTGCCATTGCACACCAGCCTGGGCAACAAGAGTGAAACTCCATCTTAAAAACAAAAAACAAAACAAACAAACAAAAAACAACAAAAAAGGAAAAACTACATGACCCAATGATCTTTCTTCAACTTCCTTCCTATCTTCTTTCCTTCCTTAAATGTCTGGAAAGTTTATTTTTCTTCCTCACTTCAATCTGTCCTCCACCTCTTTAATTCACTGTAACTGCCCTTCCCAAGGTCACCAGTGACCTCTCCATTGCTTTACCAAGGCTGACTTTTCTGTCCTCCTCAACCTCTTGGGAACACTTGATCTTGTTGACTATGACCTCCCTTTGAGACTCTTTCCTGTTCTCGGCTTGATGATGCCATGCTTTTCTGGCTTTCCTCCTTTCTTGGACCTGATTATCTTGATATTCTTTGTGGGCTTTTCCTTATAACAAAGTACTACAAACTGTGTGTCTTCAGCAACAAAAATGTATTGTTTCATAGTCCTGGAGCTTGCAATTTGGAGATTAATATGTTGGCAGGACTAGTTCCTTGGCTTGTAAAGCATCACCCTGATTTGTGCCTTCATCTTCTCATGGTGTTCTCCCTGTTACATGCCTCTATGTTCAAATTTTTCCTTTTTGTAAGGACACCGGTCATATCATATTAGCTCCCCTCCTCTACCATAACTTCATTCTGTTGCTTATAACAGAATACTTGAAACTGGGTAATGTATTTACTTATTTATTTATTTTGAGAAGGAGTCTCACTCTGTTGCCCAGGCTTGAGTACAGTGACACAATCTCGGCTCACTGCAACCTCTGCCTCCCAGGTTCAAGCAATTCTCCTGTCTCAGCCTCCTGAGTAGCTGAGATTACAGGCACACACCACCACACCCGGGTAATTTTTGTATTTTTAGTAGAGATGGGGTTTTGCCATGTTGGTCAGGCTGGTGTCGAACTCCTGACCTCAGGTGATCCACCCGCCTCAGTCTCCCAAAGTGCTGGGATTGTAGGTGTGAGCCACTATGCCTGGCCGAAACTGGGTAATTTATAAAGAAAAGGAATTTATTTCCTACAGTTCTAGATGCTGAGAAATGCAGGGTCAAGGGGCCACATCTGATGAGTCCTTCTTGCTGGTGGGGACTCTGCAGAGTCCTGAGGCAGCGCAGGGTATCACATGGTGAGGGCGTGGAGTGTCCCTTCAGGAGGGCAGAGCCCTCATGACCCAATCCCAATCGTCTTTTAAAGCCCTCGTCTTTCAATACTGCCACCATGGGGATTAAGTTTCACTGTGCGTTTTGGACGGGACCAACATTTAAAGCATAGCACTCATCTTAGCTAATTACAACTACATTGACTCTATGTCCAAGTAAGCTCCCATTCTGAGGCGCTGGGGGTTAGCACTTCAACACATAACATTTAGGGGAACACAATTCAATCTATAGCACTCTTTAAACATCGCTTTCCCTTGGCCACTTTCTTAGCCTCCTCCCCCGAGAAACTTTATTCAAACTCATGGCTTTAATGACCATACCACCTTACAATGATGATACCCCAGGGTGTTTCTCAAACCCAGTTCTCTCCCTCTGAGTTCTGGAGAGACAGATCCAATTACCCAGCAGTCATATTTGGGTATTTATGGGTCCCTTTATTTATTTATTTTTGAGTCAGGATCTCACTCTGTTGCCCAGGTTGGAGTGCAGTGGTAAGATAATGGTTCACAGCAGCCTCAAATTCCTGAGCTCAAGCCATCCTCCTGCCTCAGCCTCCTAAGTAGCTAGGACTACAGGCATGTGCCACCATGCCCAGCTGATTTTCTTATTTTTGTAGAGACGGGGGTCTCTCTATGTGGTCCAGGCTAGTCTTGATCTCCTGGGCTCAAGCAATCATCCTACCTCAGCCTTCCAAAGTGCTGGGATTATAGGAATGAGGCACTGTGCCTGGCCAAGTCCTTTGTGTAATGTTCCAGATTGAATTTATCTTTTCCTTAAAGATGTTTCTTCTCCTGAGTTTCTGGTCTCAGAGACTGGCCCCATCACCCACCTTGCTCCCCCAGGGTGGGAGATCACCCTGGAGGCTTGCTTCAGTTTATGACTCCCACCCCTTCCAGTCACCACATCCTTCAATAGCATCACGTCTCTTTTTCTCTTTTTTTTTTTTTGAGATGGAGTCTCGCTCTGTTGTCCAGGCTGGAGTGCAATGTCGCGATCTAGGCTCACTGCAACCTCTGTGATTCTCCCACATCAGCCTCCAAGTAGCTGGGATTACAGGCACCCACTACCATGCCTGGGTAATTTTTGTATTTTTGTAGAGATGGGGTTTCACCATGTTGGCCAGGCTGGTCTTGAACTTCTGACCTCAGGTGATCCGCCTGCCTCAGCCTCCCAAAGTGCTGGGATGAGAGGTGTCAGCCACTATGCCCAGCCTATTTTTATTTTTCGAATTGAACATTCCTTCATACTTGTTTTATATGGTCAGAATACTACATTGGTAGCAATGATTCATTTTGTTAGTCATGAAACAAACAACAACAACAACAAAAATTCATACATTTTACTTTGTTTCTCAGAAATGAGAGATGTTTTAAGAATGTGTTTTCATGAGATTTGCCAAATTTTTTTTCATTGCACAATAGCTTTTTTTTTTCTCTCTTCCTTTTGGAGAATTGTTGGGTGGATGAAGATTTTAAGATAGGTAAGAACAGATGTGTTGACACAGTTTGGGAAAGCAAAAACAATTTAACTGGAAGAAAAGCCCTTAGGGAAATGACACTCTCCCAAGGATGTTCGAAACCCAGTTATAGGAAGTACTAAGTCTTCAGTGGACAATGTGATTTGGGTTAAGAGCCAGCAGAGCTTGGGGAAACGCTGACAGTCCTCCAAATACCACAATGCAGTGTTAGAATCAGACTCGCTATGTTGAAATTTACGAGGATTTACATTTTAATTAGTTGCTCAAAATTTGCCCTCACAATTGGTCCTTTAGGCGAACGTTAATCCCATTTACTTCTTTCTAATTTTAATGCTCCAAACCCCACCAATTTTGAGAAGGAAGAAGTGTTCTTCCAAGTTATGTAAGTGATTTATTATACGATGTGAGAATTATACGATGGAGGCACCACGTAGGAGAAATGGAATTGAGGAATACCAGCTGAAAAAGCTCTTATTCACCCTCTAGTTCAGTTCAGCCTCACAAATTAGAAAACAAACCCAGAGAGGCAGAGAGACTTACTTAAGGTCACATGGTTATTCAGAGGTCTAGAATACACACTTTCTGGTGCCTGAACCAAAAGTCCGCTTTAGGAAAAATTATAGTCAACATTTACTGAGCACTTGCTAAGTACTAGGCACTGGGCTAAATGCCTTTCATAAATTTCAACAGTTCACAAAATCAATGAAATAGAAAGTATTTCAAATGTAAAATAAAAACATTGTCAGTCCTCTCTAACAATTTTTCTCTGGATGTTTCATTTGCTTTCTTAAACAGAAGTTGCTGACGTACATGTCTTTCCTCCCTTCCAGATTCAAAGGCTGCAAAGGGCTCCTAGGTATACTCCACTGAGCTGTATTTTGAAAGCTAAATAAGCATTAACTTATTCACAACAAAAGCCTGATATATTTGTATGAAGGCTGCAGAGAGGTTTGGAAAGCACAGATTTCTCCCCCTTTCTCCTCCCTTAGTTTGTTCACCGATCACTTCTTCCCTCTCTTCCTTCTTTTTCCCTTCCCTCCCTCTCTCCCTAGCTTCCCCCACTTTCTTTCCTCTCTCTGTCTCCCTCCCTTTCTTTCTTCCATTCTAGAAAGTGAGGTATTTTCCAGTACCTGTAATCTGTACACTTTGGGAGGCCGAGGTAGGAGGATTGCTTGAGGCCAGGAGTTTGAGATCAGTCTGGGCAACATAGCAAGACCCTACAGCAAATTTTTTATATAAAAAATTTAAAAATTAGCCAGGCTTGGTGGCACATGCCAATAGTCCCAGCTACTTGGGGGGCTGAGGCAGGAGGATCACCCGGAAGTTCGAGGCTGTGGAGAACTATGATTGCCCATGGCACTCCAGCCCGGATGACAGAGCGAGACCCCATCTCTATAAAAAATAAAAAGTGAAAAATAAAGATAATCCCAGCACTTTGGGAGGCCAGGAGCGGGCAGATCACCTGAGGTCAGGAGTTCGAGACCAGCCTGGCCAATATGATGAAACCCCGCCTGTACTAATAGTAAAAAAAATTAGCTGGGTGTGGTGGCACACACCTGTAATCCCAGCTGCTCAGGAGGCTGAGGCGGCAGGAGAATCACTTGAACCTGGGAGGTGGAGGTTGCAGTGAGCCCAGATCGTGCCACTGCACTCCAGCCTGGATGACAGAGTGAGACTCCATCTCAAAAGAAAAAAAAAAATGGAAGTGAGGTATTAAGGACTCTGTCTGTTGTGATTCGAAACTCCTTTTGATTTGTCTTTTTTTTTTTTTTTGAGACGGAGTCTTGCTGTGTTGCCCAGGCTGGAGTACAGTGGTGCGATCTCTGCTCACTGCAAGCTCTGCCTCCCGGGTTCACGCCATTCTCCTGCCTCAGCCTCCCGAGTAGCTGGGACTACAGGCGCCTGCCACCACGCCCGGCTAATTTTTTTTTGCATTTTTTAGTAGAGACGGGGTTTCACCATGTTAGCCAGGATGGTCTCGATCTCCTGACCTTGTGATCCGCCCGCCTCGGCCTCCCAAAGTGCTGGGATTACAGGCATGAGCCACCGCGCCTGGCCTGATTTGTCTTGAACATGTAGAATGTTGGAAATGCCGGGGCCTAAGGCATCATCCAAAGGGGAGTGGAGGCTAGAGAGGTAAAGGATTTTGCCTGAGGTCAACTAAATGAAATCCTACCAAGATCAGACAGCGACTATAAAGCAGGAGTCCAGTCAACCCCAAGAGGAAAGCTACCAGAATAGCACAGGCAAAGTCTGATTTGTTCTGGAGGTGTCAACATTTTTAAATGACTCAATTCAATCTCAGACCAGCAAGCTCTTCACCTTCACTTGAAGGAGTGTAGGATCTTTTATCAGGAGCTTAAGAATGAAAAGCAAACTTCTAATCATACCCAGCACTTCAAAATCCCCAGAGTTGAGGGCCGGGTAATGAGTGGGGCTTACATAGAGTAGGTTCTCAGAGATACAAGGGTTAGGACTTGGAAATACACATGACAGGCGGGGACAGAAATTTTATTAACCTGTACCTTAAAGCCCTTTAGGACATTTGATTGTGGAATGAAACCAACACATTGAGAAGACTCAAAGTGGGGAGAACCTGAAATTAGTTTTGCACTTTCCAATCCCAGGTTTCCAGGCCCTCTGTCCTCAGTGATTGGCTGGTGCAATTCTGAACACTGAGCTGTTGATTTTCCCATCCCAATAACTTCAGCAAAGGAATCTCTGAAGTCCAGTGTGGAAGCTCAATACACAGACCAGGCAGGAGGACTGCTTGAGGCCAGAAGTTTGAGACCAGCCTGGTCAACATAATGAGACCCCCATCGCCAGACAAATAATAATAATAATAATAATTATTATTATTATTATAAAGAATCAGAGAGAGAGAGTAAGCCTTGGAGGTAAGTAGCATGCCACAGATCACTTAGCAATCTAGAAACAGATTCTGAATTCTAGGTCCCACTCAGAGAAGGAGAAAGGGAAAGAAAGTGTGGCAGCCCTGACTTCTGTTCTTCAGAGGCAGCTTTATATGGTGGAGATTGCCTGGAGCCAGGAGATAAGGCCATGTGCTTTCTGGGCCTCAATTACTTCCCTTGTAAAATGAGAAAGAATTGGTCCACATGACTGCTAACTTCCTATCTCTATGTAAGAACCATGTGACTCTAGAATCATATTTAAATGGTAAAATGACAAGTGATCCAAGTGATTAATTTTTTTTATTGTCCTGATTTTTTTCCCCATCCTGGTGTGTGGTTTGGCTGAACTGACTGAATTTAAGGGAATATCTTTGATGTCCCAAATTACCTGGAGGAATTTCATCTCACAATTTTTCTCAAAGGCCTTTAGGACTGCTGCATTCTTTTTGAGATCCTTGCCTAGAAAACAATCTAGGAGCAGAACACGATGAGAGGTCAACAGCATTTTTTTTTTTTTATTAAGATGGAGTCTCGCTCTGTTGCCCAAGCTGGAGTGCAGTGGCACGATCTCAGCTCACTGCAGCCTCCGCCTCCCGGGTTCAAGGAATTCTCCTGCCTCAGCCTCCCGAGTAGCTGGGGCCTGCCACCACGCCTGGCCAATTTTTATATTTTTAGTAGAGGCAGGGTTTCTCTATGTTGGCCAGGCTGATCTCGAACTACTGACCTCAAATGATTCACCCATCTCGGCCTCCCAAAGTACTGGGATTACAGGTGTAAGCCACCACACCCAGCCATTTTTTTTTTTTTTTTGAGACAGAGTCTTGCTTTTGTTGCCCAGGCTGGAGTGCAGTGGTGGGATCTCAGCTCACTGCAACCTCTGCCTCCCAGGTTCAAGCGATTCTCCTGCCTCAGCCTCCTGAGTAGCTGGGATTACAGGCGTGTCCCACCATACTTGGCTAATTTTTGTATTTTTAGTAGAGACAGGGTTTCACCATGTTGGCCAGGCTGGTCTCGAACTCCTGATCTCAAATGATCCACCCACCTCGGCCTCCCACAGTGCTGGAATTACAGGCGTGAGCCACCACACCCATCCTGTCAAGCAGTATTAGTGCAATGTTTCCCCACCACACTCAGTCTAAAGCCACACTTCACGCCTACCAGGCCCTGCACTTTCTGGATCCGCCTTCCTTTCCAGCCTCCTATCCTATCCTCTCTCTTCATGTAATTTATTTTGGACACACAGGCTTTCCTTTAGTTCCTCAAAGGCACAAAACTCTTTCCTAACTCAGGACTTGCGAATAGACTGTTTTCTCTACTGGAGCTGTCTTCCTTCATTCATTGGTCGTTTGGATGATTCAGGCCTGAATACCACATCATCAGTTGGGCCTCCACTGGTATTAATATTTGGGCCTCCACTGACCACCTCATCTAAACGGAAATTGGACCACCCTATTCTTTCTCTTCAGAGCACTTAACATTATTTGCGTGTTTAATATCTGCTTCTCTAACTAGACTGGGAAGTCCATGAGGTCAGGGGCTATCTCTTTTTTGTTTACCACTGCATTTCCTAGCACGTAGTAAGCACTCAATATTTACTGGCCAGGTGCGGTGGCTCACGCCTGTAATCCCAGCACTTTGGGAGGCCCAGGCAGGCAGATCACTTGAGGTCAAGAGTTCGAGATCAGCCTGGCCAACGTGGTGAAACCCTGTCTCTACTAAAAATACAAAAATTAGCCAGGCATGGTGGCAGACGCCTGTAATCTCAGCTACTTGGGAGGCAGATGGAGGAGCATAGCTTGAACCCAGGAGGCGGAGGCTGCAGTGAGCTGAGACTGCACCACTGTACTCCAGTCTGGGTGATAAAGTGAGACTCATTTCAAAAACAAAAAAAAAAATTTACTAAATGAATGAATGAATGCATTCGCAGAAAATTCCCAGCACAATCTGCTCTTATTGGTTGTTTCTATATGACACAACCTACATAAACACTTAGTGAAATTGCCACGTTGACCCTGTTTTGGTATTGTAGAAACAGCTATTGGCCCTTGGATAAGTTGGCAAGGATTCCAATGTGTGTTTATTCAAACTGAATGGGCCTCTTTAGGGGCTCAGTGAGAACCCCAGGAGCCAGTTAATGCAACCTCAGTTCTCTCAATCTGACTTCTTGTAAAATTTCAGAGACATTCTCTTGGCTAAGAAGATAACTGAGATTTCAAGTTAGAACTGTAGTATCCTTAACAGAGAAAAGCAAGTGAATCTCAAGTGACCGATTTTGCCTGAGTAAAATCGGAATTAAATCATATGTGGAATTACGACAGAGTCATTGGATGACAATCAGCTTTGTTTCGTTTTTCTGGGACCACATGAAAAAGAGGTTATTTATTAAGAATGGAATAGTTCCTTTAAAATTCTGTAGCAATCATGTCTCTCTCTCTTTTTTTTTCCTTCCAGTCCATGGAAAGTGTTATCTCAGGCAGCTTTGTGCAGGAAGTTGGGTTTATCACTTCCTCACAGTTGCAGTTTGTCTAGGACTTAGCTACATGCTATCAGATTACATCAAAATGTAGGCCTTTGTGTGTTTAACTCATCAAAGGAGTGGGCCCTCAGGACTTGATATCACTTCACTGCAAACGCAGCCATGTAGCAAAACAAAGCCTATCTAAACAGGACACAACTATTTCTGTTGTGCGGCAGCTCCGCTAGCTCGCGCTTTCAGAAATGGTTGGGTTTTGGGTTTCAGGTGTCTGCACTGTTTCACTTCTTGTTTTTATATTTGTATCTTTTTAGAATTGCAGTCATTTGCCTGGTTATGTGCAAGGAAGGAAAACCCAAAATATTACCTATGAGGGAGGAGGCAAGATTGCCCCAATCCACAGTGTCAGTTGGAGGTAGCACTAACCCTTACCTCATCTTCTTGATTTTCACTTGAGAACTCAGTTGCTGCGGTCTCAGTAGTCTGGGCTTCAGGGCTGGCCATGTGGGGGTTTCAAACCTTGACTTCCCTGTGTCCTGGGGCAATTATTTCACCTCTGCGTTTCAGTGTTCCCATCTGAAAAATGAAGTTAATAATAGCACCTGCCTCATAGCTTCATGGTATGGAATAAATGACACAGATTAAAGAATATATGAAGAGCGCTTATAAAAAGTGCTCCCCATTGGAGGGATATCAGGATTTTAAAGTCTGAGGGGATACCACGCCCCAGGCCCTGCAGAGCAGCAAGACTAGCTGGCAGGGCAGCCAGTCCCAGGCTGGGCAAAGTTTCTCAGGCTGTACTTCCACCTTTGGGGCCTCGTTACTATTTTCTTCTCCGTGGAGTTCCCTCTTCTCTGTGGTGGGCTTTCTGCCAGATGCTGCCTCTATTGGCGGCCACAGGAAGCCAATGCAACTGTGAAGTAATACTTCTGCCTCAGGCCTGGCTCCGCCCTGTTGACCAAGGGTTTTTAGATCTGCTCAGCCAACTCTTTTTAATGCCTTGCCTAAAAAGGACTTCTCACCCAGCCCTGCTGCACTAGGATATGGCTGGCTGCCCCAGAGGCTTTGGACAGACAGTTTTCTGGAGAGAGAAAGGGTGGAGCGGACTTCTCCCTCTCAGCTCAATTCTTCAGGAGTTTGGGGTATCATTTTGTGGCAAGTCTCTCATATGATGCTCATTTACCAAAAGCAGGTGTTAAAGGAAGAGGGAGAGAGCTTGATTCTGTACAATCTCTTTGAGCCAGTGGAATAGAATGAGGCACTCTTAAAAAAATGATTTGCATCAGGAAGTATGCGAACTTTCACAGGCCTATGACCGGAAAGAAATTTAAGTTACACCTAAAAAATTGTATGCTTTAAGAAGGTAAATGGTTTTTCTTTTTCTTTTTTAAAATCTGAAACAATTTTGCATAGAAAATTGCAATCAGCCTAAGGGTTTGTTGCTGTTTTTTTTTTGCCTCACTTGGCCAGAGAGACTTTATTGCTTCTTTATACGTCAGTTATTCACTGATAGCTTGCTATCTTCATAGCTTCCTCCGATCCAGACCGTGAGGTGGCAGGTGTCCTGTGAGCCACACTCTGCCTCAGCTGTTTAGAGAATCACTTTGGAGACACCAGTCACCTCCATTCAGTGCTGCTGGCTTAGGGTTGGTGCCACAGGTTCCCATCCATTGGATTTTGCCTCTCTGTCCCTGGCATGGGCTCTTAGGCTGTCTTTTCAGCTTTTGCCCTTAGTATAATAGCACATGATAGTGTGGAATAGCCACAGCCACTCAGATCTGTTTCTTAGACTCCTCTTAATGGCCACAGGGTCAGTTTCACCTCACCCTCAAATCCTAAGCAGGACGCAGATTCCCTGTGTGTCTCTGGTATCCTGGGCTTCCCCTTGACTAGGAATAGAATTGGGACATTTGCCTACAGCCCTCTTAGGATAACTGTGACTGCTAAGTGAAGACCAGCACTTTCTGTTAGATTGATGAGATTAAACTTCTTTTTTTCCAATTATAATAGCAATAAATGTGTTTTCTTTACACATACACATACACACACCCCTATGCACAGAAACGTATAAAGTTTAAATTTTCAGACCTTCATATTAAGGCTACTAATGATAATTTGTTTGTTGTATGCTGTTCTAAGATTTATTTCAGTACAATAAAAGCATCATAAAAAAGAAAAAGATAATGGGATGTACACATACTCTTCTGAAACTTACGTGATTTCCTTCATAGTATATGTTGTATAGATTTAAATGTCAGTATATACAGATTTACCTTCTTATTTTGAGCGGCTGTGGCTATTCCACAGAATAATGTGCTATAATTTATTTACTCAGTTTCTTATTGGTAGACTTTGGACTATTTCAGCCTTTTTTTTTTTTTTTGGTTTAACAAACAGTACAGTACTACTGAACATCCTTGTGCAAACATTTTTGTGCTTATGTGTATTTCTGTAGAATTGTTGGGTTAAAGGTACATACCCTTGAAATTTTAACATGCATTGCTAAATTGAGTACCAGTGTAACAGCTTGCAATCTACCCAAAAGTCAGAAAAGTCTTGTTTCCCCAAACATGTATCAGCCTTAGTATTAGCAAATTTTATAGAGCTGATAGGCAAAAAAATTTGTTTTCATTTGTGTTTCCTTTGTTATTCACAAAACTGAACATCTTTTAAAGATGTGTTTTAGTTACCTGTATCTCCTCCTCTGTGAGTTTTCTGTTTGTATTGTTTGTCCATTGAAAAGTTGGACAAATGAACAAAAGTTGGACAAAGTTGAATTGTCTTTTTAATGACCTGAGCATCAGTTAGGATGTTTTGGCCTATAAATACAGAATCCTTACTAAAAGGTGGCTTATATTTATTGCTTATTATATTCCAAACACAGTGTCTGGATGGAGGTAGGGCATTCCAGGGCTGGGAAGTGGCTTATTGATTTTGCACACAGACTCTTTCTGCTATGTTTTACTCAACTTGTCCTCTTGTGGTTCAAGACAGCTGCCATAGTTCCAGTCATCACATAACAACCACCTCCAAAACCCAAAAAGCCATTCCCCAACCCCCAAATTCTCAAGCTTCTCTTCTGATCATGGAGTAAAATTCTTCCTAGCAGCTTCCTTGCAGACATCAGCACCCCGCCCCTCATGTCTCATTGGCCAAGATTGGGTCACGTGTCCCTTTCTAAGCCAAGATGCCCATGCATCTGCTATTTTTTTTTTTTTTAAGACAAGGTCTTGCTCTGTTGCCCAAGCTGGAGTGCAGTGTCATGATCTTGGCTCACTGCAACTTCCACCTCCTGGGTTCTAGTGATCCTCCCACCTCAGCCTCCCAAGTAGCTGGGACCACAGGGGCACACCACCACACTCAGCTAATTTTTCATAGAGAAGGAGTCTTGCTATGTTGCCCAGGCTGGTCTTGAACTCCTGGACTCAAGTGATCCACCTGCCTTGGCCTCTCAAATTGCTGGGATTACAGGTGTGAGGCGCCGTGCCTGGGTCTGCATCTGCTATGTTAAATAAAAATTTCCCCTTTAGTTATCACGTCTCCTGAATTAGTTGAAGCAGGCGCATGCACTTTGATTGTAATGCAACAATTTGAATTTAGGGGCAAATGCTGTATGCTGTGCCTAAAATATAAGGATTGGGCCAGGCACAGTGGCTCATGCCTGTAATCCCAGCATTCTGGGAGGCCGGGGTAGGCGGATCACTTGAGGTCAGGAGTTTGAGACCAGCCTGATCAACATAGTGAAACCCCATCTCTAATAAAAATACAAAAATTAGCCAGCTGTGATGGCATGTGTCTGTAATCCCAGCTACTCAGGCGGTTGAGGGAGGAGAATCACTTAAACCCGGCAGATGGAGGTTACAGGAAGCCAAGATTGTGCCACTGTACTCCAGCCTGGGTGACAAAGCAAGACTCCATCTCAAAAAAATAAAATAAAATAAAATATAAGGATTGTTGGCTTTGAATGATGTATCTTTAAAGGCTATATGTATGAGTTGAACATGGGCATCCCAGCTCCATAATATCTGGCCACTCTCAGTAAGTCATAATGCCACCACTCAGCTCCCAAAAGTAGGATAGCTCCATGGCCTTCTTTTCCAGGCAGCCAAAGGTAGAAGGATTGCCTCTGGTCTTTGTAGCCACTGTTAGGCCAGCCAGGGTCCACCGGTGGAATTTCTAGACTTCTCCAGATGAGATGAGGGAGATTGTTTTCTTAAGGGCTGTAACAATATCTACCTTTTTTGATAGATGCTGAGTTCTGACTGGAAACATGAGAAACTGTAACCCTCTTCATCTCTTCTGGGCCAAGGATGTGCCCTTCTCTCTCACTGGGCAGAGTAAGAATGGGAGGTGGCAGTTACAGTGTATTTTTGCTTTGTTTATGTCTTGTGAGTCAGCAAATCTCAGTCAGAGGAAATAGAAACGGATCTTAGTTACTCCTTTGTAACTAGCAAAATGTCTTTTAATCAGACTAAGAGACCTCCTCAGGTTCACATTCTCTGCTTTCAGAGTCTTGCTGGCATCTTCTGGGTACCAAGGCACTCAATTTTGGCTATGGACATGAAGGTCCATTCCAGAATCATTTAGGTGATCTTTATCCTTCTCCCTTGAGCTTTTTTTTTTTTTTTTTTTTTTTTTAAGACGGAGTTTTCCTCTGTCATCCAGGCTGGAGTGCAGTGGCATGATCTCGGCTCACTGCAACCTCCGCCTCCCAGGTTCAAGCAATTCTTCTGCCTCAGCCTCCCAAGTAGCTGGGATTACAGGCGCCTGCCACCACACCCAGCTAATTTTTGTATTTTTTGTAGAGACGGGGTTTCGCTATGTTGGCCAGGCTTGTCTCGAATTCCTGACCTCAGGTGATCCACCCGCCTTGGCCTCCTGAAGTGCTGGGATTATAGGCATGAGCCACCACGCCCAGCCCCTTGAGCCAGTCTTATTTTCTCTACAACTCCAAAATGAAAGTTCAAGTAAATGTTACTCCCCTCTACTTCCCTCCTTCCCCTATTCCCTATCCCATGATGAACACAGCAGTTACAGTGATACCTAAGCTGGGTGTTTATTAGGCTGAGGAATGTATTTGCTTTCATTTGTAATAATAGAGAATCCTGGACGGCTGTTTTTCAGATGTATTCCTAATTGTTTCGTTTCTGGGTGTTATTGTATATGGACTTAAAATTTTTCCTTTCCAATTTCTTGTTGCTAGCATCTAGAAATAGAATTGATTTTTGTGTGTTGACTTTGTATCCTGCTGTTTGTCTTAGTAGCTTTTTGTGTGTGTAGATTCCTTAGACTTTTCTGCGTACATAGTCATACTCTGAACAGAGACATTTTTACTTTTTCCTTTCCAATTTGGATGGAAAGATGCCTGCGGCAGGCAGCTAACTTGATGAGTAGCCGCATGGTTTCGATTTGGAATATGCTCACCCCCTTGACTGGGCTGCTTCAGACAGTGAAATCCTTGTGCAAGCAGTGGTCTTTTTTGCTCTTTGGCTCTGTGCATGCTTTTTGTGCTTTTTATTCCTCCTAGCTGAGCCTTTCCTTCCTAACTTGAGTTTGATTTGAAAACAGGTTCACTTAGAGAAAGTTTTTAGTGTCTACTTAACTTCTAAGGCATTTTCCTTCTGGCTAAATGACAAATCTGCCATTCCCAAGCCATTGACCACCTCACCTTTTCCGTTTTCTTCTTTGGTTCTGTATGAAGCCATTGGAATGATTCCCTCCAGATCCACCAGCCAGTCTGTCCACTGGCTGTTCCCTGATTTGTGCCAAGAAACTGTTCACCAGCAAGTGATCTGGTGTCCTTGCCAAATGAAGGTCTGGGACTTGTTTTGCCCCCACTGCCCAAAACTTTAAATTTCCTTTATCAAGTAGCTTCTCATGCTGGGAAAAACCACGGTCGGTCTCTACTGCTCCCTTCCTGCTTCAACTTCTTCAAATTGCTTGATGGTACCTTTGCTGCTTTATCTTAACCACTTGTACACTTGCATTGTTTAAATATTTTATGCTCTAAGTACCACTTATTCTTTGTAATTATTTTTCTTTTCTTTTTTCTTTCTTTTCTTTTTTTTTTTTTTTTGGGAGATGGAGTCTTACTCTGTGGCCCATGCTGGAGTGCAGTGGTACCATCTTGGCTCACTACAACCTCTGCCTCCTGGGTTCAAGTGATTCTCCTGCCTCAGCTTCTTGAGTAGCTGGGATTAGAGGTGCCGGCCACCAGGCCTGGCTAATTTTTGTATTTTTAGTAGAGACAGGGTTTCGCCGTGTTGGCTAGGCTGGTCTCAAACTCCTGACCTCAGGTGATCCGCCCACCTTGGCCTCCCAAAGTTCTGGGATTACAGGCGTGAGCCACGGTGCCCGTCCTGTAATTATTTTTCTTTATTTTCCATTTATCTACTTTGGAGATTACTTCTTTTTTGTTTAGCTCCTTTCATTTTTAAAATGAAAGGATAAAATAATATCCAAGCTCTGTAATAATTCTTAGTTTCCTTTATGGAAATAGTGGTGTAAGATTATTTAAAGCCCGTGGAACTGTTTTTAGCAGATTATAGTGAAAGAACAGTTTACCATAGCTAGACAGAAGGTATGCCCAAGGGTCAGGATGAAAATGTGCCCAGGGAGGGCCACTTATAAGCACAGGGTAATCCTGGATTTTTGTTGTTCCTTTTTCACTTTTTTTTTTTACAGTTTGTTTTTGTATTTCCTTGCCTTCAGCACCAGGTTGTTTTCCTTGATTCCTTTTTCTTTTTGGAAAACAGCATGGATAAGTGGAAAAATATGAACTCTACAGTATAAATATACCTGAACTTCTTTCCTTTCTTTCTTCTTTTTTTTTTTTTAGATGGAGTCTCACTCTGTTGCCAAGGCTGGAGTGCAGTGGCGTGATCTTGGCTCACTGCAACCTCCACCTCCCGGGTTCAAGAGATTCTCCTGCCTCAGCCTCCAGAGTAGCTGGGATTACCAGGCGTGCACCACCACGGTTGGCTAATTTTTTATATATTTTTTAGTAGAGACAGGGTTTCACCATGTCGGTCAGGCTGGTCTCTAACTGCTGACCTCAGGTGATCTACCTGCCTTGGCCTCCCAAAGTGCTGGGATTACAGGTGTGAGCCACCGTGCCCGGCCCGAATTTTAACACTACGCTTTTTAGTTATTGATTGTGGGTCCTTTGGCAAGTTGCTTACCCTTTTTGAGCTTTAATTTTCTCTTTTAAGGATTGCCTTTAAAAATATAAGTATTTATTAGGCATCTAGAATAATGTCTGGAAGACACTCCAGACATGGAAGTCACTCAATACGTATTACTTTTGATTATTATTGCCTTTATGCCTTTGATTTTCTTTCTCCTATTCTCTTTCTCTAGTCACTTGCCATTCATTATTAGGCTTGGATGAGGCCATACATTTACGATCTTTGAAAAAGATGGTTTACCTCTTCTTCCCTCTTAATATTACGTCATCAGTGTGATATATCTGCCAAAAAAAAAAAAAAGCTTCTGTGATCTTAGCCTAAATGACAAAGGGATGAATGTGTCTAGAATTATAGTTGAATGTGCCCAGAATCATAGCATCAGAGCCCGAAGGTATTTTAGAGACCAGCTGCAGATGAACTAACTGATGTAGCAAAGATAAGCAATTTGCCCATACCCCACAGAAGAGTATATGTGGTCCTGGGATTTTCTTGCTTCAGGAAAGAATTTTTTAAAATTGAGGTGAAATTCACATACCATAAAATTAACCATTTAAAAATGTACAGTCCAGTGGCATTTAGTGGTTGGCAGTGTTGTGGAGCCATCAACTTTATCTAGTCCCCAAACATTTTCATTGCCCTATACTCATTCAGTAGTCATTCCCCATTCCCGCTCACCCCCAGCTCCTGATAACTCCAAATCTGCTTTCCCTTTCTGGGTATTTGCCGATTCTGGATATTTTATATAAATGGAATCATACAGTATGTGACATTTTGTGTCTGGATTCTTTCTCTTAGCATAATGTTTTTAAGGTCCATGCTCATTATTTAAAAAATTCAAACATTACAGGAAAGTATAATGAAGAAAAGGAAAAATACTCTGTAATCCCACGTACCACTGATGACAACTATTGACAGTGTAGTGTGAGTTGCTATTCCTGCTGTCTCCCACATAAAGAGGTTACACTGTTCACACCTTTTTCATCAGTTTGTTTTTTTCCCTTAATGCTATATATGAAACATCTTCCTCTGTCAATACATACATATCTCTTCATTCTCTTTAGTGGATTGTATAATGTTTCATTACATGATTATACCTTAGGTTGTTTAATAAACCTACTTGGCCGGACACTGTGGCTCACGCCTGTAATCCCGGAACTTTGGGAGGCCGAGGCTGGTGGATCATTTGAGGTCAGGAGTTCAACATCAGCCTGACCAACATGGCAAAACCACGTCTCTACTAAAAGTACAAAAATTAGCCAGGTGGTAGTGGCACGTGCCTGTAATCCCAGCTACTCGGGAGGCTGAGTCAGGAGAATAGCTTCAGCCTGGGAGGCAGATGTTGCGGTGAGTGGAGATCACTCCACTGCACTCCAGTTTGGGCAACAGAGTGAGACCCTGTCTGAAACAAACAAACAAGCAAAAAACAAACCTACTGATGGACATCCTCTTCCTCCCCCCTAATTCTGTGCTAAGTAAAATAGTTTTCATCTTAACCTGCTGAGTGTGAGTTACTTTGAAATTCCAATATTGGAGAAAAATAAACAGGAAAGGCTCCCATTTCTCTGGGATCTGCTTGGATACACTGGGAAATTCATGCACCAGTAGGCGCTAGATAAGCCTTGAGGTTATTTCTAATTTCAGATTCTTTGATTCTTGGGATTAATACCCAAATCATGTAGTGCTGGGGACATAAAGGAAAGTGCTAGGACTAGGAATTAGGCCTGGATTTAGCCTTCATTTTATTAAAGACTAGTTCTGGGTCTTTGGAAGTAACTTACCTCTTTAGACTTCAGTTTTCTCATCTGTGAAATGAGGTAAATGGGCTAGCTGGTCACTAGTAGTGTGGACTTCAGCTGGAGTCACTGCCCAGTTTACAGCGAGTCCCCTTTCTGCAGGAACAGCTTGCTTCACAAGCGTGGCACCCCAGTAGCCATGTCTGATTGATCTAGTGGAAGTCATTTGTTACAAGACGAGTCCATCAAAACTCTTCTCTAGGATTTTTGAGTTTGAACCACAGAGAATATGAGCAGTTCTTCTCTTATGGTGGGAACATGTGAGAAGTGAAACTTGGTAGCCACTGGTAACCATATCACCAGTTTAGTGAGGCTCTAGTGTAGAGAGGAAAAGTATGGGATTCCCTGTGATATGGGTTAGTGGGGGAGTAATCACATAAAAGAAGAGCTACCTCTAATGTCATATGGTATCCTGGATTCTTCCCTGGAACAGAAAGAGAACATTAGTAGAAAAACTGATAATCCAAATGTGATGATTAATTTTATGTGTCAACTTGACTAGTCCGAGGGGTGCTTAGATATTTGATTAAACCTTATTCTGGGTGTATCTGTGAGGGAATTGCTGGAGGAGATTAACATTTGAATTGGTAGACTGAGTGAAGCAGGTTGTTCTTCCTAATATATGTAACCTTAATCTGATATGTTGAACGCCTAAATAGAACAAAAGACAGAGTAAGGGAGAGTTTCCTCTCTCTGACTGACTGTCTTGAAGCTGGAACATAGGTCTTCTCCTGCCTTCAGACTTGTTCTTAGACTGGAACCGATAGCATGGGATCTACTGGGCCTTCAGCTTCCCAAATGCAAATCTTAAGACCTCTTGGGCCAGGCGCGTGGCTCACACCTGTAATCCCAACATTTTAGGAGGCCGAGGCAGGTGGATCACCTGAGGTCAGGAGTTCGAGACCAGCCTGGCCAACATGGTGAAACCCCACCTCTACTAAAAATACAATAATTAGCTGGGTGTGGTGTCATATGCCTGTAGTCACAGCTACTCGTGAGGTTTGAGGTGGGAGAATCACTGGAACTCGGGAGGCAGAGGTTGCAGTGAGCCTAGATCATGACACTGCACTCCAGCCTGGGCAACAGAGAGAGACTCTGTCTCAAAAGTAGATAAATACATTAATTAATAAAATGAAATAAAAGTTGAGATTATTTTTTAAAAAGATGTGAAAATTTAGGACACTACAGAAACATATACAGGAGTGATTTGTACTGTTTTTTCCAACCTTATAACAGCCTGAAATTATTTTAAAAATCCAAATTCAAAAGCTTACAAAAAGGTGACATCATCAATATGATGGTATAGGCAGTTCCAAACATCTCTCTCTCCAGGAAACATTTTTTAAAAACCAGACACTGTCAAAACCAATGTTGTCAGAACTCTGGAAAAGAGTGAAAAAAAATCCAAAGCAATCAAGTGAATGCTGAATGAAGAGAAAGGCAACTTAAAAATGGTAAGAAGAGTGCGTGCGGTGGCTCATGCCTATAATCTCAGAGCTTGAGGCGGGAGGATTGACTGGGGCCAGGAGTTTGAGACCAGCCTGGGCAACATAGTGTGACCCCATCTCTACAAAAAGTAAAAAAAAAGTAGCTGGGTGTGGTGGTGCTCCTGTAGTTCTAGCTCAATTTAGCCCAGGAGTTTGAGGTTACAGTGAGCTATGAGGTTGTCACTGCACTCTAGCTTGGATGACAGAGAGAGGCCCTGTTAAAAAAAAAAAAAAAAAAAAAAAAAAGGAAATATCTGTGGCATTTTTACTTGCACTTACCCCACCCACTCCCTGGAGAGATGGCTGTTTGGAAGACAGCAGCCCAAGCTCCCAGTGTGGGACCCTGGCCCTGGTTCTGGAGGAAGCAGGAAGAAACCTTCTTCACAAATTCTTGTGTCTATCTATTCTACACTGTCTGGAGGCTATGTGAATGAAGGTCTGATGCGAGGTGCTTGTCTCTGTTTCACTGAACTTAGAACTTAGGGCAGAAAAGCAGTAGGCACTGCTCTCACATTATAAGGTAGACAAAAAACCTGCAGCCACCTGGGACAAAAGATTATGGTTGAGATACACAATACACTGCCCCAAGCCTGGGAGGAAAAGTTGGGGAGAGACTTTCTTAAGAAAATTAAGGCGCTCAAAAGAGCCAGTGTAAACTGGGGAATTTAGAAAGCCACACACATGCCCAAGATAGGACGCATGCTCAGAAAAGCCCTGAGAAACACCTATGCTTTCACCTTCTAGACTTAGCGCAGGCAACAAATAAAGGCTAAGGCAGAGCTGTAAGAAGGCTGGCTAAGTGTTGAAGGAGAGCCCCAATATGGCCAACCTGCAAAGAATGGGAAAAGTGTTTCTTTGTTGTTGTTGTTGTTGTTTTTTAATCTCCTGGCATCAAGGGAATCTCTTTGAAAACACTAGCTGAACACAGCTAAAGGAGCAGAGATTTTGGTGACCACACATAAGAATACAGTTTTTGCAAACGTGTTTGGAAAAGTCGCTAAACAAGTGGATAACTGTAGCCTTCAACAATCAAGAGGAGCAAACCCCTTGGATGGAAGAGAATCTGATTTCTAGAGTTACCACATTATAATATTCAAATGTCCAATTTTCAACAAAAAAATCACAAAGCATACAAAAAATGAGAAAGTATGGCCTATTCAAAGGAAACAAATAAATGGACAGAAACCATCCATGAAAAAGACCAGACATTAAAATTAGTAGCCAAAGCCTTTAAATTGATGGTCTTAAATATGCTCATAGAGCTAAAAGAAATCATGTACAAAAAACTAGAGAAACCAGGGAAATGATACATGAATACGAAAAGAATATCAATAAAGAGAAGTTATAAAAAGGAAACAAATAGAAATTCCAGAACTGAAAAGTACAACAACTGAAGTGAAAAATTCACTAGAGGGAACTCAATAGCAAATTTGAGCAGGCATAAGAAAGAATCAGTGAACTTGAAGGTAAGACAACTGAAATGATTCATTCAGATCAGTAGAATTGAAAAAAAAAAAAAGAAAAGAAAAGTGAACAGAGCCCAAGGGACTTGTGGGATACCATCCACCTGATCAACATCTGCATTTTGGGAGTCTCACAAAGAGAAGAGAAAGAAAAAGGGATACAAAGATTACTTAAAGAAATAATAACCAAAAACTTTCCACATTTGATAAAAAGCATGAACCTACACATTCAAGAAATTCAACAAACTCCAAGTGTGGTAAACTCAAAGAAATCCACACCAAGACATATTAAAATCAAACTGCTGAGAGATGAGAGAGAGGGAGGCAGGGAGGGAGAGAGAGAGAGAGAGAGAGAGAAAATCCTGAAGGCAGCAAGTGGGAAGAAACATTCAAGTGATTCTCAATAAGATTAATAGCCAATTTCTCATCAGAAACCATGGACGCCAGAAGGCGGTGGGAAGATATATTTAAAGCACTGAAAGAAAAAAAAATACCTGTGAACCAAGAATTGTTAAGAAATAGAAATAACGATCTCTGGTAAAGGTAAGTATGCAAGTAAATATAAAAGTCAGTATTAATGTATTTTTAGTTTGTATCTCCACTTTTTATTTCCTACATGATTTAAAAGACAAATGCCAAAAAATAATTATTGATCTATATTGTTGGCATACAAAGTGAAAAAGTCAAGGTGTATAATGGTGTAATTAAACACTATCAGTTTTTGTAAAAGCAAAAAATGTGTCTATGTACACATAGATCATACACAAATGTATACAAACACATGCCTGTGTGGGCATAGAATATCTCTGGAAGGGTACACAAAAAAGCTGATAAATTGCTTCCCTTATAAGTTTGAGGGCTGAGTGGACACATTCTCAGCAGTTAATTTTTGTTCTGTGCCTCACATCTGCCTCTCCTTTTATTTACCCATTTCCCTAAGGCACTATCACTTATTCAGTTGATTATGTCAGAAAAGTAGGAATCAGGTTTGTTCCTTCTCTTTTCTTCACCCCCCACCCATCCATTAAATCAACTATCAAATCCAGCTAATTTTACCTGCGAAACATATCTCAACTTTGTCTACTTCTATTGCGGAAGATGTTGGCCATTCCTCAATGTTCGTTGTTCCTTTCATTCTTAGTTGTAGAACTCCTGATTTTCAGCCAGACCTGCAGTAACCTAGAGTAACCATTTTATTTTCCATCTTTCCTTGCATTTGGATGGCACCATGTGACTAAGTTCTGTGTGATAAGCTGTAACTAAAAGTGTCACATATAATTTATAGAAATGCTCTTAAAGGGAGGGACATCAGTCATGCTACCACTGCAAGAAGTAAAAAAAAAAAAGATTTTTTTTTAAAAAGAGAGAAACATACCTTTTCTCCTCCCTTCCTCATTCATGTTGGCTGGACTGTAAACAAGGTGGCTGGAATTAGAGCAACTACCTTGGACTGGGAGGTGGAAGTCACATGTTGAGAAATAAGATGGAAGGAATCTGGTCCCTAAGAACGGTGGAGCCACCAATCAGATTCTAGGCTGACTATGTACAGGCTTCAATTATATGACAGAGGAATAAATATCTATTTGTCCAAGCCGCTGTAATTTGGAGTTTGCAGTTATGGCTACTCCAAATCCCAAATGATAAAATGTCTCTGCATTTCAGCATCCAACCACCTGGTCCAAGCCCAGCCCATCTCACTTGAACTGCTGTCTTCTAACTGTTCTCACCACATCCGGTCCTTGACTTCTCTCCCCATTCAGTTCTTTACATTCCAACCAGAATATTCCTTTAAATATATGTGCAAGATTAAATCACTCCCTTGTTTAAAATCCTTTAATGAGTTCCCATTAGTTTTATTTTATTTACTTATTTATTTATTTTTGTTGTTTTCTAAAATAATTTTTTGGTTTTTTTTTTTGAGACAGGGTCTTGCTCTGTCACCCAGGCTGGAGTACAGTGGTGTGATCTCAGCTCACTGCACCGTCTGCCCCTGGACTCAGCCAATCCTCCCGCCTCTGCTTCCCAAGTAGCTGGGACCACAGGCGCACACCACCAGGCTTGGCTATTATTTTGTACTTTTGGTAGTGACGGGGTCTTGCCATATTGCCCAGGCTGGTCTTGAACTCCTGAGCTCAAGCAATCCACCCACCTTGGCCTCCCAGAGTGCTGGTATTACAGGCACGAGCCACCGTGCCGGGCCATTGTCATGATTATTAACAGCCTTTTTCTTCCTTTGGTTTTATTTTCAATACAAGATACTATAGGAAGGTAGGTGTGGGGAATTATCAATTTGGTGAATATTTCAAAACAGATTTGAACAAACTTAGCACAAGACTCTAAACTTTAAAGATGACTTTCACCGTCTTTTCTACTAATGAACTAAATACAAAGTAAAATCATTTGTTTATACTTTTTTAAGTTTTAAGGTTACAAAAATATTTCATCAGCCATTCTGTTTCTAGGGGTGGGAACCCTCTAAACTATCTTTGCGATTTTTCTTAAATCTAAAATTATCCTAAAACAAAAAGTTTATTTTTAAAAAAGGGAGATGGGGTCAGGCGCAGTGGCTCATGCCTGTAATCCTAGCACTTTGGGAGGCTGAGGCAGGTGGATCACCTGGGGTCAGGAGTTCGAGACCAGCCTGGCCAAAATTGTGAAACCTCGTCTCTACTAAATATACAAAAACTAGCCTGGGAGGTGGAGGTTGCAGTGAGTCAAGATCACACCACTGCTCTCCAGCCTGGGCGACAGATGGGGAGTAGAGGCTCCTTCTCTCAAATTTCCAATTTAAATCACAGATGTTTGAGCTCTATTTTGAAGTAACTGACTCTGGCTTCCCTGTTGCCCTCTCCTCTTCTCTCCTCTCCCCTCCCCTCCCCTCCCCTCCCCTCCCCTCCCTTCCCCTTCCCTCTCCTCCTTCCTTCCTTCCTCCCTCCCTTCTTTTTCTTTTCTTTTCTTTTTTGAGACAGGGTCCCGCTGTGTCACCCAGGCTGGAGTGCAGTGGTGTAATCCTGGTTCACTGCAACCTCCATGTCCCAGGCTTAACAGATCCTCCCACCTCAGCCTCCTGAGTAGCTGGGACCACAGATGTGAGCCACCACATTGGCTAATTTTTTTGTATTTTTAGTAGAGACAGGGTTTTACCATGTTACCCAGGCCGGTCTCAAACTCTTGAACTCAGGAGATTTGCCCGCCTCGGCCTCCCAAACTGCTGGGATTACAGGCGTGAGCCATCACCCGGCTTCCTGTTGCCTTTCATCACACTCTTAACACCATTACATCAACATCTCAGCTAAAGCTTATTGAAAAGGCACCACTTTGGAGAATGTGCTCATATAGGAGCATTGTGTATGGCTGTGCAACTTCTGCCTGGCACATAGGCCACATGGGGGTCAATGAGGGCTGAAACCCAGCCTGTGACCCATACCAAGCTGCTGTACACTCAGCGGAGAGGAAGAAGGGGCCGTATGTGCCAGGAGCAGACTCATGTTCTCAAGGGAGCAAGGGCTTCTCTTTGCTGTCCCCAGCCTTGATCCTTGCCACAGGGGAGGAGCCAAAGGAGAGAATGAAGCTTTAACACCTAGAGAGAGGCCAACACTAGTGATGGAGAGAGAAGGATTTCTGGGTGACATTTGGGTCTGATGTTTCCTCCTATATTAATCAGGAGACCATATCCCTGGCTTTCTTAAGGTTTGGAAGTTCAACCCCTTTCTCAATTATATCCCCTCTTTTGGCCCCAACTAGTTCAATTGAGTTTCCTTTTCTGGCAGAATATCTTAGGTCTCTTCTAGTTCAGATATACAGTACCACGACTTTAGGATCAGCTGGGACAGATAGCTACAGTGGCATTCTGGTAAATGTTTTATAATCAGCTGTATGGGAAAAGGGCCTGGGGAGGGATGGAGGGTTGGGGGTGAGGGACTGGCTTGTAGTATTTACTAATTTCCATGGTATAAATACTACCATTGTGGCTGATTTCAGTCTATCAATGTGGTGTCATTAGACATAGAGCTGGGAAGAATACATACAATTGGCTCTTGTAAGCCTGTATGAGCTGGCTCCAGTAGACTACTGAAGAGCTTCCATTAGTTGTAGCTTCCGTGTAGATCACCAACTGGTAAGCCCACAGGCTATATATGGATCCAGATGTGCTCTGTTCAGGCTATAAATGTTTAAAATATTTTGGGTTAGTTGCCAGAGTTTAAATATCATATATATTTCCAGATTTTCATGAAAAATGAGACTAGAATATATATATATATATACACACACCACACACACATATATATATATATACACACACACACATATATATATACACACATATGTATATATTTTCCAGACCTTCATGAAAAGTGAGAAAATATTGCAGTATTGGGCCTGGTGATCAGAAAGATTCGATGATCTATCCAAAGTGATACCAAGAATAAGTGTCTAAACCAGAAAAAGGGCTCAGGTCTTTTGACTCCCAAACCAAAGTTTGCACCACTTCTTCAGGTTGTCCTCTCATTTCCTTGTCCATTATCATTTTCATTACCATTAGCTTGCTTGGCATTTTCTGTACAACTGGTGTTTTCTATTTACAGATCCTTATGTGAGTAAGAATTGTTAGGGTCATGTCTCTGTGTTTATAACCAGGTAAGTTGTGACAAAAAATCTGTGCATTGACCATCTTTCTTCCATGCTCATTTTTATTTTTCAAAATACCAATTGCTGCTTTATAAAGATAATGCAGGTTCACTGGAAGAAAAAGAAGGAGAAGATAGCAAAGGTAGGGGAAAAGAAGTAAAAAATTATAAAAATTACTCCCAATCCTACCCATTAATCCTTGTTCATAGAGAACATTGCTCAGGCATCTTATGCACATACAGAGAAAGGACTACTGGACAGAAATGGGGTCATTCCAGATATGCTATTTTAATAACAATATTACACTTAATCTTATTTCAATTTGACAAAAGAAAAAGAAACCAAAGTTATACTGTATCAAAAGTGAAACTGAAGGAATTACTGCATTTGAAATAAATATTTATCACAAGGAACATTAGTTCTTTAAAGACATTCTAAAGTTAAGAAAAATTATAATAAGCAATATGAGTTTTGAATTATGTGTTTTTTTTGCCACATTCATGTTACACTTTTAGAGAGCATCTTTGATGCATTCCTAGGAGAGCTGAGGATGTTAGTACACTAAATATTCTCAATCTCCCCTATCTGCTGCTGATTTTAGATGGTTCATTTCATTTTATGTGGTTAGGTTTTTAATATTTACATTCTGTCTTGCAACCATAGATTCCATAGTTGGTTAGCTTTTGTTTTAAATTTAAGTGGATTCAGTGCTCTATACCAGCCTCTTTTCATGTCTTCTCCATTCTAGAGTTCTTTAATTTCTCTCTGGTTTGTATCAATTTCCTCATCAAGTACTACCCCTTCTATCCTCCACTCCCCTACCTCCAACATACACACACAAGAAGAGCTTGTAGAAGTTGTAGTCCTTGAATACTTAGAGTCCTGAGAATGTCTTTCTGTTACTTTACTACTTTGTAGCCTGCCTGGATACAAAATTCTTGAGTCACTCTTTCTTTCTCTCAGAATTTGGTAGCTATTTCTCCATTGTCTTTTGGCATAAGGTGCTGAACTTTGTCTCTTACCATGGCTTTTTTATCTGCCTTCTTGTTAGTTTGAGTCATCATTGGATTTTTTTTTCCACAAAGGGTTTATGTGTGCTATTTGACTTGAGCTTGTCTATTTTCATATTTGAGATGTTTGCTTGTTTCTCTTATTCATGAATGACAACTTGTCTTTATAAGCATGTTCCACTCCTTCTGACATGGAATGAGACCAGGGAGGGCTTGAAGCCAATGTGGCTTACAAAAAGAAAAAAAAAATCAACTGAGGTCGGGCATGGTGGTTCATGTGTGCAATCCCAGCACTTTGGGAGGCTAGGTGGGAGGATTGCTTGAGGCCAGGGGTTCAAGACCAGCCTGGGCAACATAGCAAGACTGTCTCTACCAAGAAAAAAAAATCCTAAGCTGGGTGTGATGCATGCCTGTAGTCACAGCAGCTTGGGAGGATGAGCCAGGAGGATAACTTGAGCCTGGGAGTTGAGTCCAGCCTGAATAACATAGCAAGACCTCATCTCTAAAACAAACAAACAAACAACAAAACATCCTTGTAAATGGCTTGTTTTTCTTGCTTGTATTAGTGAAGAACTGTTTATATTTAAGGTTCAGTTACAACCAGAATATATCTCAATGTTGCTTGTGCTATATCATTTTTTCCTTTGCAACTTATACATCAGTTATCTTTTGTTGGCTTGTTTTTGTCTGTCTTCCATTTCTGTTTTCTCTATATTTACTTTAATGTCTCTGCATTTTTCCTGGCATTTGTTAAAAAGCAAAACTGAAGCCCATTGTTTGCATTAATAATTTCATTTTAGACTGGGCACTGTGGCTCATGCCTGCAATCCCATCACTTTGGGAGGCCAAGATGGGTGGATCAGTTGAGGCCAGCAGTTCGAGACTGGCCTGGCAGACATGGTGAAACCCCATTTCTACTAAAAATACAAAAATTAGCTGAGTGTGGTGGTGCATGCCTGTAATCCCAGCTTCTTGGAAGGCTAAGGCACAAGAATTGCTTGAACCCAGGAGGTGGAGGTTACAGTGAGCCAAGATTGTAGCACTGCACTCCAGTCAGGGCAACAGAGCAAGACTCTGTCTCAAAATAATAATAATAATAATAATAATAACAATTCAATTGTAAGCAAATGTATATTATTTTCCCAGTAGATTCTGTTTATTCAATAGTTCTTCAGTAATATTACTTTGGCCTTTGATTTGTTTCCTTAACCTCTATATTTCATTTCATCTCATTCTATTATCATAGTATCTTCGAACTCTTTTTTTCTCCTTTCTTTGCTGCAGCATATTTGCAT
Organism: Homo sapiens; assembly: GCF_000001405.40. Lineage (NCBI taxonomy): Eukaryota > Metazoa > Chordata > Mammalia > Primates > Hominidae > Homo > Homo sapiens. The sequence continues at coordinate 92,775,242 of NC_000010.11, forward strand.
AGCTGCCATACTGCTTTTGAAAATCTTGCTCATGCTTAATATAAGGAGCTATTTTCAGACCTTCTATTTGCTAGGCTATAGTTTGGTGAATTCTTTCTACTTTGCCTGTTTTTCTTTCTTTCAAGTTTCAACTTGAGGTCTAGGTTTTGTGCTCTACCTACTTTTAATTACCTTGAGGGAATAAAGGAAAGGGAATTGACTGCTCGGTTGAGCTGTACCCAGGGAGAATTCACCCTGGGAGAAGATTCTAGATTTAGAGTCATGCAATCTTAGCAGAGTCAGGCATCAGTAACTGTACCAGCAAAATTCATCAGATGTCACAGAAGCTTCTCAAAAGGATGGAATAACTGTATGGTAAACAACACTTTATTCAGCATCTACTCTGTACCAGACACTGAAAGAAAAAAATAGCTGCCTTTATTATGTATACATGATGTCAGGCCAGTGGTAAGTGCATTATATATAATTTAGTTTGCTCAATACAACTTTATGAAATACATTTATCAGCCCTCATTTTTTGAATGAGGAAACTGAGGCTCAGAGAAGTTACATTATTTGCCAAAATCATATAGCAAATAAATGACAGAGTTGAACTTTGAAACCATATCTAAATCATAAACATTAAAAAGATTCTTTACCAGGAGATTAACATGATATTGGACAACACTTGTAGAACTTTTAGCGCACTGTGGTTTGCATGTAATCTATTAAAAGCTTAGCAATTTTCTTTTCTAAAAATATTCTGATTTATAGATAAAATATGATCTAGACTTGCTTCAAAATAATTTGAGGGAGGGAAATCTGGGTGAGGGGGTACATGGGACAAGATTGGCCATGAGTTAATGATTGTAGCTGGGTGAATTAAAGCATGAGAGCTCAGTGTACAGATTTAAATAATGACTGCTCAACTAATCACTTTTTACCACAGCAGCTCTTGAAAAGTTATACCTCTTTTTGGGCAATGACCCACTTTCTTTTGGTAATGACTTTTCAGCCCATCATACTCTAAGTAAATACATCACAAGAAGTGCTATTTCAACATTATGGTTTTAGGTAAAGACACATTCACCAATTTACTCAACAAATTTGCATTGCCTACCATTTTAGGATGAACCCAAACCATTTTGGTTTACATGTAGATGTCAAGAAAGATGTGAAGATGCAGGACCACTGACCACTCTTAGGTCTGTTTCTTACACGTGCTCTTTTCTGGCTTTAGCTTTTTGCTTTTTCTTTGCTTTCAACATGGTTTTCTATGCCATAACTTAATTTTTAAGTGCAGCTTGAGTGTAAGATGACCCCGAAGTTTGAAAAAATAGTGGAGAAAAATGGTGCAGAAACTGCCCCTTCCAATAAAAAAGACTTCTTATCTCCTCTCTCCACCCCTTATGACCCCCATCAAGTCTTTTCTTCCTCTTCGAGTGAGTACAATGAACTTCCATTATGTTACAGTTTACGTATGAGTGGTGTTTATTATTATTTCCAATTGTCGTTAATTACTTAGAGTTAGAGGTTGAATTGTGTCCCTCCCCAAATTCATATGATAAAGATCTAACCCCAAACCTTAGAATGTGACTATATTTGGAGATAGTCTTTAAGAAGGTAATTAAGTTAAATAAGGTCATCAGGGTGGACCCACATCCAATATGAGTGGTGTCCTTATAAGAAGAGGAAATCTGAACACTTTATGTACAGAGGGAAGATAGTGTGAAGATCTAGGGAAAAGACAGCCACTTAGAAGCTAAGGAGAAAGGCCTCAGAAAAAAACAACCCTGCCAACACATTGATTTTGGACTTTCAGCCTCCAAAACTATGAGAAAATAAATTCCTGTTGTTTAAGCCACCCAGTCTGTAGTACTTTGTTATGGCAGCCCTAGCAAACTAATATACTTATCTAAACTTGTTTTCCTTATTCTCTTAGGGAAAACATTATAAGGAATGGACTAAATTCATAAAGTGAGGGATAGGTATTTCCCTCACCTTTTCAATATGTTTGACATTTTCTATAATAAAAACTTTTTAAAAATTAAAATATGTCTGGCTAGCATGATTTCAAATATTATTGATCTCCAATGACCTACTATGATATCATGAATAGAAGCTATTCACAGGGGTGATAGTGAAAATAAGTAATAGCTGGGCTGAGCACAGTGGCTCATGCCTGTAATCCTAGCACTTTGGGAGGCCAAGGTGGGCAGATCACTTGAGGTCAGGAGTTCAAGACTAGCCTGGCCAACATGGTGAAACCTCATGTCTACTAAAAAACAAACAAACAAACAAACAAAACAAAAATTAGTCAGGCATGGTGGTACACACCTGTAATCCCAGCTACTTGGGAGGCTGAGGCAGGAGAATCGCTTGAACTGGGGAGGTGAAGGTTGCAGTGAGCAGAGATCATGCTACTGCACTCCAGCCTGGGCAACAGAGTGAGACTCTGCCTCAAAAAAAAAAAAAAAAAAAAAAAAAAAAGGTAATAGCTGGTCAGTGGGGAAGGTCTGTTCCTTTCCTGGTGAGAGCCGGATACCAGCGGTGTTGGATGTCTATGAATGATAATCTGAGCTTTGGGCCTTGGCTATCTCTGACATATGGATCAAGATGACTCCAGGATTAGGTGATTTGGTTGGTTCTGCACCTCAAGACCCCTCTGTATTGGTCTATTTCGTATTCAGGGGCTTTGGCTCTCAGATAAGGTAATGTGACAAAGTGGTTCAGAGCATTTTTTTAGGAGTTGGACGACTTGATTTTGAATCCTGGCTCTACTATTCACTATTTGGGTGACTGATTCTTGGATAAACTGTCTTCTCTAAATCCTAATTTCCTCATCTATAAAACAGGGGTAATAATACCTTTCTCTTTTGGTTATTGGAGGGAGTACATGAGATTATGAATGTAATGTGCTTAGCATGGTGCCTGGTCACATTATTACACTTTAGTTCAGGTCCATTTGACATGACCTAGACTGAAATGTCCTGAGCGTCATTTTCTGTGTGTTATCATTTGTCTTAAGGTGACTAAACTCAGCTGGCATCCTTCTCTTTATTTCACAATTTTAAGCCTCATGTGAACCTCAGACAATGAACAGATTTCAACAAGTTTAGGGAAATAGGAAGACTCAAATGGGAAGAAAGTCTACCTACCATAGAAATTCTACAGAGGTAAAAGATTCATTGACTCATTCAACAAACATTTATGTCAAGTACTATTCTATATGCTGGGGATATAGCAGTGGATAAAACTGACAAAAATTCCAACCTGAGAATGAAAGTTACATTCCTGGGGGTGGGAGTTGACACCATGCATCTAGTAGGTGTTAATTAAAAAAAAACAAAACACTTTGCCTCACCTTTTTGAATTTCTATAGTAGGTGTTATTTATTAAGTGTATATAGTGGCTAGTAAATACACCATTTACTAGCCGCTATATAGTTCTGTGTGGAATATAAATTTCCCGTGTGGAACCAGTGATCAAATTGCTCTTGAAGATATAAAATAATGTATGCTACATGTACATGTTCTTTGCCCATAGGAGGACTCCAATTAATGGGGAATGAATAAATGAATATGAACAATTGCACGGGTGGTGAAACTCAGAGTGTGATTTCTAGGCGTAAGGATTGAAGTTCCACCGTTCATGGGTACACACTTTATATCATCTCTTTAACCAATGTCCCAACTCTCATTGTGATGCACTTTATATTTAGAAGACAGCCGGGTAACTCCCTTTTTCTTTCCTCTCATGCATACTTTAAATTTTCATTATGGAAGGTATTATTCAAATTTTAGACCTTTCTATTTGATTTTAGTAATGTAAGACAAAATATGAGCAAGTAAGGGAATGGAATTTATATTTATATACTATCTACTATGTGCCAGGCTCTTTTTACATGGTATATCTCATTACTTTTTCGCAAGAAAACTTTATGAGGATACAGAGAGTATCTACAAATAAAATTTACAGAAAACGTGCAAGACCCTTATGACAAAAATTATGAACCCTTCTCAAAAGATACTACGGTTTGAATGTGTGTCCCCTACAAAATTCATGTTGAAACTTAACCCTTATTGTGGTGGTATTAAGAGGTGGGGTCTTTTTGGGAGGTGATTACATCGTGAGGCCTTGGCCCTTATGAATGGATTAGTGCCTTATTAAAGAGCCGGAGGAAACTAGCTTAGGCACCTTTTTACCTTTCCATCTCTTCTCCTTTTCCTCCGTGTGAAGACGCAGCATTCAAGGTGCCATCCTGGAAGCAGAGACCCAGCCCCCGCCAGACACTGAACTTGCCTGTACCTTCATTTTAAACTTCCCAGACTCCAGAATTGTGAGGAAATACATTTCTGTTTTTTTAATAAATTACCCAGTCTCAAATATTTTGTTATAAAAGCACAAATGGACTGAGATGAAGACCTAAATCAAGTGAGATATGCCATACTCATAAATGGGAAGACTCATTATGAAAATAACGTCATGTTTTTCTAATTTAATCTATAAATTTAATGCAATTAAAATAAAAATTCCTGTACAGTTTTTCATAGATCTTGAGGAGCTCAGAAATTCATATGAAAGAGCAAATATCCAAGATTCATCAAGACAATATTGAAAAATAACATAGTGGTACTCATCCTATTAGACATGAAAACTTGTTATAAAGCTACAGTAGTTAAACAATATCATTTTTACCTTGAGAGAGACAAATAGACAGATGGAACGGAATTGAGAACCCAGAAATAAAGCCAAATATCTAAAGATATCTATCCTGTAATAATAGCACTTTGGGAGGCTGAGGTAGAAGAATCATTTGGGGCCAGGAGTTTAGACCAGCCTGGGCAACATAGTGAGTCCTTGCCTCTACAAAAAAAATTTTTAATTAGCTGGGCATAGGGGTGCATGCCTGTAGTCCCAGATACTGGCCAGGTGTGGTGACCCACAGCTGTAATCCCAGCACTTTGGGAAGCTGAGGTGGGAGGCCGTTTGAGCCCAGGAGTTTAAGGCTGCAGTCAGCCATGATTGTGCCACTGCATTACAGCCCAGGCAACAGAGCTAGACTCTGTCTCCCAGAAAAAAAGAGGTAAAAGAAACCTGATATATGATAGAGGAGACATTATAATCAGTAAGGAAAAAGAAAGAACCAGTCAATAAATGATGACCCAATTGTTTATCCATACAGAATACAGAAAAACCATTTTTGACTCCTACCACATAACCACAAACAATAAGTTCCATGTGGATTAAAGATATCTAAATGTGAAACTCAAAAAAATCAACCATAAAGGAAAACAATGGACAAATACGATTATTTTAAAATATAAAACTTTTGCATGCCCAAAGATACCAAAACAAAGTAAAAAAAATCACACTGGAAGAAGATATTTGCAATGCAATAAATAATAAATTAATGACACCTAGAATACTTAAAGAACTTCTAAAATAAGAGGCTGGGCATAGTGGCTTATGCTTATAATCCCAGCACTATGGGAGGCTGAGGAATGAGGATTGCTTGAGCCCAGGAATTTCAAGACCATCCCTAGCCTAGGCAACACTGTGAGACCTCATTTCTACAAAAAATTGAAAAAGTAGCTTGGTGTGGTGGTATGCACCTGTAGTCCCAGCTACTTTGGAGGCTGAGGCAGGAGAATTGCTAGAGCCCAGAAGTTTGAGACTGCAATGAGCTATGATCATGCCACTGTACTCCAGCCTAGGTGACAGAACAAGATTCTGTCTCAAAAAAAGATAGGAAAAAGACAAAAACCCAGTAGAAAATAGGCAAATATATAAGCAGAAGGAGAAATACAAATAGCTATTAAACATATAAGAAGAGGCTGGGTGCGGTGGCTCATGCCTATAACCCCAGCACTTTGGGATGCTGAGGTGGGAGGATCACCTGAGGTTGGGAGTTTGAGACCAGCCTGGCCAACATGGTGAAACCCCGTCTCTACTAAAAATACAAAAATCAGCCAGGCCTGGTGGCACATGGTGGTGCATCCCAGCTACTTGGGAGGCTGAGGCAGGATAATCGCTTGAACCTGGGAGGGGGAGATTGCAGTGAGCTGAGATTGCACCACTGCCCTCCAGCCTTGGCAACAGGGCGAGACTCCATCTCAAAAAAAAAAAAAAAAAAAAAAAAAAAAAAAAAAATCTTTGCACTCATTCTCCAAGCCTAGGTATGGTCCAATTCTTCCAGTACACCAAGGCAAGAAACCCCGGGGTACAGAAAGCCCTCTGTCCTTGCAACAAGGTAGAGGGTCTAATTAAGCTAACACAAGCCGCCCATAGATGGCAAACTAAGAGTACCCTGTAACACACATCCACTGGGGCTTAAGGAGCTGTAAACATTCGCCGCTAGACACTGCCATGGGGTCGGAACCCCACAGCCTGCCCATCTGTATGCTCCCCTAGAGGTTTGAGCAGCAGGGCACTGAAGAAGCGACCCCCACCCCCACCACACACCCAGTTGGGGGACAAGGGAACCTTTCCCGTTTCAGTGATAAGAGAAAATTCCACTGACAAAATGGAAATTGGGCTGTATAGGTAAGAAAGAATATGTCAAAGGAGCCCTGTCTTTTAGGTATAGAATAAAAAAGTCAAGCCAGGAGAAGATGCACCTTTTAAGGAATATCAAAGTGAATAGCATTAACTTTCCAGCTCTAGCAAGTGAAAAGAAGGAACGGCAACACTATCACCAATAAAGAATGCCTTTAAACTCGTAAGATGGTGAGGAGAAAAAGAGACCTTTAAATATTTTTTGCTCATTTAAAAAATTTCCTTCTTTCTGAGAAAATGCCCTGTGACTAGAAAACTAGAATAATCTGAAATGAAAAAGCAGCCAAACAGTACAGACTAGGAAATGGTGGTTTGTAAGTCATCACCTCTTAAGTGCTGGCTTCATGTTCTACTTTTAGAACATAATCAAAGCTAGGTACTCTCTTTCCACAAAAATGCACACTATATCCCCCAAATTTTGCACACAGTTTTAGGGATTCACACACATTTTGATAAACAATCCATGGACACTCTCATCCCCAACATAGGGATCCATGGATGCTAGGTTAAAATCCTTCTTTTAGGGTGGGCGCAGTGGCTCACACTTGTAATCCCAGCACTGGGAGGCTGAGGCCGGCAGATCACTTGAGGTCAGGACTTTGAGACCAGCCTGGGCAACCTGGTGAAACCCTGACTTCACTAAAAATACAAAAATTAACCAGGCGTGGCGGCATGTGCCTGTAATCATAGCTACTCAGGAGGCTGAGGCATGAGAATTGCTTGAATCCAGGAAGCGGAGGTTGCAGTGAGCCGAGATCATACCACTGCACTCCAGCCTGGGTGACACAGCTGGACTTCATCTAATAAATAAATAAATAAATAAATAAAAATAAATAAATAAATAAATAAATCCCTCTTTTAAAGAAATAGATTCAGTAATGTCATCAATAGGCACATCCTGGCTATTGCTGGTGGTATGTATGTATTCTCAAATATTACTACACTGAAACAGTGGAAATGGGATGCCCAGATGACAACAAAAAGTTGGGGCAGGGGAGACAGGGAAATGACAAGTAGAAGGATGGTGAGTTTTGGTGTTAGACAAACACGGGTTTGAATCCCACTCTGTTGTGTGACCTTTATGAAGGTATTTAACTCTTTAAGTCAGCCTCACTTTCCCCATCTGTAAAATATAGACTAACTATAGTGTCAATTTCATGGGATTCTTGTAAGAATTCAACAGGATAATTAATATACACAAGACTATTAAACCCAGTGTCTTGTCATACTTTAAACAGCTTAAAAAATGATAGCTATTTATTATTGACCAGAACGTCACAAATTGGCTATTTTATTTTTGAGACAGTCTTGCTCTGTTTGTTGCCCAGGCTGAAGTGCAGTGGTATGATCTCGATTCACTGTAAGCTCTGCCTCCCAAGCTCAAGTGATTCTTGTGCCTCAGCCTCCTGAGTAGCTGGGACTACAGGCGTATGCCACCACACCTGGCTAATTTTTGTATTTTTAATAGACAGTGTTTTACCATGTTGGCCAGGCTGGTCTCAAACTCCTGGCCTCAAATGATCTGCCCACCTCAGCCTCCTAAAATGCTGGGATTACTTACAGGTGTGAGCCACAATGCCCAGCCAGTTAGTTTAATTTTCTTTCCCAAAATAATTTTAGAACAATGATTTACATAATTAAAAGAGAACTTGTGGCTGGATGTAGTGGCTCATACTTGCAATCCTCATACTTTGGGAGGCTGAGGTGGGAGGATCTCTTGAGGCCAGGAGTTTGAGACCAGCATGGACAACATAGCAAGACCCCCATCTTTACAAATAAAACAAAGAAAATTAGTCTGGCATGGTGTCACACACCTGTAATCCTAGCTACTTGGAAGGCCAAGGCAGGAGGATAGTTTGAGCCCAGGAGTTTAAGGCTGCAGTGAGCTATGACCACACCACTGCACTCCAGCCTGGGTGACAGAGCAAGACCTTGTCTCAAAAGAAGAGAGAGAGAGAGAGAACTTGTTAACTTATTATCCATATAGCTTTGTGGGAAAAGACATCCTTCTATTCTAAAATGAATGTCTGTGTCATGTGCTAGGCAATCACAGCCATATTCCAAGTCTGCTCTTCCTCCCTTGACCTCTGCCACCCTGGTCTTGGTTTTCATCATCTTTCCCTGGGATTCTTCAATAGCCTCTTCACTTGCTTCCCAGTAACTCTCCAACACATGTAGAATAAGGCCCCTCTTAAAAGGCTCTCATATATAATCTGGCCCCCAGATAGGTCTTCCAACCCACCTCCTTCTCTCTTTCTACTCTGGTCATACCCACCTCCACGCTGTTTCCCCGGTACTACACTCCTTTCCTTTCCTGAGCATTGCCTCTTGCTGGTCCCTTTACCTGTGGTTCTCTTACTTCAGAGATCTACATGGCTTGCTCTGTCCTTTCAGTCAGGTCTCTGCTCAAACTTCACTCCCTCAGAGAAGGCTTCTCTGACCAACTCATCTAAGATGGCACCTCATTGCCCCATCCCTCTCTATTCCCTTACCTGTCTTATTTTTCTTCATAGCACCTTCCATATCCCCACTGTTTTGTTTTGTTTTGTTTTGTTTTGAGACAGGGTCTCACTCTGTCATCCAGGCTAGAGTGCAGTGGCACCCTTATGGCTCACTGCAGCCTTTATATCTGGGCTCAAGCAATCCTCCCACCTCAGTCTCCCGAGTAGCTGAGACTACAGGTGCACACCACCATGCCCAACTAATTTTTGTGGGTTTTTTTTTGTGTAGAGACAGGGTTTTGCTATGTTGCCCGGGCTGGTCTTGAACTCCTGGGCTCAAGCGATTCTGCTGCCTTGGCCTCACAAAGTGTTGTTGGGATTACTTATGTGAGCCACTACACCGAGCCTGTATCTTGACATTTTATCACACATTTAGTTATAATTTTTTTTTGAGACAGAGTCTCTCTCTGTCACCCAGGCTAGAGTGCAGTGATGCAATCTCAGCTCACTGCAACCTCCACCTCCCAGGTTCAAGCAATTCTTCTGCCTCAGCCTCCCAAGTAGCTGGGACTACAGTCACGTGCCACCATGCCCAGGTAATTTTTGTATTTTTAGTAGAGACGGGGTTTCACCCTATTTGTCAGGCTGGTCTCGAACTCCTGACTTCAGGTGATCCATTCACCTTGGCTTCCCAAAATGCTGGGATTACAGGTGTGAGTCACCATGCCTGGCCTCTACTTATAATTTTATTGTCCGCCTCTCCCTCCATTGAAAGCAAGGATTTGGTTTTATTTCCTGCCTAGCACAGAGCCTCGCACTTAGGAGATGCTCTGCAAACGTGTGGATGAAGGAAAGAGTGAACGAGGAAGCGAGGGAAGAAGTACAAATCTGGTCTTTGTTTCTGCCTCCTGTGGCTCTTGCTTTAACAAGCTTGGAAATTCCACACCAATATTTCCCCAGCTGGCGGGAAGCTCCGAGGGAGGTGGGATGGCACCTGCTAAGGTGGGGTGCCTGTCAGTGCAACCCCTGCCCGCCGACCTCTCCACAGCCGTGGCAGTGCCCTTCTTTCCTCCTGAATCCTCCCTAATGGACCCTTTAAATAGCACTGGACCCAGGACTGACCTCTCAAAACTCTCCTCGGTTCCTTGATTTAATGAGAATCTTTGCCTTTCCAGCCAAGAACAATGTCACTGGACTTCTGTTTCCTGACCTTTTAGAAAACCCAAGGATGTGGGACAAAAGTCTCACTACAGTTAGCCAGGTCGGTTCTGCTCTGCTGCTGCTCTGCTCTGGATAATCCGTCTTCTTAGCCTGACCAGAGTTTTTCTTAATAAAATTAGTATTGTGCACTCTGATCTCTCGAGGTGTTTGAAAATTGGTTGTATTAATTTTTTCCCTTGTATTTTCGTGGGCACCAAAATTAAGCTTACTGGTCTTCTTCATTTCTCCTTTATAACATAGTCAACATGTAGCTCTTTTTCAACCTTTTGTATGAATTTGAAAGCATTTTGGAAGGGTAGCTGTTATATAATAATCATGACATTTACTTATGTCGGAGGCAGGACGATTACTTGAGCCCAGGAGTTTGAGACCTGCCTGGGCAACACAGGAAGACACTGTCTCTACAAAAAAAATTTAAAAATTAGCTGGGTATGGTGGCATGCACCTGTGGTCCCAGCTGCTCAAGAGCCTAAGGTGGGAGGATCACCTGAGCCTGGGAGATAGTGGTTGCAGGGAGCTGTGACTGCACCATGGCTGCATTTGATTGCAAGTTGTTTTAGCAACATGATTGCATTTAAAGTTATTTAAAAGTTTATAGGCTGACCATGGTGGCTCACACCTGTAATCCCAGCAATTTGGGAGGCCGAAGCGGGTGGGTCACCTGAGGCCAGGAGTTCAAGACTAGCCTGGGCGATGAAGCAAGACTGTCTGAAAAATAAATAAATAAATAAATGAATAAAAGTTTATAACAGTGTTTATAGTTACAATTTATTAAGCACCTACTATGTGCAGCTGTTGTACCAAGAGTATCACATTGATTATCTCACTTAGTCCAATTAACAATCCTATGACATGGGCTATAATAACTAGCACTTATTGTGTGCCAGTTAACCTATTACATATATCACATTATTACACATATTATTTCACTTAATTCTCTCAGTAACTCGATGGCAAAGGTAATGTGATTATCCCCATTTTGCAGATGAAGGATCTGAGGCTCAGAGAGGTGTATTTTTCTGCTAGGGCTGCCGTAAGAAATGATACAAACTGGGTGCCTTTAACAACAGGAATTTATTTTTCTCACAGTTCTGGAGGCTGGAGGTCCAAGATTAAGGCGCCTCCAGGGTTGGCTTCTGATGAGGCCTCTTTTCCTGGCTTGCGGACAGCTGCCTTCTGGCTGTGTCCTCAAATGGCTTTTCATCTGTGCCAGGATGGAGAGAGACAGTTCTCTGATGTTTCTTCTTCTTTTTATAAGGACTTCAATCCTATTGGATTAGGGCCCCACCCCTTCAGCCTCATGTACCTTAATCACCTCCTTAAAGGCCCAATCTCCAAATACAGTCACATTGGGAGTTAAGGCTTCAATCTATGAATTTCAGGGAACACAATTCAGTCTATAACAAGAGGACTTTCTATCTATTGGGAGACTGAAAAACAACAACAACAACAACGACAACAGTAAGAGGGCATATAAAGTATCAGTGCAGTCCTGTCTTCCTGTTAATTCTCCAAAATAATTCCTAATGTCCCCAGTCAGCCTTTGAAAAATGCCTTCTTTCAGTGGCTAAGGCTGAGCCTTGCCATAGCCTACCCATCTCAGCAAACACAGATTATTCTTTCCTAGTGTGTGAAGGCTTCCACTGCTGCTATTAAAACAACTTAAAGCCAGGTACAGAGGCTCAAGCCTGTAATCCCAGCACTTTGGGAGGCTGAGTTGGGAGGATAGCTTGAGCCCAGGAGTTTGAGACCAGCTTGGGGAACACAGGAAGCCTTGTCTCTACAAAAAAATTTAAAATTAGCCAGGCCTGGTGGCGTGCACCTATGGTCCTAGCTACTAGGGAGGCTGAGGTGGGAGGATCGCTTAAGCCCAGGAGTTTGAGACCAGCCTGGGCAACATAGGGAGACCCTGTCTCTGCAAGTAATTTAAAAATTAGCCAGGCGTGGTGGCATGCACTTGTGGTCCTAGCTACTCGGGAGGCTGAGGTGGGAGGATTGCTTGAGTCTGGGAGATAGAGGCTGCAGTGAGCCATGACTGCACCACTGCACTCCAACCTGGGCGACAGAGTGAGGCTGTCTCAAAAACAAACAAACAAACAAAAACTTAAAAAAATGTTTTGTGTGCCTGCGTGTGCAGCAGTTAGAATGACAGCTGAGGTAAAACACGTATTACAAGCTTCTTCCTTGCTGTTGTTCTCTCATCTGCTTCCCCTTCCCGTTGCAGCAAGGAACCTGTCACCTGCACTGCCTGGTTTTGGTAGACAATGCCCAGGTGGCGGCGTCTTCCCTCTGACCTCACCACACCTGTGCCTCCGTGCTGCTGAAGCCCTCTCTGGGATAGGTTGGGACATTTGCTCCTGTCGCTTTCACACGTCTTTTAGTAACTCTTTTCTCTTTTCTTGTTTCAGCACATGAGAAACTTTCTCCTGCTCATCTGCTTTTGTTAACTAAATGCAGGAGCAGGCAGAGCTGTCTTTACTGCAGGAAGCCACACACACCTGCAGACCCGCCTCTGCCATCTGGTCCTTGCTTCTCCAGGTGTGGTCGGCATCCCTGGGAAGCTTGTTTACACAAGCTTCTGGGGTCTCACTTTCGGGGATTTTGATTCATAGGAATAAGGTGGACTTAGAAATCTGTGTTTTAATAAGCACCCCCAACCCTTCCTCAGAGATCTTACTATAAAGCTCAAGAACCATTCATTGGTCCAGGTTCATCTGGTCTAGGAGAGTATGAAAGGGAAGCGTAATGAAAGCACATGTTCACTCATGGCTGCCCTTGACTTCCTTTGGAATTCTCACTCCTTTTGGCCCCAGTTCCATGGGTCTTTGTACAACTGGCTGCTACCACCATGCCTGGCTCTGGGGCTCTTCCATTCCCTTGGCTTGGCTGTGGACAAATACATACTCTCTTTGGCCTGGTGCAGCTGTGGATGCCTGCCAATTGTTTTCTAGTCGTTGCTCTGCTGCTAAGAATTAGTTCACACCAAGTTTTGATCCCACTGATTGAGAAGAAGCCCAATCAGGGCTCCTGATTATGGTGGCTAAGAGCATGGTAGTTACGGTCTTGGCCATGGAAGTTGGAGGGACCTGAGTTTAAATCTCAGCCCCACTCAGTAACATGGCTGTGTGGTTTAAGTCAGACACAGGATCTTTTTGGGCCTCTACTTTCAGATCTGCAAAATAGGATGAAGATATTTTCTGTACCTATGTCAAAGAGTTGATGAGTGGGAAGAATGAAAACATATTCTAAAGGTAAGATTGTGACATGACTGTTGTGCTATAGAGAAAAATATTCAAATTGGTTGCCATGATCCCTTAGAAATTAAAAGACTCCAACATTCTTTTATGTTGAGAGAAATCCCCCAGTATTCTGGAAGTAGTGGGGAGGATGGAGAAATTTTCCTTTATGGGAAACTTAGAAAAAAAAAAGTTGAAATCAATGAAAGCTGACCACCTACCATGAAACTAAGATCAAAGCTGTTCTCTTTCAAATGCAAGAGGAGAAGTTAGCTGGTTGTGTTTGTCTTTCTTCATGTGGGGTGTCTTCTCAGGGCTTGCCACTTGCGGAGTGTGAGCCTAGACAGTGGTCAAGGCAAACCCATATCCTCCCTTGTAAAATGGGAAGGACAATTGCAGGGTCCATCTCAAATTTTATTTGTTAGTTGATAGACACCCATTGTCAGGAAGAAAACTGCTCTCGAAGAGCTGGAGGCCTTCACACCTGCCAGCTGAAGCGTTTGAGGCTGTACCGGCTGCTTCTGAGAAGGCCCTAGTTGTCACACTTGAGCAACTGAGCATCTGGGTGGCTGGAAACCCAAGAACGGTGCCTAGCTCGGCTCTGTCCGGCCTCGAGTCCCCTCATCCCAGACTGAACTGCTGGGGGTGCCCTCTGGAGGTTTATTCGTTTTGGTCTCCTGGTGTTGAAGAATCTGGCTCCTTTTCTTCTTCTTCTGTTTTTTTAAAATTATTTTTATTTCTTATTGATTAAGGCCTCCAGCTTTGCAAAAGAATCTGCCCCCTGCTTTAAAAAACAAAAAAATATTTTTTCTTTTTCTTTTTTTTTGAGGCAGGGTCTCACTCTGGTTACCCAGGCCGGAGTGCAGTGGCCCGATCTTGGCTTACTGCAGCCTTGACTTCCTGGGCTCAAGTGATCCTCCCACCTCAGCCTCTTGAGTAGCTGAGACTACAGTTGTGTGCCACCATGCCCGGCTAATTTTTGCATTTTTGTAGAGACAGGGTTTCACCGTGTTGGCCAGGCTGGTCTTGAACTCCTAACCTCAAGCCATCTGCCCACCCCGGCCTCCCAAAGTGCTGGGATTACAGGCATGAACCACCATGCCCAGCCTGGCCCCTGCTTTTAACAGGATCACTAGCTATGCTCAGCTGGAGTCTACCGCATGCAGTAGGTGCAAACCTGAGCCTATAATTCTGTGCTTTAATTGTGCAACAGGACTTTGAAGCAGGCCTTTCCCAAACTGGTGGTGTGCAGGGGAAATGCCTTGTAGATATTGCTCACAATAGGGAAATCCTCTCCAGTATACTCTGACTGGGGCAGAAATCCTCAGTAAAGGGTTGGGCTTTGAGAGGTATTTCAAAAGAGAGATTAACACTTGTTGTAGAAGTGCTAATCACTGATTGAATTAATCAAGGGCCAAACTACAAGGTGTTCACAAGAAAGATTAGTGACTTCGGGTGTGAATATTCGAAACCAGTATTGGGAAGCCCGGGCCCTGAGGTTTTCCTGAGCACACAACAAAAAAAGGACAAATAGAAGACAGGGTAACGAACGCACCTAGCAATTTCTCCCTAGGCAGTGTTTAGGAATCATTGTTGGAAATATTAACTATCAAGTACATATACAATGTTTAATTTATAATAAGCACTCACACATGTCAGGTTTTGTTATCCCTTTTGTCTACTAAGACCCCTTATTAGAAATTTCAACTGAGAACTAGAGCAAAACATTTTTTTTCTTTAGAGAGAGAGAAAAAGACTGGCTCAATTACTTTTTTAAACATTGAAGAATAGTTTGCCTGCAGGAAAGTTAATAGATCTTAAACAGTGTAAGTTCAACTTCTTTTATAATAAAAGATTGGGAAACAGATTTCAGTGCTACAACATACGGTAAAATGATTTTGTACTTCCTTTCTAGAAAAGGGGATCTGTAATTAGAGAACCAAATAACCAAGGACGTATAACCTGAAAGTGAAATTAGAGCATGTAAGGAAATGGTTGCTTCAAACAAACAGCTATGTCCAAATCACTGAGGCTGTAGGAAATGGTTTTCTAGGAAGTCTGTATTTGCAGGGGACACAGTGGGAGGGAGTGGGGAGGAGGTGGGTACCTGGTGGTGGTTTCTTAGAGAACAAGGAGCTTTGAGAATGAAGTGTTAATTTTATAAGAATATGATGAACAAATCCAAAAGAAGGAAACAAAAAAAAGAACAGAAGGAGATAATATATTAAGTGGAGTTAACTTGGAAAAAGTCATTTAAAAAAATCCAGGTGGGGCCGGGCACAGTGGCTCACGCCTGTAATCCCAGCACCTTGGGAGGCCAAGGCGGGTGGATCACCTGAGGTCGGGAGTTCCAGACCAGCCTGGCCAACATGGTGAAACCCCCTGTCTACTAAAAATACAAAACAAACAAACAAACAAGCAAAAAACCGGTCATGGTGCTATGCGCCTTTAATCCCAGCTACTTGGGAGGCTGAGGCACGAGAGTCGCTTGAACCCAGGAGGTGGAGGTTGCAGTGAGCCAAAGTGGTGCTACTGTACTCCAGCCTGGGCGACAGAGTGAGACTCTGTCTCAAAAAAAAAAAAAAAAAAAATCCACGTGAAACAATTGATAGGTGAATGAGTGCTTTCTTACAACTGAATAGAGGAAGGAGGAGGACACTTACATTTATTAGGCTTTTGTAGGGCCATTGAAGGACAAGGAGGGGTAAAACCATAATATACTTTAGGCTTCCAGCCCAAAGAGGACTTCACATTTAGACAATTGTAGACTAAAGAACTTGAGTAGATGATCCCTTGTAAACATCACTGTAACATACTACAAGGTGGGTAATATTACAGATGGGAAAACAGAAGCTCAGTTTAAAGTCCTGGAAATATCAGTGTACGTTTTGAATGTAAACCAGCCAAAACGGATCCAAAGTTGTGGAAACATGCATCTAACTTTTCTTAGATGGAAAAATTTGTTTACGATACAAATACAGTAATTTATACAATTATTCAGGTAATTAGCAGGTTTAAAATTTTTATCACCTAGACCAGCACTGTCCAATAAATATGTAATGTGTGCCACCTATACATATGTAATTTAAACTCTTCCAGCAGCCACATTTTAAAAAGTAAAATAAACAAGTAAAATTAATTTTAATAGTATATTCTATTTAATATGCCATTTCAACAAATAATAATATCATGTAATAACATGTGATACAAAATTATTAATGAGATAGTTTACTTTTTTCCATGTTAAATCTTTGATTTATGGCATGTATTTTTAGACCTACAGTCTATCTCAATTCAGCCTAGCCACACTTCAAGTGCTCGGTAACCACATGTAGCAATCATACTGGACAACAGAGACACAGATTATGTAAAGTACAAAGGCACTGGTTCTACCCTTGGAGGTTATGACCCCATAAGCCAACAATATGAGAGATCCACCAGAATGTGAGTTAATAAATGGTGAGCGTCTCCCTTTTTGTTTTCCCAGAGAAAAGGCCATAATTTGAGGGGTTTTTGTTGTTGTTCTCAATACAGACAAAGCAAAAGTAACCTTTTACCCCTTTGCCTCTGGTCCTAATTCTCTCTCCAGAAGTAGCCACGGTTAGCAGTGTGGTGTTTCTAGATCTATTTTGTATGATTTTACATATATGTAAAGCATATCTTTGATATGTGTGTTTTATTTCATTTAATTTTTTTTTAATTTTAATTTTTTTTTTTTTGAGACGGAGTTTCACTCTTGTTGCCCAGGCTGGAGGATGCGGTGCAATCTCGGCTCATGGCAACCTCCATCTCCTGGGTTCAAGCAGTTTTCCTGCCTCAGCCTCCAAAATAGTTGGGATTATGGCTAATTTTTGTATTTTTAGTAGAGACAGGGTTTCACCATGTTGGCCAGGCTGGTCTCGAACTCCTGATCTCAGGTGATCTGCCCACCTTGACCTCCCAAAGTGTTGGGATTACAGGCATGAGCCACCATGGCCCGCTGATGTGTGTGTTTAAAAAAAAAAGCTTGGTGAGCTGAGTGTGGTGGCATGTGCCTGTAGTCCCAGCTACTTGAGAGGTTGAGTCAGGGGGATCATTTGAGCCCAGGAGCTCAAGGCTGCAGTGAGCTATGACCTTACCACTGCACTCTAGCTGGGTGACAGAGTGAGACCCTGTTTCAAAAAAAATATTTTTTTGATGACATAGTATAATTTCTTTCAATTCGCTTTTCTCATTTAACAATAGGACTTTGAAAACTCTTCATGTTGGTAGAAATTTCACCCTCATTCTTTTAAACTGTTGCATAGTAGTCTGTAGTTTAACCATTTCCCTGTTGATGGACATGTAAGCTATTTCTAATTTACTGTTGTTATTTTTAGAACAGCAATGGACAAGACAGCCTGTTTTTGATGGTGAAAATAGCAACATTGTTAGAGAGGAGAATGGAAAGTCCGTCAGAGACTGATAAATTAAATACGTTGTTCAGCCAGGTGGGTAGCTCACGCCTGTAATCCCAGCACTTTGGGAGGCAGAGGCGGGAGGATTACTTGAGGTCAGGAGTTCGAGACCAGCCTGGACAACATAGTGAAAGCCCATCGCTAACTAAAAATACAAAAATTAGCCTGGCGTGGTGGCATAAGCCTGTAATCCCAGCTTCTTGGGAGGCTGAGGCAGGAGAATCACTTGAACCTGGGAGGTGGAGGTTGCAGTGAGCTGAGATTGCACCACTGCACTCCAGCCTGGGCAATGCAGTGGGACTCTGCCTCAAAAAAATAAAAATAAAAATAAATAAATAAATACATTGTTCAAATTGTATAGCCTGAGGCCATTGCTGATGCCTCTCTTTGAGCTATACCATTTCCCCCTGAGATGCTCAAAATAAGTCTTTGCAAGTGTTTTTGTTTGTTTGTTTGTTTGTTTTTGTTTTTCCTTTTTTTCTGGTTAGAGGACAGCTTGGCTTTTCAGGGATAAATAGAAAGAATTTTTTTTTTTCAATCCCAGGAATGTGAAAGCCTTCAGCAAGAAGAATAATGTGGTCCCAGTTTGGAAAATTACCTGGGACTCTTCATCCCCTCACCCTATCCTTCAGGTTTCTTCCTGGCTGCTCACTGGTGTCCTGACCCAGTCCTGGCTCCTTGTCTCTTCTCTGCTAGTGCCCTATGCTCCAAAATTCCTCTTTACTTTAATCCTTCCTGGGAGAAACCAATATGATTAAGTTAGTGACAATGATCAATACTTCTCTAACCATCATAAGGAAGGACTGTACTTTGAACACTGTGTGTTAAATTAATGATTCTCTATATCCATCTATCCATGCATTCAACAAATATTTAATGACATCTAACATCTCCCCGGGCTAGGCCCTGGGGATGCAAAGAGGCAGGACAGCCCGTGATGTTATGAGTGGTATCCTAGAGGGTATTACAAATGGAAATAAAGACATTCAGGTACGTGCTGGGAGTGACAGTCATCTTTGGGGTGGTATGAGAGGAGTATATTGTAAAAAGAAACCATTTCAGGATCTACCCAAAGAAATATTTATTTACTTGAGACAGAGTCTTGCTCTGTTGTCCAGGCTGGAGTACAGTGGCGAGATCATGGCTCACTGCAGCCTCAACCTCTGGGCTCAAGCAATCTACTCACTTCAGCCTCCCAAGTAGCTGGTATTACAGGAGCAAGTCACCATGCCCTGCTAATTTAAAATTTTTTTGTAGAACCAGGTTCTCCCTACGTTGTCCAGGCTGGTCTTAAACTGCTGGGCTCAAGAGATCCTCCTGACTTGGCCTCCCAAAGCACTGAGATTACAGTGTGTTAAGTGAGTCTCCTGAAGGCAGCAGATAGTTGGTTGGTGAGTTCTTATCCATTCTGCAGTTATGTATCTTTTAAGTGGAGCATTTAGGCCATTTACATTCAATGATAGTATTGAGATGTGAGGTACCATTCTGTTCATTGTGCTATTTGTTGCTTGTGTACCTTGGTTTTTTTGTTTTTTGTTTTTGATTTTTAAGTTGTATTTTTCTTTTATAGGTTCTGTGTGATTTATGCTTTAAAGAGGTTATGTTTTGATGTGTTTCCAGAATTTGTTTCAAGATTTAGAGCTCCTTTTAGCAGTTCTTATAGTGGTGGCTTGATAATAGTGAATTCTCTCAGCATTTGTTTATCTGAAAAAGACTGTTATCTTTCCTTCATATATGATGCTTAGTTTCACTGGATACAAAAATAACATGGTCATCCTGTAGGCTATCACTTAACATGTAAGGACTCACATAAACTTAAAGTAAAGGGGTGGAAAAAGGCATTTCATGCAAATGGACACCAAAAGTGAGCAGGAGTAGCTATTCTTATATCAGACAAAACAAATTTTAAAGCAACAGCAGTTAAAAGAGACAAAGAGGGATATTATATAATGGGAAAAGGCCTTGTCCACCAGGAAAATAGCACAATCCTAAACATATGTACACCTAACACTGGAGCTCCCAAATTTGTAAAACAATTACTAATAGAACTAAGAAATGAGATAGACAGCAACACAATAATAGTGGTGGACTTCAATACTCCACTGATAGCACTACGCAGGTCATCAAGACAGAAAGTCAACAAAGAAACAATAGATTAAAAATATACCTTGGAAAAAATGGACTTAACAGGTATATACGGAACACCAACAACTGCAGAATACACATTCTATTCAACAGCACATAGAACTTTCTCCATGATAGGCCACAAAACGAGCCTCAATAAATTTAAGAAAATTGAAATTATATCAAGCGCTCTCTCAGACCACAGTGAAATAAAACTGGAAATCAACTCCAAAAGGAACTTTCAAAATTATGCAAATACATGGAAATTAAATAACCTGCTCCTAAATGATCATTGGGTCAAAAACAATATCAAAATGGAAATCAAAAAATTCTTCAGGCTGAACAATAATGACACAACCTATCAAAACCTCTGGGATACAGCAAAGGTAGTGCTAAGAGGAAAGTTCATAGCCCTAAATGCCTACATCAAAAAGATTTAAAGAGCACAAACTGACATTCTAAGGTGACACCTCAAGGAACTAGAGAAAAAAGAACAAACCAAACCCAGCAGAAATCAAGAAGGTCCAAGGTCCAAGGTCCAAGAAAAAAGGACCAAGATCAGAGCAGAACTAAATGAAATTGAAAAAAAATATATAAAAGATAAGTGAAACAAAAAGCTGGTTCTTTGAAAAGATAAATACAATGGATAGACCATTAGCAAGATTAACCAAGAAAAGAAGAGAGAAAATCCAAAGAATCTCATTAAGAAATGAAACAGGAGATATTACAACTGACACCACTAAAATACAAAAGATCATTCAAGGCTACTGTGAACACCTTCATGCACATAAACTAGAAAGCCTAGAAGAGATGGATAAATTCCTGGAAAATACAACCTCCTAGCTTAAATCAGGAAGAATTAGATACCCTGAACTGACCAATAACAAGCAGCGAGATCATCTCAATAGATGTAGAAAAAGCATTAGACAAAATCCAGCATCGCTTTATGATTAAAACTCCCAGCAAAATCGGCATACAAGGGACATACCTCAATGTAATAAAAGCCATCTATGAGAAATTCACAGCCAACATAATATTGAAGGGGGAAAAGTTGAAAGCATTCCCTCTGAGAACTGGAACAAGACAAGAATGCCCACTCTCACCACTTCTCTTCAACATAGTATTGGAAGTCCTAGCGAGAGCAATCAGACAAGAGAAAGAAATAAAGGGCATCCAAATCAGTAAAGAGGAAGTCAAATTGTCACTCTTTGCTGGTGATATGATTTTTTACCTCGAAAACCCTAAAGACTCCTCCAGAAAGCTCGTATAACTGATAAAAGCATTCAGCAAAGTTTCTGGATACAAGATAAATGTACACAAATCAGTAGCTCTTCTATATACCAACAGCACCTAAGTGGAGAATCAAATCAAGAACGCAACCCCTGGCCAGGCACAGTGGCTCACACGTGTAGTCCTAGCAATTTGGGAGGCCAAGGCGGGTGGATTGCCTGAGCTCAGGAGTTCGAGACCAGCCTGGGCAACACGGTGAAACCCCGTCTCTACTAAAATACAAAAAATTAGCCAGACATGGTGGCAGGCGCCTGTAATCCCAGCTACTCGGGAGGCTGAGGCAGGAGAATTGCTTGAACCTGGGAGGTGGAGGTTGCAGTGAGCTGAGATCACACCACTGCACTCCAGCCTGGGTGACAGAGCAAGACTCTGTCTCAAAAAATAAAATAAAGTAAAATAAAATAAAATACAATAAAATACAATAAAACAAAATAAATGAACTCAACCCCTTTTACAATAGCTGCAAAAAAATAAAATACTTAGGAATATACCTAACCAAGGAGGTGAAAGACCTCTACAAAGAAAACTATGAAACACTGCTGAAAGAAATCATAGATGACACAAACAAATGGAAACACATCTCATGCTCATGGATGGGTAGAATCAATATTGTGAAAATGACCATACTGTCAAAAGCAATCTACAAATTCAACCCAATCCCCATCAAAATACCACCATCGTTCTTCACAGAATTAGAAAAAACATTCTAAAATTCATATGGAACCAAAAAAGACCCCACATAGCCAAAGCAAGACTAAGCAAAAAGACCAAATCTGGAGGCATCACACTACCTGATTTCAAACTATACTATAAGGCCATAGTCATCAAAACAGCATGGTACTGGTATAAAGGTAGACATATAGACCAATGGAACAGAATAGAGAACCCAGAAATAAACCCAAATACTTACAGCCAACTGATCTTCGATAAAGCAAACAAAAACATAAAGTGGGGGAAATGACACTGTTTTCAACAAATGGTGCTGGGATAATTGGCTAGCCACATGTAGGAGAATGAAACTGGATCCTTATCACTCACCTTACACAAAGATCAACTCAAGATGGATTAAGGACTTTAATCTAAGACCTGAAACTATAAAAATTTAGAAGTTAACATTGGAAAAACCCTTCTAGACATTGGCTTAGGCAAGGATTTCATGACCAAGAACCCAAAAGCAAATGCAGTAAAAACAAAGGTAAATAGCTGAGACTTAATTAAACTAAAGAGCTTTTGCACAGCAAAAGGAACAGTCAGCAGAGTAAACAGACAACCCACAGAGTCGGAGAAGATCTTCACAATCTATACATCTGACAAAGGACTAATATCCAGAATCTACAACAAACTCAAACAAATCAGTAAGAAAAAAACACAATCCCATCAAGAATTGGGCTAAGGACATGAATAGACAATTCTCGAAAGAAGATATAGAAATGGCCAACAAACTTATGAAAAAATGCTCAGCATCACTAACGGTCAGGGAAATGCACATCAAAACCACAATATGATACTACCTTACTTCTGCAAGAATGGCCATAATCAAAAAATAAAAAACAGTAGATATTGGTGTGAACGCAGTGATTAGGGAACACTTCTACACTGCTGGTGGGAATGTAAACTATTACAGCCACTATAGAAAACAGTGTGGAGATTCGTTAAATAACTAAAAGTAGAACTACCATTTGATCCAGCAATTCCACTACTGGGTATCTATCCATAGAAAAAGAAGTCATTATACGAAAAAGATACTTGCACACGCATGTTTATAACAGCACAATTCGCAATAGCAAAATTGTGGAACCAACCCAAATGCCCGTCAATCTGCAAGTGGATAAAGAAACTGATATATATATATGAATACTACTCAGCCATAAAAAGGAATTTGCAGCAACCTGGATGAGAGTGAAGACTATTATTCTAAGTGAAGTAACTCAGGAATGGAAAACTAAACATCATATGTTCTCGCTGATATGTGGGAGCTAAGCTGTGAGAATGCAAAGGCATAAGGATGATACGATGGACTTTGGGGACTTTGAGGGAAAGGTGGAAGAGGGTTGAGGGATAAAAGACTACAAATAGGGTGCAGTATATACTGCTTGGGTGGTGGGTGCACCAAAATCTCACAAATCACCACTAAATAACTTACTTATGTAACCAAATACCACCTGTACTCCAATAACCAATGAAAAAAAAAGCCTATAGGATCGCTTGAGGCCAGGAGTTTGAGACCAGTCTGGGCAACATAGAGAGACCCTAGCTCTACAAAAAATAACAACAAGAAAAAGTTGGTCAGATGTGGTGGCATGCACCTGTAGTCCCAGCTATTTGGGAGGCTGAGACAGTAGTATTGGTTGAACCCAGGAGTTTGAGGCTGTAGTGACCTACGATTGTGTCACTGCACTCCAGCCTAAGTGACAGAGCAAGATCCTATCTGAAAAATTAAATTAAACTATATTATTATTATTTGAGACAGAGTTTCACTCTTGTTGCTCAGGCTGGAGTGCAATGGCACAATCTCGGCTCACTGCAACCTCTGCCTCCCGGGTTCAAGTGAATTGCCTGCCTCAGCCTCCCAGGTAACTGGGATTACAGGCATGTGCCACCATGCGCAGTTAATTTTTTTTTTTTGTATTTAGTAGAGATGGGGTTTCACCATATTAGTCAGGCTGGTCTCAAACTCCTGAGCTCAGGTGATCCACCCTCCTCAGCCTCCGAAAGTTCTGGGATTACAGGTGTGAGCCACTGCACCCAGCCAAATTAAACTAAATTAAAAAGACCACTCTAAGTTAAAACTTAGTGAAAAGGTAAAAGTCCATTTAAAGATATTCCAAAAATGGAACATACACTCCTCTGCCACACACTCTGCTCCTAAGGTTTTTCCCTCTACCCTGCTCCTTGTTTCTCATGGCCTGTCCTGGCCGTGGATGATTCCTTTACCCCTTCTCACCTCACAGTATAGCTTCTTCTCATTTCAGGCAAGGAACAAATGTGGCACATCAGAGGCAGGTGGTCCAGAGCCCATGGTATAAAACATCATGTAATGAAATCTCAAATGTCAAATCTCATCTGTGAGATAAGTTACCATGCAAAGCAGGATATGAGTACAGAACTGGCACCTTCTTCTCTACTGCAGCATTTCATAAAGTCATGTATGGAATATCTTTAATAATAAATTATGCAATGTAGAATTATAGTAACCTAAAATATTTTGAAATCGATTTCTGCTTCCTTCCCTCTCACATTGACCAGACAAGCCTGGCATCTATCCAAAAAGGATTTTTAATTAGTGAGTCATTAGGCTGTGTAAAAAGAGCTAACCTTGTGTAAAGGTTCTCCCTTTCACAAAACAAAGAGGCTTCAATGACCAAAACTCATTAAAGTGAAGATTAAACATTTTAACACGAAGAGTGCCCTAATTCAGCAAATTTTATTTATTTCCAAATGTAGTGCTACCGACAATGAAGGCAATTCGAAAAGTCATAACCCAAGACAATTATTGTGCAGGGCTTTTGGAGTTCCCTGTAAATTTTCTCCGGTGACCTTAGAGCCCACGCTGGACCACATAGCCAAATATTTGTATTAGGTGTTCCTGTGTTTAGCACACTAATTAAAAAGATGGAATTCTTTGATTCTATCTCAAATCATTTTACTTCTAATCTCTTTCTGGAAAAGCCTGCTGAATAAATGGAACTAAGAGTAGGCTTTCTGAAAAGAGCCTTTACTGTGTTGCAATAAATCCAGGGACTTAGGACATTAATGTACTTGAAGTGCTCTTAATGTGTCAATGGTGCGGAGCATCCTTAGAGTCCTATTTCAGAGACCTTTACCTTGAAGGTTATAAATTCTTTGAGAAATTACTATAATGGGGACAAGCTTTACCAAAGGAAACATCGAGTTCAAACATAGCTAAATGCACTGGCCAGAAGGGCAGGGTTAAGGACAGGTGAGGAAGCCACGACACTTTGAGGCATTGACACAAAAAAACTTGTTTGCAGTGAGGTCACATGACTGGCCCTGAAATCTACACCGAGGAAACCAAAACACCATTTTAAATCTCTCCATTGATCCTAAAATAATATATTTCTCTTCCTTCTTTCTGTTTACAGTTTAGGAGTGGGAGGGGCCTTAGAGAGCACCTGTCTGAAGGGTAGGCTGAGGACCGCTTGCATCATAATCACCTGGAGGAATTATACAAAATGAACATTTCCAGTCCCAAGCCCATTCCTATGGAACCAGAATTCTTGGTGCTGGTGGTGGTGGGGGGGTGGCAGTTTAGGGAACTTAGAATCTACATTTTTACAATTTTTAAAATAGTTATTTATTTTTTAAAAGCAATAATAAAATCATTATGTTAATGCACATTGCATATCATATGAAAAAAAAATTATATCATCCCAAACAACAAATAATGTAATTTAAAGTCTTCTGGCAGCCACATTTTAAAAAGTGGATATTATTTTACAATTTGGCTATCATTTTATCATTTCATATAGTGGTATCACTTTACATTTTTGCAAATCTCTTTAATATCTTATAATATTAACATTAACAGAGGACAGCTGGGCTCTTTTCTGCTTCTGCATTGCATCTGTTATGTTGTGTGGTCGAAGTCTGACCTCATATAGATATGTAGTTGAAAACAAAAGAGGGGTATTTTAATAGCATTTTCAGATCATTGTGAATTTTTTTCTTTGCAATTTTACCAAAACTATATAAATAGCAATTTCTTAAAGGATAATTACAATGTGAAATCTGAAATCATATAATTGATTATATCATTGCCTATATCATTATTATATTATTACATTGATATATTATCTACTAGGAATCTGAATTTTTGTTAACCAGCTACTTAGTGTGATGCTTATACAGACTATAGTTTGAGAACCATCAAATCTAATTCAGTCCTTTTGTTACACAGAGGTAAACTGAGGTCCCATGAATGTATCTTTTCTTCACTTAGTCCAAAGGCCTTTCCTTTTTTGATACTTGTTAGTGAGTAATAAACTGCTAGAAACATAATGGGGACCTGTACATTTCTCTAAATTCCTCTGTAAATTCTTTGGGTCCAGTAGGCCTATTCCAAAGAGGAAAATGGGGAGAATGGGGGAGGATGGGGAGAAAGGTTAACCTTTCCCATTTTCCCCATTCTGGATATGTAACCTTTTTCCCCATTGGGTATCTGGATAGGGTAACCTTTCTCCCCATTATTCAGTGGGCAAGATATTCAGGGAACTCAATAGGAGACAGAAGCCAAACCAGAAAGCAAATGACTTTCTTTATATGAAGAGGCAAACCTGGGTCTTCACAACTTTGTAATTGCTTTAGTTTTCACAGATTCCTGATACATTAGACCAGAGTGAGATGTTGGTGTCTTTGATCAAATCATGACCCCTCTCAAAATGTGTGCAAACATTCATATTTATGCCAGTATTTCTTTATGTAGTTTTACTAGAGCTTTCTTTCCTCCCCTAGACCAAGGTGAAAAAGATTTTTAAAGTTGGGTCTCCCCTGAAATAAAGATGCATTCCCCAGGAGGGGGAGGGAGAAGAGTGCTCATGTTGCATCCTCCCAAAACAGAGACCAGTAGCTGACACCCAATATCCGTTCTCACTTTCTACCATAACAGAATTTGCAGCTATGCACATGGCCCCAGAATTAAAACTACATTTCCCAACATCCCTTGCAGCTAAATGTTACTTAGTCTAGCCAAAGGGATGTAAGTTGAAATGCCAGATGGCATTTCTGGAAATCTTTCTTAAGAGGTAACTGGTGTTTGCTCCTCACAGTTTCTTATTTCCTTGCTCCTGGAGAGAGCTGACGGGCGCTTCATCATGGGCCATGAGAACAAGGCCTAACTAAGTGTAGGGTCCTTGGAATGGTGAGCAGAAAGTTGGAAGGAGCCCGGGACCCTGAGGACTTTATAGAGTAGGACTAGCATCTCAGTCTGGGCTTACTTTTTTGATTGTTACATGAGAAATAAACATCATTCTAGCTTGTTTGAGCCGCTGTTATTCTGGGTCTCTATTACTTGCAGCTAGCTCTAACCTCACGGACACCTCCTTTTGTATGGGAGAAAAGGATGACTAGTTGTAGAATCCTCATAGGCTGCCAGTTGTCCTATGACGTCACCACCTATAAGAGCTCTGCAGTGTGCAGCAACAATGAAACAGTGGTGCGTGCCTAGGGAGTCTCTGGGGAGCGTGGCATCTCCCAGCTGCCCATGGAACAGGTGGGCTTGCTTGGCATCCTGGGCATGCATGGTGTTTCCAACTAGATGGAGGACAGGAACCTCACTCTGCTTGATTCCTTGGCTCTGCCCTCCCCTAGGTGACCTGGGTGGGTGTAGCTTCATTGAACCTGGAGGATCACATTAGGAATGGACAGTACCTGTCAATTTGTCTCTGTAGATAGGTGTTTAATTGTACTAGAGATTCATTTTTAACACTTTAGCTTTAACATGTTTATATTTGTGTGTTATAGTGCACTTTATAATCGATTTGTATTTCTCTTAATGTTTCACTAATTTTTACCTGTTTTAGCTTTGATATAATTTTATTCTTTTACATCTGAGTTTTTGGTTTTTAATCTGGTTTATTCTTAGCTATTTTAATTTATTTGCACTGTTATTATTTTCCACTTTTATCTTATTATTTTATTGTTTCATGTTTCATTCCTTTAATCTTTTGATTAGATTTTTTAAAATCTACTTCTACTTTCTTTTTACTTATCTTTTTTAAATTTTTAATTTTTTTTAGAGACAGAGTCCTCCTACCTCAGCCCCCTGAGCAGCTAGGACTACAGGCACTCATCGCCATGTCTAGCTTATTTTAAAAGGTTTTATTTATTTATTTTTGAGACTCACTGTCACCCAGGCTGGAGCGCAGTGGCACAATCTCAGCTCATTGCAACCTCTGCCTCCTGGGTTCAAGCGATTCTCCTGCCTCAACCTTCTGAGTAGCTGGGATTAAAAGCATGTGCCACCACACCCAGCTATTTTTTTTTTTTTGTATTTTCAGTAGAGACGGGGTTTCCCCATGTTGGTCAGGCTAGTCTCGAACTCCTGACCTCAAATGATCTGCCCGCCTCGACCTCCCAAAGTGCTAGGATTACAGGCATGAGCCACGGAGCCTGGCTTAAAAGTTTTTTTTATAGTGACAGGGTCTCACTGTGTTGCCCAGGCTGGTCTCAAACTCCTGGCCTCAAGTGATCCTCCCACCCACCTCGGCCTCCCAAAGCATTGGGATTATAGGTATGAGCCACAGTATCTTTTTATTTATCTTAATGTTACTAACATTTTCTTGGCATCCAGTTTTAAAAATTTTATTGTTACTTTAGCTTGTGATCTTTTGATTCTTGTGGTTTTAGTTCAATCTTTTTTTTTTTTTATTTTTTTTGAGACAGAGTCTCACTCTGTCACCCAGGCTGGAGTGCAGTGGTGTGATCTCGGCTCAGTGAAACTTCCGCCTCCTGGGTTCAAGTGATTCTCCTGCCTCAGCCTACCGAGTAGCTGGGATTACGAGCACCTGCCACCACGCCCAGCTAATTTTTGTATTTTTAGTAGAGACAGGGCTTCACCATGTTGGTCAGGCTGGTCTCGAACTCCTTACCTTGTGATCTACCCACCTCATCCTCCCAAAGTGCTGGGATTACAGGCATGAGCCACTGGGGCCAGCCTCAATATTTTTTTCTTCAAAGTTTTTTCTTGGCTGGTTGTGGTGACTCATGCCTGTAATCCCAGCACTTTGGGGGCAAGGCAGGAAGATTGGTTGAGCCCAGGAGTTCGAGACCAGCCCGGGCAACATAGCAAGACCCTGTCTCTAAAAAAAAAAAAATATATATATATATATACACATATATATAAAGTTTCTTTCTTAAATTTTTTATTTAACCTTTTCAATATTAATTTGTTTTATTCTTTAATATTAATGTGTCATAAGTTTCTCCTTTAAATTTTGGGCTTCTGGCTTTCTTTCTTTTTCTTTCTTTTATTTTTTTTGAGACAGAGTCTCACTCTGTTGCCCAGGCTGGAGTGCAGTGGTGCAATCTTGGCTCACTGCAACCTCTGCCTTCTAGGTTCAAGTGATTCTCCTGACTCAGCCTCCCAAGTAGCTGGGATTACATGCGCCTGCCACTGCGCCTGGCTAATTTTTGTAGTTTTTAGTAGAGATGGAGTTTCACCATCTTGACCAGGCTGGTCTTGAACTCCTGACCTCGTGATGCACCCGCCTCGGCCTCCCAAAGTGCTGGGATTACAGGTGTGAGCCACTGCGCCTGGCCCTGGCTTTATTTCTTAATTTTAGTAATCCCATTTCTTTTATGCTTATTTTTAATTTCCTATTCATAACTCCTGAATTTATTTTTATTCTTGATCTATTTGTTTTAATGGTAAGTAGAAAGTATGGCTACAAATGTGAAGCCATGGTATTCTAAATCCTCATTCTCTAACTTGCTTCTTCAACTAGGAGTACCTTGGCTGCAGGCTGGGGGATGAAGAAAGGGGAGGAGTCTGTAGTTTCTCTAATGGGTCAAAAGGTACTGGAACTATAGGATAAACATTGCATTTTCTTGAAGGATTCATTTTACTCAAAGTTCTAGGAGAACTTGTATCCTTGATGATCCTTGAAGAAAAGGGAAATTCTTTTTCTTTTTCTTTCCTTTTTTTTGTAACAGGATCTCATTCTGTTGTCCAGGCTGGATGATCATAGCTCAATGCAGCCTTGAGCTCCTGGGCTCAAGTGATCCTCCTGCCTCAGCCTCCCAAGTAGCTGGGACTGCAGGCATGAGTCACCACACCTGGCTAATTTTTTTATTTTCATTTTTAGAAAGGATGAGGTCTCACTATGTTGTCCAGGTTAGTCTTGAACTCAAAGCAATCCTCCTACCTCGGCCTCCAAAATGATGGGATTACAGGTGTGAGCCACTGCATCCAGCTGATAAATTATTAATATATGGAATCAAAATGCAGTGTCAACTTTAAAAATTCACCCCAAGTGTCAAAAATTGGTAGACTCAATGTAGTGACATCTCCACCATACACCAATGAGAAAAAGAAAATCTTCCAGATGACATTTGTGTCCAATAAGTAAACTGAAATGCTTCTGCCTTCTCTTTTCCTCCTCTTTAATCCTCCTTTTAAAATTAAATTCCCGGCCAGGCGTGGTGGCTCACGTCTGTAATCCCAGCACTTTGGGAGGCCGAGGTAGGCGGATCATGAGGTCAGGAGTTGAAGACCAGCCTGACCAACGTGGTGAAACCCCGTCTCTACTAAAAATATGAAAGTTAGCTGCCCGTGGTGGCGCGCGTCTGTAATCCCAGGTACTCAGGAGGCTGAGGCAGGAGAAACGCTTGAACTTGGGAGGCAGAGGTTGCAGTGAGCTGAGATAGCACCACTGCACTACAGCCTGGGTGGGCGACAGAGCAAGACTCCGTCTCAAAATAAATAAATAAATAAATTCCCGCCTTCTTTCAGCCAACCTTTGACAAGCCTTTCTGCTTCCCCTGGATTTGTTAATGCACGATCATTCCATCACAATTGTCCCATGGGGCCCAGTTTCTCATGCCTGGCTCAATTCATAGACAAAAGGGGCCTTAAAACATTGAACTTTCCTTCATTTTGTGTCATGCTCAGTGTAGCAAGGGATTATGTCTTACCTGGATATTTGTCAGGAGCCTGGCACAACGTCCTGTAGATGCACTGCAGATGTTCAATGAATGCTGAAAAAACAAATGGATGAATGAGTGAATGGATGGTTGGAGAGATGCTCAACATGTCAGGCCACCGTTGACTTCCTGACCTCCAAATGTAATAGCCTACTCTCAGTTTTCATCATTGCAAAATTTTCTACAACCTAACCTTCTCAACTTTCTCCTCTGTCCCTTATCCATTTCTTAAATATCCTCTCTCCCTTGGCTTTCAAAATTAAATACTATTCTGATATCATCACAACCCCTCCAAATGCTTATCCCTATACTCTTTACTGCTTCTTATTCCTTCTATTCCTTCTGCTGGCCTTAATTATGGACGTCCCAAGGCTCAGGCACTGGATTAATTTCTTTATTTTCTGCCTGGTTCTACCCAAACAGTTGTCACAGCTTCAACCCTCACCTCCATGCTGATAACGCCCAAATCCATATCTCTAGCCCTGACCTCTCACCTGAGTTCCTGCCTTTTATCTCTGTCTGTCTACCACTGGAGATTTCTGCCCAGATTTCTCACCACCACATATCCTAAACTCACCTCCTCAAATTCCTCTCTCTGGGAGGTTGTGTGTGTGTGTGTGTGTGTGTGTGTGTGTGTGTGTGTGTATTTTACTTGCTTTTGCTACCACTGCAAACAGTTGTGATAATAATAGCTACTGAGTGTCAGATACCTCATATTATTATTAGCTTATTTAATCCTCAGAACAACCCTGCAAGGTAGGAATTATCTTCATTTTTATAGGAAAGGAAACTGAGGCTCAGAGAAGTTAAACAACTTGCCCTGTATCACACAGCTACTATGTGGGATTCAAATTCAAGACTATCTAGCTCCAAAACTCATATTCTTTCCTCCAGATCATATAACTATGAAATTTGAAAATTTGTAGCCAAATTCCTTGAAAGGTGGGGAGCACCAGTGACCTCTATAAATCTTTGGAATTTGGCGTGAGCCACATCCCTCCACAGACAATGTTTGCCAAATAACAGGTGGTGATTAAACATGGAGGCTTTGGACTCAAGCAGACCGAGATCAATCCCAGTGCTATTCTTATTCATTTATTTATTTATTTTTGAGATGGAGTCTCTCTCTGTTGCCAGGCTGGAGTGTAGTGGCGTGATCTCGGCTCACTGCAACCTCCGCCTCCCGGGTTCAAGTGATTCTCCTGCCTCAGCCTCCCTAGTAGCTGGGACTACAGGCGCATGCCACCATGCCCAGCTAATTTTTGTATTTTTAGTAGTGATGGGGTTTCACCATGTTGGCCAGGAGGGTCTCAATCTCATGACCTCGTGATCCACCTGCCTTGGGCTCCCAAAGTACTGGGATTACAGGCTTGAGCCACTGCGCATGGCCTGCAGTGCCATTCTTTATATAGAGGTGCAGGATAGTTAGTCTGAGTGTCAGTTTACTCATTTTCAAAATGAGGACACTAACACCTACCTCCCAGGAGTATTGGAAAGGATACATAAAAGAATATATGTTAATAATCAACCCCAAGTGTCCATCAACTAGTAAGTGGGTAAATAGAATGTTATGCATCCATATGATGGAATACTATTTGGCAATAAAAAGGGGTGAATTCTGCTACATGCTACAACATGGATGAACCTTAAAAACATTATGCTAAATGAAAGAAGCCAGACACAAAGAAAGCCATATTGTGTTCTATTTTTGTGTGAAATGTCCAGAACAGGCAAATCTGTAGAAACAGAAAGATTAGTGGTTGACTAGAGTTACTGGTCAGGGTGGAATGGTAATGTTGGGAAGGGAATAGGGAGTGATTGCTAAAGGGAATGGAGGTTCTTTTTGGGGTGACGAGAGTATTCTAAATTGATTGTACTGTTGGTTGCACAACTCTGTGGATATAGTAAAAAGCATTGACTTGTATACTTTTACTTTATTTATTTATTTTTTTTGAGATAGAGTGTCGCTCTGTTGCCCAGGCTGGAGTGCGATGGCGTGATCTCGGCTCACTGCAAGCTCCACCTCCCAGATTCATGCCATTCTCCTGCCTCAGCCTCCCAAGTAGCTGGGACTACAGGTGCACACCACCATGCCTGGCTAATTTTTGTATTTTTAGTAGAGACGGGGTTTCACCACATTGGCCAGGCTGGTCTCAACTCCTGACCTCAGGTGATCTGCCCACCTCGGCCTCCCAAAGTGCTGGGATTACAGGCTTGAGCCACTGCGCCCGGCTGACTTGTATATTTTAACTGAGTGAATTGTTTGGTATATAAATTATATCTCAATAAAAATGTGTTAGAAAAAGAATGTATGTCAAATGCTTAGTTCTCACTGTTCTCCCTCAGTTCTCATTACTTTCTCCTCCTTGCCTCGTTTGTCACCAGCCACTGATTGTGGACATTTGCTCCTACTTGCAAGTGCCCTGGCTTTCCCTGAGCTTAATTAAGTGTAGAGATTTTATTTCTTCTTGTTAAACACTTAGTGGACTTGCCTTGTCTCCTTCTGAGGTGCTTGAGGGTTTGGGGGAGGTCTACCTGCTGCTCCTTATTGCTTGACCTTGGTCTTTGCCTGGGCTGTTCTGAACGTGCCCTCCTTCACTGAATCTGTCAAATAATCTTCCTCATCTACCTTTCAGACCTTCCTCAGCTCTTCATCAACAACCACTTGTTAGGTAACAACCCTAAATGAAGCCCCCTAAGCCTCCTGGGTGATACGAGGAGGTTAAACACTCAAGCCCTAGTCCAAAGAGTTCTTTGATTGTGGTTGGAGAAATAGCACATAGATACAAAAACACAACTAAGATGGGTCACAAATCTGTTAAGTGTCAAGTGTGCAATTCTCACTTGGGTGCTATGAGAGTTTAAAGATGTGAGAGATCATTGGTCAAGGAAGTCTTCAAAAAGCATTTCGGGCCAGGCGTGTTGGATCACGTCTGTAATCCCAACACTTTGGGAGGTCAAGGTGGGTGGATCACTTGAGGTCAGGAGTTTGAGACCAGTCTGGCCAACATGGTGAAACCCTGTCTCTGCTAAAAATACAAAAATTAGCCAGGCGTGGTCGCGTGCACCTGCAGTCCCAGCTGCTTGGGAGGCTGAGGCTGGAAAATCGCTTGAACCTGGGAGGCAGAGCTTGCAGTGAGCCAAGATTGCGCCACCATACTTCAGGCTGGGCAAGAGCGAGACTCTGTCTCAAAAACAAAAACAAAAACAAACAAACAAACAAACAAAATTTTGTTCTTGGGAATGCGTAAGCTTTATATTGAAAGAGGATGGAAGGCAGGCGCAGTGGCTCATGCCTGTAATCCCAGCACTTTGGGAGGCCGAGATAGGCAGATCATCTGAGGTCAGGAGTTTAAGACCAACCTGGCCAACATGGTGAAACCCCGTTGCTACTAAAAATACAAAAATTAGCCAGGCTTGGTGATGTGTGCCTGTAATTCCAGCTACTCGGGAGGCTGAGGCAGGAGAATCACTTGAACCCAGGAGGCAGAGGTTGCAGTGAGCCGATATTGCGCCACTGCACTCCAGCCTGGGTAACAAGAGTGAAACTCCATCTTGAAAAAAAAAAAAAAAAGAAAGAGGATGGAGTGTGTGAGCAAAAGCACAGATGTGGCTCTTCCTCTTCCTGCTCTATACACTTATTAGTACATATTATATGCTAGACTCTGGGGATATTTTAAAAAAAGAGCAAGATTGAGTCCTGCCCTCTAGGAGCTTACAGATGTAGTGAAGCTAGACACACAAAGAAATTACAAGAAGTCCATGCATATAGTGGAGCAAGTGAGTGAGTTATATGAGGGAGCTTATAAGACGTCACAGAAGAGGTGATCTTTGGACTTTCGGGGTGAAAAGCAGTTTCACATCAGGAAGTGGGAAAGCAGGGTACAGTGAAGGCAAAGGCACAGGCATGGAGGTGCATGCTGTGGAGCCGGGGCAGGTGTTCAAAGATGAGTAGAGCAGAGCTGGGAGCTGAGGCTGTGGAAAAGTGTTGGGGTTTCATTGTAAAGATTTTGTTTTGTGTGTGTTAAACAATATATGTTTTATACTGAGGCAATCAAAGGTGTTGGGGGCACACTTTCCACTTCTTTCAGGCAGAACTGTCTAAACCTCATTCTTTCTTTCTGCTTTCTCTTAAACCCCAGACCCCTTTCAATGCTTCCTGAAGCAAGGCTTTTTCTTGCCCGGATTAAACTCTGAATGCTGTCAGAGTCATCTCCTGAAGCTGTGCCATGCAGGTCCCCAAGAAAACCACACTCCTTGACCCTCTTCTGTCTAGCACATGCCTTACTGTGGGGTGGGGAGGGAAGCTTGAAGAGCAACTCCCTTGCAGAAGTCACTAAATTCAGAATCAAAATAATGTTGAGCTCATGGATTTTGCCTCTGGTCAAACACAACACATCTATTGCCTGCCTTTCCAAATTTTATTTTGGCTATAGCATTTTAAAATGCAGGCCCAAACTACCCCCCAAATAAGTCCTTATCATGGTCCCAGCATAAATTAGTACACTATCCATAGATTTATTTTCTTTCTAGGTACTGAAAGATTTAAGACATCCTTCCCCTCAAAACATAAATCCCTTTGTAGATCATTGAAGGATTTGTAGAAATGCATATAGCACATTCAAATGTACTTAAGAAGCATTTTTGAAAAGAATACCACATAGATTATTTCTACAATCTACAAGCAAAATGAGATTATAGCTTACAAACAAAAAAAAGGGCAAGTTTGTTGACTGAATTCATACTCATTTATCACACTCTCCTGTATGCATTAATATCTTTAACTGGCCAGTCAATCATAAAAAATTAAATTCTCAGTAAATCTTATCGGTACTACAAAAATAATGGGATTTCTGTTTACAAGGTGTCGATTGTGTTCAGAGTGTTTGATAATGACTGCAGACAGTCAATAAACACTGAGACATTTACATGGCCAGTAGGAGCCTAACTAAACTATCTAATCTTTCAAAAGACAGTCAACACAATGAACTCTAAACCTAATCCCCTCAAATACTGGAGAGACAGTTTAGTGCTTTAAATACTACTCAACTCCAAACCCCACACTAAAAGGAACCATTAAAGGTTTTTCTTAAACTCACAGAAGCGGAACATTTTGATTTCAGTTCCATTCTCTAGTGGCAAATCTTTACCTTACCTAAGTTCAACAATGTATAGGACCCGGGATTTGTGAAGGGTAACTAGTATTAGAAGTATTGACTAAAAGTGAAAGAGGAGTACTATCTGACACTTAAAAATTCAAAAATGGCTTTTAAAAAAATTTCAAGAAATTAAAGCACATTACTTGCTGGTTTTGTTCATTATAATCAAGTAAACTCAAGTTCAAAACTTTTGGATAGTTGGGGCTATATTTATTGCTGGGAGATTTTTTTAAGAAGCTGAAAAAAAAAAAGACTATTGATTGACCATTTCTTCTCTCTTAGGGCTGTATACTCAATGAAGAGAATGGTTTAAAAATTCTAAAATCCAGATAAGAGACTTTTGCATAAGGGAAGCTGAAAATGCCTGTCATGAATTTAGATACTAAATAAACTTGGGGCTTTTCAGTGGCATAGAGAGAAAGAAGGAGAATTTCAGCATGACTTTTGCAAATGTGTTTTTGACTCTGATATTTTTGTAATGTCAGTCAATAATATGAAGATGCTCGGGATGGTATTTACTAGTTAATGGCTAGAGAAACTGGGCCCTGACTACACACCCAGAAGGAATGTCTTTCCTGGGAGATTTGATTCAGGGCTACTTCATTCCTTTCTTATACACCTCCAAGGTGTTGGGTTCTTCCCTTTTCCTGTTTAAAGAGCCTGGCCAGAGAGGTTCTGATTTCTCTCTCTATTCCACACCCAAGGCAAGAGTGGGAATCAGGAAAGGGAAAGGGCAGCCCTGGTACATGTGCAGCAGCTTTAATGAACCGCTTCAGAAACAGATGTGGTCTTGCCCTGAAAGGCAGTTAACACAATAGACTGCTGGAGATCTGATGTTCAGTTCTCTTCAGGCTATAGAAATGGGAGATTCTTTGGTTGACCTGGCACAGAGCCCTCCTTTGTCACTGGAATATCTCCTTTGCCATTTGCAGAAAATGGCAGGAAGTGTATAAAAATCTGGAATCCTGGAACAGGATTTAATCCTGCCATGTTAGGAGGCCACTCTGTCTGTCTCAGGTCAGTGTTGGAGAGGACTGGAAGAAGGCTGATTGATTTTATTTTTGTGGGTGAACTTACACTGGCAAGCCCCTATGTTATAGACATCTTCGGACATCATTAAGGCTTAGATTTGAGAATTCCAGGACTTTTTATTTGTTGTTGTTAGTGGGCTCACACACACTCTGTGAACTCCAATAATCCTTCTGCTCTATTAGAACCTAAAACCCATTGATCTTCTTATATGTTTTCTGTCAATAACTTTTTCCATGTTACTTCCCTCCTTGCCCAGCTCAAATGTGTGGTCAAATGTTTTCATCACTCACCTGAATATACCTTCAACTTCCTTGCCCACCTCTCACTTTGTTGAACTATCTTGGCTAAACTACCATCTTTGTTAAATTCAACTTTTCCCTACTCCATCTCACAGTTGAACAAAAGGACACAGGTAAGCTGACCTCATTTTACATTCTTTTTTTTGTTTTGTTTTTTTTGAGACAGAATCTCGCTCTGTCGCCCAGGCTGGAGTGCGGTAGTGCGATCTTGGCTCACTGAAGCCTCCCCTTCCTGGGCTCAAGCAATTCTTCTGCCTCACTGCAGCCTCCCCTTCCTGGGCTCAAGCAATTCTTCTGCCTCAGCCTCCTGAGTGGCTAGGATTACAGGGGCGTACCACCACGCCCAGCTAATTTTTGTATTTTTAGTAGAGATGGAGTTTCACCATGTTGGCCAGGCTGGTCCGAAACTCCTGACCTCAAGTGATCTGCCCGCCTAAACCTCTCAAAGTGCTGGGATTACAGGCATGAGCCACAGTGCCCAGCCTCATTTTATATTCTTGATCACTCATCTCTGGTGGACCCTTAGCGATCATACTATGTTTTCCTAGCCCATTCATTCATTCATTTACTCTATTGGAAGAGGACTCTTTCATACCTTTTGTTCTTTTTGTTTTTTTTGAGACGGAGTATCGTTTTCTCGCCCAGGCTGGAGTGCAGTGGCACGATCTCGGCTCACTGCAACCTCTGCCTTCTGGGTTCAAGCAATTCTCCTGTCTCAGCCTCCCAAGTAGCTGGGACTACAGGCACACACCACCATGCCCAGCTAATTCCTTTTGTTCTTTTCTCAAAAATTCAACCACTCTTTTCCATCTTCATTGTCATGATAACCTTGCTTCCTATACACTGAGAAAACGGAAGTGAGCAGAAGAAAACTTCCATAAGGTCCCACAACAACATCTACCCACCTACCGAAATCTGGGCTTATAGACTCTTCCTTCTCTTCTGTTTCCGTGGAAGAACTCTCCATGCTCTTTTTAAAGACCATCACTTCCACTTACACACTAGAACCCTACCCCCTTCCCTCCCTTGCCTACAAAGTCAAGGACAGTGCTGCAGGCAATCCTCCCTTCACTCCCCTGCATTGTCACTTTCTGCCTTTTTTCCCAGTACCATATAAGCATCTCTCATCATAAAAAAAAATCTCATCTCTTGGTCCCACTTTCCCTTCTAGCTTACTACACACCCCAACCCCCATTTCTCTCTTTCCTTTTATAGCAAAATTCCGCAAAATAGTTGTATCTACTTGTTATCTCCAATTCTCCTCTTATTTCTTCTCCTTTTACCCCCACCACCCACTGAAATTACTCTTAAAAGGCAAACGTAGCAAATGTAGTGGTCTTATTTGACCTATCAGCAGCATTTAAAACAGTGACTCCCTGCTCATAAAGACTTCTTCCACATGGCTTCCACCACACTCCTGGTTTTCCTTCCACCTCACTGCTTCTCATCTTCTTGTCGGGTTCTTTCAGTTTTCCTGGGCTGTCTGTGCCCTAAATGAGAACATGCATTCCTGTTCTCCCGCTTAGCCAGCTTATGGTTAACACTGCCTGCTGGTTAACACTTAGCCATCCACAACAGTGGAGTGCCCCAGGGCTTATTGTTTGGAGCTCTT
Source organism: Homo sapiens (assembly GCF_000001405.40). Lineage (NCBI taxonomy): Eukaryota > Metazoa > Chordata > Mammalia > Primates > Hominidae > Homo > Homo sapiens. Next base: position 92,814,289 of record NC_000010.11, read on the forward strand.
CCGTTTTTCATCTGCACATACTACTTTAATGATTTCATTCAGTCTCAGGGATTTAAATACTATCTATGTATTGCTTGCTTCTAAATGTATATATCTCCAGTTTGTACCACCTCCTTGTGCTCCAGACTCTATGTCCACCTTCCAACTCAACGTCTCCATTTGAATGTCTAATAAACATCTGAGCCTCTGATCTCCTTCCACTCCCATTCTGAACCTGCTCCTCCCACCGTGTTCTCTTTTTCTCAGTAAGTGAACAACTCTATTCTTCCAGCTGCTTAAACAATAACAAAAAAATTTGGTGTCACCCTGGATTTCTCTTTCTCTCAGACCTCGCATTCTAATCCATTAGCAAATCCTGTTGGCTCTACCTTCAAAACATATTCAGAATCTGACCACCTTTCCCCATGTCCATCACTACCACCCTGGTCCAAATCCCCTTCTAGCTGGTCTCCCTGATCTGGCTACCTCTGATAAATAGCAGACATGAGATTCAGACCCAATTATTCTTCTATTTTGAAGACTTTGATCTTTTATGTGGGCTTTTCTGTCCCTCTGCTTCATCTTTTATGGTTGCAATTGTGGATACCTCCCCTATATCCATTCCCCCATTCTTTCTTCTTTAGACCAGATAAAGACTATCTTTCCCAACATCATGTGCAGGTAGGTTTGGCCATGTGACTAAGCCCTGACCAATGAGATAAAAGCAGAAGTAGCCGGATTGAACTTCCCGGAAAACCCTTATGTAAGGGGGACACACAGCTGGTCCACATCCTTTTTGTCCTTCCCCAGCCTCCTTCCTGCTGCCTGGACTGGGGGCTTGGTGGCTGGATCTGCAGCAGTGTTTTTGTATCCTGAGATGACCTTGAGAATGGAAGTCACTTGCTAAAGCTAGAAAGCAGAAAAGTAGAAGCAGTCTGGGTGTCTGATGACTTTGTGGAGCTACCATACCAGGTTTAGACTGCCCTAGTCCTTATCTGGACTCTTTTGCATGAGAAACTTAATAATATAATTTGCATTAAATATAAGGTATGGCTTACAAAATAACGAGACTGAGTCCATAGGTTTTCACCAAAGGTAAGCTCCATTACTTTAAGACTCTAAATAAAGGTTAAAGCAGTTACTACTCTCAATTCCTTCCACTGAAACATCATCTTAAGACAAATTTCTGTATAATACAAACTTTGGATCTTTATGAATATTTAAACATTACAAACTCTTCCAAAAGAAAAGGAGAATAATGGGATTGTCCACTGTGTCAGAATTTGACTAATATGATGTTGATGCCTTATAAATGACTTCAAAAAATGTATGGTCCTGATCTTTCCTGTTATTGAGATAAAGTTTTAAACCTCCAAATCACAAACCTGCCTCCAAGGATATAAATTGCAAGCCTAGTTAAGCAGAGAGAGAAACAGTTGAGTCTTATTTACCAGTATGGAAAGCTGGTTGGGAGGTGGTTTGTACTGTGTTGGGTCCCTCTTGAGATTTAGGCCATGGATCTGGTCATAATTCATCTTTAAGATGAATTCTGATTGATGGAAAGAACATATTCCTTCAAGTGTTGTCTCTTTCACTTACTAGACAAGTCATTTAACCTCTGAGAGTCTTAGTATTTTTAAAAAATTGATAGAATGGAAATAATACCAAAACCAGCTATTCCATAGGGCTGTTGAAATAAAATGAGGGCATATATGCAAAAGTACCTAGTTCATAGTAGTCACTCAATAAATATTTGTTCATTCATCTTGATAATATGTTGCATTTCATAAATGCTTTAGAATTTTTGAAATGCTTTCACATACTGTACAAGTTATTGTCAAAATACCAAGCACTGATCAACACTTCCTCTAGGGGCTTTTGGATGTATTTTAATTGTTTTAGGATGTGACCAACTTTGTGGAGCCGAGTTAGTTGGCTTCATTATTCCCCTGCAACATTTCCTTTGCACTCATTGATTTCCATGGCTACATGATGATTACTTCCTGAGAAACAAAGGAACACATGTGTTTGGAAGTCAAAAGGAAGCATACAGATCACCTATTGAACCATAACCCTGTAAAATGTGGTATAAATGGAAACTTTTCTTTTTATCATAGTGTGTTTGAAATGAAGGAATTCACATTAGTCATTCTCTCAGTTTCTACTCTACAATAGCTGTCCTTGTAAGGGGCCAGATTGTGTCAGGCCTTATAAACCAAATTAACTCCAAAAATTTTGTAAGATAAACTATTTACAACATCAAAATTTCTGAGTGGTGACCAATCCAGAAAAGTGACAGTAGGCAATGGGAAATTTGAAGACAAAGAATGGGTGGAGGAAGAAATAAATCACCACTCAAGCATACTGGTTCCATTTTACTACCTTATGAGTTATTGACTACTTTATTAATTATTTACTACATTGATTAATTATTCCAGCAAACATTTATTGAAAACTTTTCTGTAGGAGGTCCTGTACTAAGTGCTCTGAGAACTACAGAAGTGAATAACACCCAAAAGTGGTCTTCAAAGAATTCAGTTTAATATTGGAAATAAAGCATATATGTCCTATCCAAATTATGTCCTATGAGATGTACCATTCAGGACCTAGAGTGGTTTTGAAGAGGGGGCTGTCTGTGTTGAATCTTGAAGAACATATAGAAATCTGTTTACCAGGTAGACAGACGGAAGTGCATTCCAGATGAAAGGAACAGCATCTACAAATGCCCAGAGGTACCCAGGTCAGAGCTAATGAAGAAGAGCTAGGTAGAGATTGACCTGGAGAGAAAGAGCAGGTTGGGAATACCTGTGTGGGGATATTATCATTATTAGTAGGTGGGTGTTTGATGCATGGAAATTGACTTACAGTGGGAGGAGAGGGAAGTTAATGAGTTCAATTTTGGACATGATGATGGGATAGGATATTCTGGTGGAGATGTAATGTAGGTGTTAAAAATGAAGTTTGGCGCTTAGGGGAGAAGTGCAGTTGGAGATCTAGATTTGAGACTCATCAACACACAAGTGGAAGATGAACACACAGGACCCTAAAGTAAGAGGAAGGGAGAGTTGAGGACAGAATCATGGGAAACAACTACATTTAGAAGACAAACAGATGAAAAGGAACTTGGAAAGGAGGCTGAGAATGAGAAGCCGGGGGATATGAATAAAGACCACAAGAAAATAGCAGCTTCCCCCTTTATCCATGGTACAGTCCTTCTTTAGTGATGATTGGGGAATGTTGAAGCAGAATAGGAAACACTAAAGGAGTGTTTAATCCAGTCCTTTTTATTTGCATTACTTTCCTAGGAGTCAAGGCTCATTTTTCTTCGCCCCATGAATAAGCTCCAGGAGCCTGGGCAGACCAAATAGGCGGTTATTCCTGGGTTGCATGCCGGATGGAAAGTTCTAGGAGTCAGGTCAAAAGGGATGGTCCTGGATTGTGAAGCACCAATGAGCCAGGGAGGCCTATCACATAGTGGTTCTGAGCTCTAGAGTTAGGCAGATCTGTGTTCAGATCCTGACTCTAAGGTCCAGAGATGGATTCTTGCAGTAGGTGTGCAAGCCACCCTGGGTATAGGGTGCACATTCTCAGTCCAAGACCTCACGCCCCCGACAAGTTAATTTGGAATAAAAAAGAAATTTCTCCACTGACCTGTTGGCTTCTCAAAGGCTTGGCACATGGAAGGTCCTTAAATCTATAGTCTTTGTAAAATGATGAATGAGCACATAACAAACTTAAGAACAGTACATTGGAAATAACTTTATAATAAACAGGTGAACATTGTGGTCACCTAGCATTTTCATGGGCAACTTATCTTTTGGAAACTGATCATTGAACATCAGAGAAATATCCACATGTGTCCATTTGAAAAGATGTAGAGGAACAATCCTTTTCACCAGACCAAAAAATAGAAATCAGTTAATTAAAATAATTATCTTCAGTGGTACATAATAACTTTCCTCATTATGGCATAATACTAACGCTTCTATAGGGTTAATTACTTTCCTGGCACTATTCTGAAGACCTTATTTTCATTACTTAATTTAATCTCCCAACAAACTTATGAGACAGGAGCTTGTCTATTACGTAGAGAAGAAAACTCCGGGTATAGAAAAGTACCCAAGGCCACATCACTAATAAATAGCAGAGGTAGGATTTGAACCCAAGCAGTCTGACTCTAGAGTCTTTGAATATAACTGCTACACTACACAGAAGCCTCCCTTGATTCTGAGACCTGACCACATAGCTGGACCCATTTTGTTCATCACCTGGTATGGAAGGAAAGCTACATTGTGATGTGAAATGAGGCTTTCTCATCACGGCTTCTATGGGGGCAGGTGGGGTTGGGGCAGGTTATGGGTAATGTATTTGTGTTAAATTAGACAAGAAGCATGATAATCATTTATATGAACAGAAGTCATAATCACATGATGTTCTGATTTGACAATTTACCTCTCCCAGTCTCATAGGCAGGTGGCTTCAGCCCCTTGTCACAAGTTCTCATTCATAAACTAAAAGAGAGGCTCAGCACCTCTGGACAGGGCCAAAAAGCATGTACATTTTAGAAGTCTCCAGGGAGCATACTGACCCTGTCTGTCCTCGATGGCCCTGCTAGAGTGTTTTCTGAAGGGCCCTTGTATCTTCTAGTTGGTCTCCAGGGGCCCACACTGATTGTCCCTTATCTGAGAAGTAACTGAGAGAAATCTCAAAAGGAGTTGGGGAGAAGAGGCTCCAAGGCATAAAGTGGAAACATAGCCCCAGTCTTGAAGAGAATTTGAATCCAAAATGATTACAGGCATAACTTGGAGACATTGCAGGTTTGCTTCTAGACCATTGCAACAAAGCTAATATCACAATTAAATGAGTCACACAATTTTTTTTTGTTTCTCAGTGCATATAAAAATTATGTTTACACTAGGCTCTAGTCTGTTAAGTGTGCAATAGCATTATGTCTAAAAAACCCAATGTACATATCTTAATTAAAAAATACTTCATTGCAGAGCCGGGCGCAATGGCTCATGCCTGTAATCCTAGCACTTTGAGAGGCCAAAGCAGGTGGGTCGCTTGAGCTCAGGAGTTTGAGACCAGCCTGGGCAACATGGTGAAACCCTGCCTCTACAAAAAATACAAAATTAGCCAGGAGTGGTGGTGCATGCCTGTAGTCCCAACTACTCAGGAGGCAGAGGTGGGAGGATCACCTGAGCCTGCAATGTCGTGGCTGCAGTAAGCTCTGATTGCACTCCAGCCTGGGCTACAAAATGATGAGAACTTGTCTCACAAAAAAAATAAACAACTTTATTGCTAAAAAGTGCTAACAATCACCTGAGTCTTCAGTGAGTCATCATCTTTTTGCTGGTGGAGGGTCTTGCCTTGATGTGGATGGCTGCTGACTGATCAGGGTGGTGGTTGCTAAAGTTGAGGTGGCTATGGCAATTTCTTGAAATAAGACAACAATGAAGTTTGCCACATCAATTTACTCTTCCTTTCATGAAAGATTTCTCTGTAGCAAGTAATGCTGTTTGTTAGCATTTTATCCACATTAGAACGTCTTTCAAAATTGGCATCCATCCTCTCAAACCCTGCTACTGCTTTATCAACTAAGTTTATGCAACATTCCAAATCCTTTGTTGTCATTTCAGTGATGTTCGCAGCATCTTCACTAGGGGTTAAAAAAAATTGTGTGACTCATTTAATTGTGTCACTTGCACTTTTATGCTATGAAGACAACTTCTTACCTTAAACCTCATGAACCAACCTCTACTAACTTCTAACCTTTCTTCTGCAGCTTCCTCACCCTTCTCAGCCTTCATAGAATTGAAGAGAGTTAGGGCCTTGTTTTGGATTAGGGTTTGGTTTTAAGGGAATGTTGTGGCTGGTTTGATCTTCTATTCAGAGCACTAAAGCTTTTTCCATGGTAGCCATAGGGCTGTCTCTTTATCACTCATGGGTTCCCTGGAACTTTTCCTTTGCGTTCACAACTTGGCTGTTTGGTACAAGAGGCTTAGCTTTCAGCCTCTCTTGGCTTTTGACATGCCTTCCTCATTAAGCTTAATCATTTCTAGCTTTTGAGTTAAAATGAGAGATGTCTGACTCTTCCTCTCACTTGAACACTTACAGGCAGACCATTGTAGGATTACTAATTGGCCTAATTTCAATATCATGTGTCTCAGGGAATAAGGAGACTCACGGAGAGGAAGAGAGATGGGGAACTCAACTGGTAGTTGGAGCAGTCAGAACATGCACAACATTTACTGATTAAGTTTGATGCAGTTCGTGATGCCACAAAACAATCACAATAGTAACATCAAAGATCATCGATTACAGATAACCACAGAAAATATAATAATAATGAAAAAGTTTGAAATATTGCAAGATTTACCAAAATGTTACACAGAGATGCTAAGTGAGCACATGATGTTGAAAAAATGTGCCAATAGACTTGCTTGACACAGGGTTGCCATAACCTTCAATTTATTTTAAAAAATGCAATGTATATGAAGTGCAATAAAGCAAAGTATGCCTGTTTGTTAGGCCATTCTTGTGTTGCTCTAAAGAAATACATGAGGCTGGGCGCGGCGGCTCATGCCTGTAATCCCAGCACTTTGGGAGGCCGAGGCAGGCGAATCATGAGGTCTGGAGTTCAAGACCAGCCTGGCCAACATGGTGAAACCCTGTCTCTACTAAAAATACAAAAAATTAGCTGGGCGTGGTGGCAGGTGCCTGTAATCCCAGCTACTTGGGAGGCTAAGGGAGAATTGTTTGAACCTGGGAGGTGGAGATTGCAGTGAGCCGAGATCGCCTCACTGCACTCCAGCCCGGGTGACAGTGTGAGACTCTGCCTTAAAAAAAAAGAAAGAAAGAAATACCTGAAAGCTGGGCATGGTGATTCACGCCTTAATTCGAACAGTTTGAGAGGCTGAGACAGGCAGATCACTTGAGGTCAGGAGTTTGAGACCAGCCTGGCCAATATGGCAAAACCCCATCTCTACTAAAAATACAAAAATTAGCTGGGCATGGTGGCAGGTGCCTGTAATTCCAGCTATTTGGGAGGCCGAGGCACAAGAATTGCCTGAACCTGAAAGGTGGAGTTGCAGTGAGCTGAGATCATGCCATTGTACTCCAGCCTGGGTGGCAGAGTGAGACTCTGTCTCAAAACAAAAAACAAAAAACAAAAAAAATACCCAAGGCTGGGTAATGTATAAAGTAAAGAGGTTGAATTGGCTCATGGTTTTGCAGGCTGTACAGGAAGCATGGCAGCATGGCGGGGCTTCTGCTCAGCTTGTTGGGAGGCCTCAGGATGCTTACAATCAGAAGGTGAAGGGAAGAAGGCATCTCACATGGTGGCAGCAGGAGCAAGTCCAGGAGGTGCCACACTCTTTTAAAAAACCAGATCTCATCAGAACTTACTTACTATGGTGAGGACAGCACCAGGCTATGAGAGATCTGTCCCCATGACCCAAACACCTCCCACCAGGCCCCAGCTTGAACACTGGGGATTATATTTCCACCCGAGATTTGGGTGGGGACAAATATCCAAACTGTATCAGCCTGTATTTACCATCCCTCCAAAACCTGTTATTGCACATATATTTAAAAATAAAGTTCAGGACAAAATATTTCCTGAGATTATACTCAGTTAATGAAGACAATTAGGTTTGCAATTAGCTAACTCTTAGTTAAATATATTTAACATCACTTATAGAAGAAAAGAACCCCAAACACATACAAATAAATCAGATTAGGCTTTGTCTTTTGATTAATGTTTTTTTCACCGAACAGGAAAATACTCATTAACAAAAGTTTCGAGAACAATAAAGCAACTGGAGGTTATTAATATGAAAATATTGTCGATTGTTCCTCCGTAGAAATCTCCCTGGACAGCCCACTTCCTGAAAAATGACTCAGCAAAAACTCCCAGAGAAGAGTTGTTCATACTTCATACAATTGTTCAGGCCAGAGCTTATTTCTTATCTATAAAGTCCCCTTGTGATGGATGATTCATGATTCTTTTCATTTATGGGCTTTGAATGCAAACTATTTCTTAATGTAAACAAATGGCTTCAGTATTTAAAGCAAAATATTTCCGTTTGTTTAGTACTATTTCCTATTTTATGCCTGAAACTGTGTTTTTGAAGGAATTGTTTGGTTTCAAAAGAGGGAAAGGGAATGATTGTTTAGAAGAATGTGTGCAAAGGGGCGTGCCTTTGTCATGGGCAGCCTTTGAGATCTGCCTGGAGTCAGAGGGGGCGTGTGGTAGCATGGCCCAAAGAAGCTGGTGTCATGAATTCTGCCTGTAAAAGTTCCAGTTTCCTGTGGGAGAAAAGGGTATCTGACAGGTCTTGAAGTATGCCTTTAAATTCTCTATTCGTTGAAGAGATGCAAACTAGGTGAATGGAAGAGAAATGACACATAGAACAGTTGCTAAAGATACTAGAGAGAAGAGAGCAAGATCTTTAGTGATTTCTTTTCTCTTTTCTTTTCTTTTTTCTTTTTTTTTTGAGACAGAGTTTCACTCTCATTGCCCAGGCTAGAGTACAGTGGCGCGATCTCAGCTCATTGCAACCTCCGGCTCTGGGGTTCAGGCGATTCTCCTGCCTCAGCCTCCCAAGTAACTGGGACTACAGGCGCCCGCCACCATGCCCAGCTAATTTTTTGTATTTTCAGTGAAGACGGGTTTCACCATGTTGGCCAGGATGGTCTCTACCTCTTGACCTCGTGATCTGCCCACCTCGGCCTCCCAGAGTGCTGGAATTATAGGCTTGAGCCACCGTGCCTGGCCGATCTTTAGTGATTTCTAATGACATTTTACAATTGTCAGTATAAAAAAATAGAATGAAAACGTGCAAGAGCATGAGACAGTTTCAATGACGTATGTGCCAAAAATTGACCACTAGGTAGCACCATAATCTAGCTCTACGACTCTAGCACTGTGTTGATTCTGTATTGGCCAGGATGCAAACGTTTTAAGATTTATGTCTGAGAAAAGACCAACAAAAGCAGCTGTAAATTATTCAATCAGAAGACCCTAACGTAACAAACTGAAGAGGTATAAGGTTTACCAAGTATTTATTTGGTGAAGTTTCTACTATAGCAATTATTTTTATTCAGAACCCAGAGAAACGAAGATGGAAGAGATTTTGAGCCTTCTCTTAAAAAAACACCTAGATTTGCATGAAGATAAAGAAAAAGAGGCCGGGCGCGGTGGCTCACGCCTGTAATCCCAGCACTTTGGGAGGCCGAGGCGGGTGGATCATGAGGTCAGGAGATCGAGACCATCCTGGCTAACAAGGTGAAACCCCGTCTCTACTAAAAATACAAAAAATTAGCCGGGCGCGGTGGCGGGCGCCTGTAGTCCCAGCTACTCGGGAGGCTGAGGCAGGAGAATGGCGTGAACCCGGGAAGCGGAGCTTGCAGTGAGCCGAGATTGCGCCACTGCAGTCCGCAGTCCGGCCTGGGCGACAGAGCGAGACTCCGTCTCAAAAAAAAAAAAAAAAAAAAAAAAAGAAAAAGAAAAAGAATAATTATAGTTAATTAAAACAATTAGTCTAGAATTTCCTTGTCAAATTAGAAAAACACCAGTTTAATGAAGTAGTAAACATTCCTCATACTTGTTTTGAGTAGAACAGTTGCTAAAGATACTAGAGAGAAGACGGCAAGATCTTTAGTGATTTCTTTTCTCTTTTCTTCTTTTTTTTTTGAGACGGAGTTCCGCTCTTGTTGCCTAGGCTAGAGTACTCATACTTGTTTTGATTCATCAGTGTCTTTATCATTCCTACTTAAGTCTTCCATTCACTTGGAAGTACTTCCATTCAGTACATGCCCACTACATACCTAACATCATCTAGATGCCTTGAATCTAAAGAAGCATGAGGCACATGCCTTGCCTTTGCATAGCACATGGCCCAGCAAGGTGGACAAATATATAACAAAACAACAGTATTAAGGGATAAGAACTTCAGTAAAGACATGTTCAAAAGATTTATGGGAGATAGCAGCAAATTACAAAATAAGTGGCATTTGAACAAAGTCTTGTAAGATAATGGTAATAACTGACACTTATTGATGCTCATTATGTGTCAAACCCTCTCCTAAATACTTTACCTAACAAATGCTTAGAAGTCGTGTAATCATCACAACCACCATTTGAGGAAGGTGACACTATTATTATCCCCCTGTTAGAGACAGGAAAACTAGTTTGGGAAATGCATTCTAGATAAAGGAAGTAACACGTATAAAGGCTCAGAAATGTACAAAACCATGGCATGTTCCAAGGAGCAGGTGGATTAGACCAGTAGTAACATTCTAATATTCATAGAAATACCATGACCTCTAGGATTTTATAAACAGAAAAATGAGGTAAGTCGTATCAGAGATTTTGAATAGATTTTTTAAAACTTTTTTAATTTAAAAATTTAATTTTTAATTTATTTTAAAAAAGTTTTTTTGTAGAGATGGGGTCTAGCTATGTTGCCCAGGCCAGTCTCAAACTCCTGGCCTCAAGCGATCCTTCTGACTGGCCCCACAAAGTGCTGAGATTACAGGCATGAGCCACTGTGCCCAGCCAACTATTTTCCTATTACTTAGAAATTTTATTATTTAAGGAATAGTAGGAATATAATTTACTGAGAAATCACAGATCCGTTGAAAGATCAAACCATTTTTGTTATGAAATATTATATCCTGAATTTTTAAAAGATGATATGGAAAATATATAATGGCTCTGTAGAATCACAATTTTTAATGCCACAGATTTTTCTTAAAATGCTAACTTTCTAGCCGGGTGTGGTGGCTCATGTGTCTAATCCCAGCAATTTGGGAGGCTGAAGAGGGCGGATCACCTGAGGTCAGGAGTTCAAGACCAGCCTGGCCAACATGGAGAAACCCCATCTCTACTACAAATTAAAAAATTAGCTGGGTGTGGTGGTGGGTGCCTGTAATTCCAGCTACTCCAGAACCTGAGGCAGGAGAATTGCTTGAACCCAGGAGGCCGAGGTTGTAATAAGCTGAGGTCGTGCCACTGCACTCCAGTCTGGGCGACAAGAACGAAACTGTCTCAAAACACAAAACACAAAACTAACTTTTTAATAACAAACTGTTTTATTGTAACTCTGCTGAAAATAACAATGCTATAGTTTTAGAACTTAACTGAATATCTTGAAAGATTTCCTAATGTTGAAATACTACTACTGATACAATGAAAACAACTTTTAACTATTTTATTTTAGATAGCATTTGCAAGACAAACTCTGTGATATCATAATTAAATATTTATTGGTTGCTCTTTACTTACAAACCACTCTGTTCCTGTGTCCAGATTATTTGTTAGGCAAATATTTATCGAACACCTATGTTGTGCCAGCCATGGTGTTAGCTTCTGTAGGAGCAAAACAACAATAAGGGCCCAACTCTCTGCTTACCTATCTGTCTCCACCCTTTTCTCAGGCAAGCAGCCCCATGCTCACCACCCTGGCCATACTTTCACTTCCCTGGCCATGTCCTCTCTCCACATTAGCGGTCCCTGTTCCCACCAACTTCTTTGCATAGGACTTGCCTATGAGTTTTTTCACCACCCTGGAATATCCAAATGGTATCCACTTTCCAGTTCACAGTTCCAATGACCCCTCCTCTGGATACTCTTCTTCTCTTCTAAGCCCCTCTGTTTTTAAAAAATCATGGTAACCATTTTTCAGCGTACAGATCAGTAGTGTTAAGGATATTCACATTGTCATGCAACAGATCTCCAGAACGTATTCATCTTGCAAAACTGAAACTCTATATCCATTAAACAACTCCCCATCTCCCCTGTACCCTCACCCCGGCAACCAGCATTCCACTTTCTGTTTCTATGAATTTGACTATTTTAGATACCTCGTATAAGTGGAATGATACAGTATTTTCTTTTTGTGACTACCTTATTTCACTTAGCATAATGTCCTCAAGGTACTTCCATGTTGTAGCACGTGACAGGATTTCCTTTCTTTTTGAGGCTGAATCGCATTCCATTGCATGTTTATACCACATTTTGCTGATGCATTCATCCATTGGTGAGTGCTTGGGTTGCTTTTCCTGGCATTTTTTTATCCCTTCTTCTTTTCTAGCACTCGTCTTTTGCCTTCATGTATTAAAACTATTTTTTTCCTTTCTTATCTGTGTGTTTCTTCATTTTTTAAAATCCATCCATCCATCCATCCATCCGTCCGTCCGTCCATCCGTCTGTCTGTCCGTCCGTCTGTCCATCCATCCATCTGTCCATCCAGCAAATATTTATTGAGTGTCTCCTATTTCCAGGCACAGTTCTAGGCACTGGAGATGTATCAGTGAACAAAACAGAAAAAAATTCCCTGTGCTCATTAATCTGCATTCTTATAGAAGAGACAGATAATAAACAAGTGAAGTGTACAGTGTGTCCAAAGACAGAAAGTACTATGGGACAGAAACAAAGCAGAGGGAGTGAGGTGGGGATAGAGAGTCCCAGCTCAAGGTTAAAATGCTGGATTTTATTTTTAGCAAAGCCATCATTGAGAAGGTGATTTTTGAAGGAGTGAGCCAAGTGAATATCAAAGGCAAAAGCATTTCAGAAAGAGGGGAGAGCAGGAGCATAAACCCTGAGGTGGAGCATGCCTGGTAAAGTGTGAGGAACACTGAGGTCAGTGCAACTGAAGTGGAATGAAACACAGGTAAGGAGCAAGAGATGACATCAGGGCAGTCTAGGGCAGAGGGAGAGGCAGAACATGGAGTGCTTGTAGATCATTTTAAAAGCAGGATATGTGTCTGATTCATAACGATATTATTTGAAAGAATATTATTTGAATGAATGAATAACAGTTTCCTATGAATGCGCTCCATGTAAACCATGTCTATAGGACTAATGTGCCTATGGTGCATTCCATGGCCCACACAGTATTTTTTTTTAAATATTAAACTTGGCTGTGCGTGGTGGCTGGCACCTGTAATCCCTCACTTTGGGAGGCTGAGGTGGGCAGATCGCTTGAGCTCAGGAGTTCAAGACCAGCCTGGGCAACATGGAGGAATCCCATCTCTACAAAAAGTACAAAAACTAGCCAGGCATGGTGGCATATTCCTGTGGTTTCAGCTACTCAGGAGGCTAAGGTGGGAGGATGGCTTGAGCCCAGGAGGCGGAGGTTGCAGTGAGACGAGATGGCACCACTGCACTGCAGCCTGGGCGACAGAGTGAGGCCCTGTTGCCAAAAAAAAAAAAAAAAAAAAAAAAAAAAAAAATCCCCATGTTGAGTATAATGGAGAGGAAGTGCAAAATACCTGTGTACACCCTGGGCAGCATTTCTGTCTTTCAGCTTACACTATCAGATTTGTATAAGGTAGCATGTTGGAGGGGACAGGTGAGTGATATCTTGTGGCAAAGAAAAAGCTGCTGCTATCTGTGGCATCACCTCTGACCCTTAAAGCCAGAAGATCCCCTCACAGACCAGATGATTCCAGAAAAGCAAGTTGCAAGAGCTAAAGGTCATTCTAGGCTCAGGGGTTCCCACACCTTTGTTGCTCCTGATTTTCTTGGACTTTTGCTCATCTTACAGGCCCCCAATTCAACGCTGACCTCTGGCTCCACTGGGTTTGGGAACTCTCATTCTGCCTTTCTGAAATCTTGGACCTTAACATTCCTTAATGTTTTGTGACTCTGTTGGCACTTTCAGCTATGGCCCATTAGCTCCCCAAATCCTAGTCAGTAGCATATAACATTCCTAGATATTTGACGTATTTTGCTGCTTTTGTATATGGTATCGATTTTGTATTTCATTTCCTACCTGTTGCTAGTATACAGATGAGCATTTTTTGGTCTAGAGTGCTTGCTAGATTCACTCATTAACTCTGTTTGTTGATCTCTCTAGATTTTCTACATATACAATCATGTATTCCGCAAATATCAATTTTTCTTCTTTCTTACCAATCTTTACGTCTTTTATTTCCCTATCTTGACTTATTACACTGGCTAGATTTCCAGGACAATTTTGAATAGAGCTAGTGATTGTTGTTTTCCTGAGATGAGGTGGTCAATGTTTGGCATTTAGTCAGCAAACAAGATATTAGTGTTTTCTTTGTTTGCTTGTTTTAATGAGTCTTGCTCTGTCACCCAGGCTGGAATGCAGTGGTGCGATCTTGGCTCACTGCAACCTCGGCCTCCCGGGCTCAAGTGATTCTCCTGCCTCAGCCTCCCAAGTAGCTGAGACTACAGATGTGTGCCACCACACCTGGCTAATTTTTGTATTTTTAGTAGAGACAGGGTTTCACTATGTTGGCCAGGCTGGCCTCAAATTCCTGACCTCAGGTGATCTGCCAGCCTCAGCCTCCCAGGGTGCTAGGATTACAGGTGTGAGCCACTGTGCCCCGCCAGTTTTTTTTTTTTTTTTAATAGACTTCTATTTCTAGGTTGCTGAGTTTTGTGTGTCTGTGTGTGTGTGTGTGTGTGTGTGTGTGTGTGTGTGTGTATTTTTTTTTTTTTTGTGGACCCTTCAAAATGCACAAGAAGTAGTGGGTTAAGGATAGGAGGGAAAACTCCAACTCCGCCAAGACTGAGCAGGATTAAACACCAGGTGATATTTGCCAGGGGTGGGCCACTTTCATCTGGTATTCTTCTACTGATAGAGGAGTTAAGAAGAAATTATTTCGGCAGATAGAGTAAGGAAGTCCTCCGTAAACTTTTCCTTTTAATGAAAAGCAGCCTCCAAATCATTTTCTTTTCTAACAAAGAGGAGCCTGTAAAATCGAGTTACAGATGTAGAAAGGCAGGCTAGAAGCTTGCGCGGGTAGAATGCTGGCAGCTGTGCCAATAGGGAAAGGCCACCTGGGACTAAGCATGTTCAAAATGACTGCTCCATCTTCCCTTTTCCTTTCCAACCACATGTGCCATAGGGAGCAGACAACATGGGGCTGGCCAAGTGGTAAGCCCATTTGCATGATAAGATTAGGGTAGGGTGGCCAGCTTCTTCATGCACTATGTAAACGTCACAACTGGTCCAGCCAATCTGTGCGCCCTATGCAAATCAGACACCACCTCCTCAAGCCTGTCTATAAAATCCGATGCACTCCCCACAGGCTGGAAGTCCCATTCGGGCGCCCCTCTCTCTCTCAGGAGAGGAAGCTGTTCTCCTTTCTCTTTCTTTTGCCTATTAAGCCTCTGCTCTTAACCTCACTCCATACGTGTCCATGTCCTTGATTTCCTTGGCATGAGGCAATGAACCTCGGACAACAACGCCAGACAACAACACCACTTCACTACCTTCTGGGGCACCCCTGCCTTGTCCCCAGTTTCCCAGATATGTTTCCTAGAGACTGTGAATTGTAGAGGGGGCACCTGTGCCAATGAAACACATGAACATGTCAGAAGCATTTGAATCAGAGTGACTCCATCTTGAATAAGGGCTGGGTAAAATGAGGCTGATACCTACTGGGCTGCATTCCCAGGAGGTTAGGCATTCTGTCACAGGATGAGATAGGAAATTGGCACAAGATACAGGTCACAAAGACCTTGCTGATAAAACAGACTGTGGTGAAGAAGCCAGCCAAATCCCACCGAAACCAAGAAGGTGATGAGAGTGACTTCTGATCATCCTCACTGCTCATTATAATGCATTAGCATGCTAAAAGACACTCCCACCAGCACCATGACAATTTACAAATGCCATGGCAATGTCAGAAAGTTACCCTATATGGTCTAAAAAGGGGAGGAACCCTCAATTCTGGGAATCACCCACCCCTTTCCCAGAAATCTCATGAATAATCCACCCCTTGTTTAGCAAATAATCAAGAAGTAACAATAAGTATAAGCAGCTGAGCACCCATGCCACTGCTCTGCCTATGGAGTAGCCATTCTTTATTCCTTTATTTGCTTTATAAATTTTCTTTCACTTTATGGATTTGCC
Source organism: Homo sapiens (assembly GCF_000001405.40). Classification (NCBI taxonomy): domain Eukaryota; kingdom Metazoa; phylum Chordata; class Mammalia; order Primates; family Hominidae; genus Homo; species Homo sapiens. Next base: position 92,830,164 of record NC_000010.11, read on the forward strand.
TCAAATTTCTTCTTGTGCGAGATCCAAGAACCCTCTCTTGGGACCCCTTTCTCGTAACAAACATAATGCTTCCTACTAGTGTTTCCAGTACAGAGCAAGGAGCCTGGGAATCTAGTCCTGGTGATGGAGTGAGAAAGGTGAGCGACTGATGCAGTTTTATTTGAAGAATAAACTTACTTAAAAAAAGGTTAATTTCCAGTTCTAGAGGGACAGGGGTTCCTAGCAGACTAATGGGACAGTGACTCAGTTATAGAGAAAAAAGAAAAAGGCCCAGAAAAGGGCCCCAAGGAACAGGACTATATCAACTTCACACACAGCCTGATGGTGTGTCCCAAAGATCAGCTTGGGGCAGGATTTCTCAGCCTGGGCACTACTGGCATTTCAGGCTGGATAATTCATGTGTATGTGTGTTGCGGGTCAGGTGGGGGTTTGTGCTGTGCATTGTAGGTTGTTTAGCAGTATCCCTGGCCCATTCTCACTAGATATCAGTAGCACCACCCACCTCCCACGGTGACAATCAAATATGTCTCCCGACATTTCCCTCGAGCAGGGGACCCACAAGATCACCCAGTTGAGAACCACTAGCCTAGGGTCACTTAAACTTCTCTTGTCAGTGGTCAGACTTAATCCTAGGAAGTAGTCAAAGAGTTTGAGCTGCAGGTGGGAGGAGAGGTTAAGGGTCCAGACTGGGAACATTCCAGTCACACACGCCATTCTTTTTTATGGGCATCTTGGAATATGGCTGTTTCAAAACTTTCCACTTCCTCCTTTTCTTTTCCTCATTTGATGAATTTGTTGTTAGCACTATGAGACAGGGGAGATTGTTTTCTCTGTTACTTTTGGGAGGAGAGCCTCTCCTGTTCATTTAATCTGTGCGAACTTCCGGCAGGAAATGGCACTCAAGGAAAGTTTTGAATAAAAGGAAGATGCTGGTTTAGCCAGTGGAAACAGGAAGTTGTTGCCCGTGTCTCCTACGGTGTAGAAGAAAGTAAGAGGCAGACAGAAACTGCACTTAGCAGGACTGAGAGGAGCAGAAGACAGTGGGGTGGGAGTAGAGGGAGGGTGGGGAGAGCTGAGGAGCAGAGGGAAGCAACTGGGCCACCAGGACAGAAGACCTTGAATCTCCAGGCTGAGCCGGCTGTACCGGAAGAGGATGAATGTGCTGTGTAGGAGGAGCGGGGTCATGCAGTGACAGTAAGTCAAAGCAATAGTGGTTTGTTAATTAAACTACTTTAGAGTATAGTATTCTTCTATACTATATTCTATTTTTTTTTTATTTTTATTTTTCGAGTTGGAGTCTCACTCTGTCACTCAGGCTGGAGTACAATGGCGTGATCTCGGCTCACTGCAACCTCCACCTGCCGGGTTCAAGCAATTCTCCTGCCTCAGCCTCCCGAATAGCTGGGACTACAGGTGCGTGCCACCATGCCTGGCTAATTTTTTGTATTTTTAGTAGAGATGGGGTTTCACCATGCCAGCCAGGTTGGTCTTCAACTCCTGACCTCAGGTGATCCGCCTGCCTCGGCCTCCCAAAGTGCTGGGACTACAGGTGTGACCCACCGCGCCCAGCCTATTCTATTTAAATTAATATATTTTCTCTCCAATATTAGGAGCATATGCCTACATTCTAAAATCTCCTTGAATAAAGAGAGAGAGAAAGAGAGTAAATGTGGCAAAATATTAACAGTTGGTGAATCAGATGAAGGGTATATTTTTGTTCACATTATATTCTTCCTGTAATTCTTCTATAAGTTTGAAAATTTTCAAAATTAAAATTTGTGCTGTGTGGAGAGAAGAATGAATTTTTAAAACCATGTGATATTTAGAACTGGATCAGTCATCACAGATGTATGTGTTCATGAATATGTGGCATTATTTATGAATTTTCTTCTCTTCAATGTAATATAGTGATGCTGATGGCTCTTTTAAGAGTGATTTCTCATCATGTATTTATGTATTTTCAGGTTCTGACAAACACAATCTAGAATTGTCAGATTTTTGCATAATTTGCACCATTTCCTTACAAGGCAGAGGTAACTCAGCTAGTAGCTTTCACAATCATTCATTCATTGGATAAGCATTTCTTGAGTATCTACTATAACTGTATACAAGGTGTATACTCTTTTTTTTTGAGACGGAGTTTTGCTCTTGTCACCCAGGCAGGAATGCAGTGGTGCAATCTCGACTCACTGCAACCTCCGCCTCCCGGGTTCAAGCGATTCGCCTGCCTCAGGCTCTGGAGTAGCTGGAATTACAGGCGTCCGCCACCACAGCCGGCTAATTTTTTAATTTTTAGTAGAGATGGTGTTTCACCATGTTGGCCAGGCCTGTCATGAACTTCCGACCTCAGGTGATCCACCCACCTCAGCCTCCCAAAGTGCTGGGATTACAGGTGTGAGCCACAGCACCCGGCCTACAAGGTGTACACTCTTAAGCATTATGGGGAATACAGATATGAATCAGATAGACATTCTGCACACATATAATCTTATAATTTGGTATAAGTTTAAAACCTTGCACATAAAGAACTTTTTTTTTTTTTTGGCTGGAGTTCAGTGGCCCGATCTTGGCTCACTGCAACCTCTACCTCCCGGGCTCAAGTGATTCTTGGGCCTCAGCTTCCCAAGTAGCTGGGACTACAGGCATATGCCACCAAGCCCAGCTAATTTTTGTATTTTTAGTAGAGACAGGGTCTCGCCCTGTTGGCCAGGCTAGTCTCGAACTCCTGGCCTCAAGTGATCCACCCGCCTCGGATTCCCAAAGTGGTGGGATTACGGGTGTGAGCCACTGTGCCAAGAACTTTAAGATAGATTGAAAATTATTATTTTTTGTCAAGTCTCAAAGGACTTACTCATCTTATTGGGAAATGGTGTGAGCCATATTGGTGCTGCATTTGTTCCATCCTGCCATGGAGCAAAACTAGGGCTGAGGGTTGGGGGCTATTGGTGGGGTTGAAGTGAAGAATGCTGCATTGGTTTGCCATTGCTGTATAACCCATCAGTCTGTGGCTGAAAACAACAGTCATTTAGTATTGCTCTTGTGTCTGTGGTTCAGTTGGGGCTTGGCTCATCAGAGTGGATTTGAATAGGCAGTTCTGTTTCAGGCTGCTGCAGCTAGATGAAAATATATACTTTCCCCTGAAGGTCTGTGGACCAGTGGGGATGACTCTATCTCATGTAGCTCTCAGGGAATGCTTTTCTTAGGTGATGGCAGAGGTGCAAGAGGACAAACAGAAAAATGCCTTAGAGGCTTTAGAAAGTCCAGGCTCAGAACTCACATGCTGTTATTTTAGCTTATGTATATCACTGGCCAGCAGAAGTCACATGGCTGAGCCCAAAGTCATGGGACGACAAATACTGTGCCCACAGTGAAGTACTGGCAAGGGTGTGGATGCAGGCAGGGGTGACAAACTGATGCAATCTATGACAAATGCCATAGATTGTAGTTATAGCATGCTTTGAATACTACATTTTTAAGAGAACAAACGTCAATTTTTGGTCAGAGCTTTTAAAAAAGTCTGATAAAAACAAAAAAAAATAAAAAGCTTCTTATGGAAGAATGTCACTACTCATTCCTTTAAATATTGTATTTCTTGTATTAAGCAAGAAAGCTGAGGCTAAACTGAATTGAAGAAGATCGAATGCAAGTGGTAATGGGAAATACATGCCCGTTAGTTCTTTAGGCCTACTTGGGGCTGGTTGTAGGGCACATTTTCCTTTGCTGTTTTGGGCCTCTAGTTCATGCACTCTTTCTTCCTCTCGGTGGCAGCTAGCCTTCTTAAAACCCTGACATCTTCATTCTCTTTCTTCCTCTCCATCAAAACCTATTCTGCAGAAGGGATCTAGCAAACTCATTCACAGTGAGGCATAAGGAACTGAAAAGGAGTAAGATCTAAATGCCTCCAGAAGCATTTGTATTTGAACAAGAGATAAAAGAACTAATGGCTCTATCTCTAATGGAGGAAATTGACACAGCAAAGTAGAGAAGCAAAGGAGATAGACAGGGCACCAAGGAATTAGCCTAGTGACCTCAAAATCACATCCCATAGCACATTTCATTTTTCCTGGGCAAATTACCTCCTTGGGTTTGTGGGCAAGCCCTTGCCCACAAATACAAATGCTTCTGGAAGCATAGTTGCGGTAATAACTAGGAATGTAGCTTTAGTTATGTATTTAGCATAAATAATATTAATATATATGCCTTGTCAAATCAAATGCATTTAATAAATTTGTATAGTGTAATGACTGTAATTCCTACATATAGTTATTGTCTTTGAGAAACGAGTGAATAAATATAGCTGGCACTAGGCAGGAACTTTCCGAACTGTGTCAAGGTTAATAGTAAGTAAAATGTTATAAGTGGAAACAGGACAGCAACAGCTGTGCAACATTCTTGGAAGCAAAGACTTTTATAGCATGAAGTCAGACAGTGAGCTTGTTTTTGTTGCTCCTTTGGGTGAACAGAGAATCCTTCTAATAATTATAAGGAAAACGGTATTTTTTTTTTTATAAATTACAACAGTTTTTCACTCAATATCTGACATCTGCAGCTGGAAAATTAGGGGCCTGTCGAGCGATGTTGGAAGAAGAAACAGATCAAACCTATGAGAATGTCCTGGCTGAGATTCAGTCTTTCGAACTGCCTGTTGAAGCTACTTTAAGGTAGGGCACCGTTGCATTTTATTGTGTCTTCTTTAGCGGTGATAAGGTGGTCCTTTACCCTGCTTTTTATAATTCTTTATAAGAGTAAAAAATATTCTTGCAAAACAGTTACAGTTCTGTATATACTTAATCTCAAAGTTTTCTTATCCTTAGAGAGATTACAGGACATAATTAATCCATTTTATTTTGCATGTTTCCTAACTCATCACCATAAGATTAAAAACTATGACTTTCAAATGATCAAAAAGGACCTCAATCACCTCCAAATAAATTTATATGAGGTTTCAATTGTTTTCTTTAACATATCACTTAGTGAAAAACATTCAGAACAATTAGACATATCAATGAAGCCAATTTACATTTGGGTGGATATGAGTCATAGGAAAAAATGTAGACCATTTATTTGTATTGTAGCTGCTTTCTTGAGTGTATGGTGACCATTCAGATATGTATTATTTTGTTTCCATATAAGGTTTATTTATTTTTTCTTTTTTAACATTTTCTTGAATACCAATATATAAGGTTTAAAAATAGCTTCTTTGGTAATGTGGGTATTAATTTTCACAGTTCAAGAACAGGATTAAAATGAAAAACTATGTGTCATTGTGTTCAAAGGGCAGCTTTTAAAATTTAATTCTCTATGTCTGCCTGTCTCTGACACCTATCAGTGTGGGAACAAGATATTCATCACTGAATTTGATAGTGACAGTCAATAAATATTTGTTGACTAATATTTGTAGATTAAGTGGAAGGATATGTGTGTGTGTGTATCTGTGTGTGTGTGTGTGTGACCTCTTCATTCTCAGAAAGACCCCAGGGCCAAGAGCTTCTAAATCCACTAAAGTTTAAACCTGAATAAATTTCTCCCAGCTATTTAAATCTTATTTTGCATTAAACATAGTTTGAATATCTTCAAAGGTCTTAGGGTAGTGTTAGGGACATGGTAAACAATTGAGATTTGTTGGTTGATTCTTGGATTATCAATATGTAGGTATAGTTGCAAAATAATTACAACTCCATTATAACTATTACATATACCTTTGTCTTATCTGAGCATCATAAATATTCTGCGAAAAAGAGCTGGTAATTTTCAATAGCAGAAATCAGAGCTTTGTAGCAATGGAAAACTCAACAATTTTTTTCCATATGGGGCATACTTTAAATTGTACCATTGCCTTCTAAAACTTGTGCATCCACCTAGTGGCTAGGTAGGTGGTCAAGTGCCAGGTGCTAGGTAGTTAAGTGCTAGATGCTAGGTGGCTAAGTCTAAGTGGAAACAAGAGAAAGGGTGAAGGGAGCCTAGATGTGTTTTAGGCCATGGCCTCTGCTCCCATTGCTGCTTCAGAGCCCTTGGCCTTCAACTTGTAACCCTTTCTACCTCTCCCCGGTCTCACAACACTGGCCAACATCTACAGACTTTGTCTGTCCTTAGAACTAACCTGTCGGCTAGTCTGTCTCTGGTGTTGGACTTGACTTCCTTTCTTGGTGCTTGGATCTTTTTTACCTTCTCTTCTTAGGAAAAATATCCCTGGTACCAATCTTGTACCTTGTCTTTCTACAGCAAAAAATCATTTAGATTTGGCAGCCACAGCACTCTCTCAGCATCACCCTCAAGGGCAGAGCCTGCATAGATATGTTCCCCGGGTGCTACCCTGTCACGACCATGCAGTGGGCCTAAAATGCCAATTGTTAGGTTAATGTTTGGGTATAAAAAAGGGTGAGAACACTCCTTTCCAAAGGCTACTGTTAAAACACACTGATGTTATTTTGGGGGGTAGAGTGAAGTTGCAACCCCCTAACAAGCCTTTATCTGGGACAGTATTCAACAAAAAGCTTTCCTAATTTTCTAAACTGTTCATCTAATAAGTTGATTAGATGAAGATTTCTTAGATTGGCATTTGATGCCTTTCCATACATATGTACGTGTGTCGCTGATTTTCTACTGTAACTGTGCTTAAGGAACACATCAGCTCATGTGGCCAAATACGAGGGTTGAAAAATAATGACAGGACTCTCATTTCAGTCAAACTAGACTCTGCTATTTGACAATATGCCTCCTGGAGCTTAGGGTTCCTTTCCCCTATTATTCGCTCTTCTTTCTGCCTGCTAAAACCCAATGTATCTTGCAAGGCATAGCTCTAATGCTCTTTCTAGTGCTACTTACCTAGCTGCTAGGTGCTAGGCCTTGTGGAAACTCTATAAAGGTTACTAAGATATAAGTAAGACACAGGCCCTGCCCTCAGGAATCTTTAGCCTGAAATGGTTATAACATAACACACACACACACACACACACACACACACACACACACAAGCCAGAACAAATGCTCTGAATTCTTTGAAGCCTCTCCTATCTAGATGTGAATATTCCATTGTGAATCCCCATCTAGATGTGAATATTCAGTTGTGGAAGCCCCTAAGAATGTGATTCATACGAGCTCATGGGCTAATGGTGACGAAAATACTTACCTTTCTAATAAAAGTGAAAAGAGGCAGTCCAGCAAGAATGTCATCATTTCAGCAAAGAAGAGAAGGAGGAGGAAGTATTTTAAAACGTCAAGCTCTGGCTACATGCAGTGGCTCATGCCTGTAATCCTAGCACTTTGGGAGGCTGAGGTGGGAGATCGCTTGAGGCCAGTTGAAGACCAGCTGAAGCAACATAGTGAGACCCTGTCCCTATAAAACACTTTTTAAAATTAGTTGGTGGCTTGTGCCTGTAGTCTCAGCTACTCGGGAGGCCAAAGGGGGAGGCTCACTTGAGCCCAGGAAGTCAAGACTGCGGCGAGCTGTGATCATGCCACTGCACCCCAGCCTGAGTGACAAGAGTAAGACCCTGTCTCCAAACACAAACCAAAACCAAAACCAAAAGAAAACTATAAGCTATAAGGGTTGAGAGGGTGGAAAAGGAGTTTGGCTGGAGGCAGCTGAAGGCCCTGCCTTGAGGCCCCGGAATGAACAGTGAGAGAAAGGTTAGGATACTGGGACTGGAAATGCAAGAGAGAAACATTCCCAGGGAAAAGCTTACACCTGGGAATTGAGGTAGAGAGAATACTGAAGCGTTTACCTACGTGTTTTTCCCTGTCACAGAAAAAAGGCATTGCTTTGGCAAATATTTTCTGCTGTAAAATCCTGAACTCTGTTAGCTTCCTTTCCCTGCCCACCTTGTTTTGCAGGTAGGCAACCTGAGGTGGCCTATTTGAGGTCAGAGTTCATATCTGGGCCAGGTGGAGTTTGCTCCCCTAAAAAGGTGAGCTCAGAGAGCTCAGTGACTCAGGACTCAAGAGATGGTTTCTACCAGTGTAATTCAAGGGTAACTGAACGGCACTTCTTTTGCAGAGCATTCAAACCTTCCCGCATACTCATTCCCACACATCATCTGGGAAAACAAGTCTCCTCTGTCTCAGACGTCATGAGTGGGTTGTGGCGACCAAGAGTCATTGTCAATGGCCTATAATGCCTTTCACCCCACCAGGCTGTGTTCTTCCCACCTCCTGACTTTATACATGGCTACTCCCAGGACAAGCTTCTTCCAGATGGTCCAGCTCGTTTCCTGCCTGACTTTCCCAATGAGCCCTTGTGTTGGCTCCTTTGGCCCTCTTTTTGAAAGAGTGGACAAGAATCAGATGATTCTGAGGTCTTGCATTTGTTTTCATTTTGTGTGTGAAATGGTGTTTAAGGCCCATAGCATTAAGTTTGAAGGAAAGATAGTTTCAGGAGAGAGCTGAGACTCTATACTTTTCCCAAGGTTTATTTGCATTGCCAATGAAACATCCATTAAAGCCATCTCAGCCAACTATAGAGTTTGAATTGGGGAAGAAAATACCACGGTGGAAAAGTAGAATTTGATGTTAGCCATGCAGATGGCGACTGAACTTAAGAAAAAAGGGAGAAATGTAAAGGAAGGCCTACTGTCAGTGCCTGTGTTGTCCCAGCATGGTTTAGCTTTGGCCATTCAAAATCCCCTACCTAGGCCAGGCACGGTGGCTCACACCTGTAATCCCAGCACTTTGGGAGGCTAAGGCCAGCTCACTTGAGGTCAAGAGTTCAAGACCAGCCTGACCAACATGGCAAAACCTCATCTCTACTGAAAAATACAAAAATTAGCCAGTCGTAGTGGTGCACGTCTGTAGTCCCAGCTACTTGGGAGGCTGAAGCGGGAGAATCACTTGAACCTGGGAGGCGGAGGTTGCTGTAAGCCGAGATCGGGCCACTGCACTCTGGCCCGGGCGACAGAGTGAGACTCCTCTAAAAAAAAAAAAAATCCCCTAGCTTGCAGAATATTGGTAGGCTGAAACTTACGGGCAGGTAAAGTCTGCAACTAGTTTTGCTGCCCTAATCTTTTTGCCCTGGGCATCATTGTTTTCATTGCTTGCAACCACAGGCTAATTTCCACTGGATGTTCTCATTCTGTTTAGGTTTCCTGATTTTCACTGTAGCCTCTCCATCTGGTGTAGATGTGCCTGGCTCCTTGCCAGCTCCTTCCGCTAGGGGGCGTGACTGTCCCTGGGAGACTTAATGGCTGTCCGGGGCCATGTTCGAGGAAACAACATTAGTCCCTGTTTTACTCAGTATTATCAAATTCCTTGCACAAGGATGGTCAATAGGTTTCAAGTAGCATATCGATTCAATGCATTGGGAATGGTTGCCTGAATCTTCATATTGAGGATGATCCTGATAAATTAGTGACGGTAGTATGGTCCTAGGATAGGGTAGTAGCAGTGTTCATAACATTTATTTACCATATTCACACTAGAACTTCCTGCTGTCAGGCATCACCCATCAGACCTGCTCCCCTGGATACTGACTCAGACCTGGATGTAGCCTGGGGCTCGTGATGCCCCTTGGGGTCCTGCAGGTGTGTTGTTAGCCCCTTAGAACAGGTCCTGAGGTCACAATGTCTGAACCGACTTGGGTTCAGAAGTCACAGCATGTTTTGTGGCTGTAGCTGAGCCTGAGATGATAAAATCATGGACACATTGTAGGGTACTGCAAAGTTAGTGGGAGGTAGAAAGGTGGGGGGCTGTGGGGCGGGGGTGGATGTCTAAAGAAGGCCCTGCAGAGGGCTGGGAAAAATAGGAGGAAAAGGGAATTGTACAAGATGACGTACCAGAAGAAATTTTTGTAATTGTTTTATGATAACATAATTGTTTTACACTTGTATTCACAGACTCTCTCAGGCACTTTTCCAAAAGCTGACCATGAAGTTTTATCAGTTTAAGAGCAAACAGGATATCATATTTCTTTGACTTTAATGTTTTTAGGAATAAAGATAACGTGCTTTTAGGAAAGGAAAGAAAACATTAAAAAAAAAAACCCTAAACTGTATATACTATAAAATCTTAGAATGACATACTAAAACAAAAAATAAGTAGTTAAATTTAACTGTGGATGTTCTAGAATGTTCTTGCTATTTATATCTTTATAAATGTAAGATTTGTATTAAATCTTATTTTATCAAGTATATTCATTAAGATCAAAGGTCTAGATTTTAATCTGGACTGAACATTTACTACTTGTATGATTTTGGCCTTAGTTTCTGAAACTATAAAGTGGGGATTATGATAAAACCTATCTCAAATAATTAGTGTCTATAGGGTGCTTAGCATAATAGTTGGCTGGCACAGAGTAAATAATAAATATTAGTGTTGACTATTATTGTCTAGTTTCCATTTGGGATGGATATTCTAGTATGACTTAATAAATACATACTTTAGAGTCCTGAAGTAAACAATCATGCATAACACCTTGAAATTCTGAGCAGGTGTGAAATATTGAGTTATGTAAATTTTTTAAAACTTTTTTTAATTTGACAAATAATAATCGCATATATTTAGAGTGTAGAACTTTTTTTTTTTTTTGAGACAGGGTCTGTCTCTTGTCAGTCAGGCTTGAATACAGTGGCACAGTCTTGGCTCAAGTGGCCTCTTGGGCTCAAGCAATCCACCCATCTCAGCCTCTTGAGTAGCTGGAACCACAGGTGTGTGCCACCATGCCTGGCTAGTTTTTGTATTTTTTGTAGAGACGAGGTTTCGCCATGTTGTCCAGGCTGGTCTTGAACTTCTGAACTCCAGAAATCCGCCTGCCTTGGCCTCCCAAAGTGCTGGGATTACAGGTGTGTGCCACCATACCCAGCCTATTTATAGGGTATAACGTGACGTTTCACTGTCTGTTTACAGTGTAGAATGATTAAATCAAGCTAATTATTATATCTATCACCTTACATACTTTTTGTGGTGAGAACACTTAAAATCTACTTTGAGCAATTTTGAAATACGCAGTATATTATTATTATTAATTATAGCCACCATTCTGTGCAGTAGATCACCAAAGCTTATTTCTCCCGTCCAGCTGAAACTTTGATTAACATCTTTGATTAACATCTTTCCTTTTCCCATCTATGTCTCTCCTCAGCCTCTGGTAACTACCATTCAACTCTCGACTTCTCTGAGTTCAACTTTTTTAGATTCTACATATAAGTGAGATCATGCAGTATTTGCATTTCTGTGCCTGGCTTACAGTAATGTAAATTTTATTTTGGTTGCATTATATGCAGGGGAGAGAGGTGTCAATTTGAAAAATCACATTCACTAATGCTTATATTTTATACTAATGCAATATCATGACCTGATTTAATCTCTAATGAGAATAGTATAGCGTTCTACATAAAAATGGAGTCCAGAGAAATTGTTCAGAAATAAATTTGGGCCTAACTGTGACAGAGGCTTGCTGCATCTGTTGCACCTCCAAAAAGCCTGGAATGTCTTATGAGACTCGGCTATACAGTTACCCAATTTTTGCTGGACATTTAAGTGATATCATTAGCTATGTGATGTTTATTGCAACACTAGATAAAACTTTAAAAACATTTTTATGTTTAGGAGCCAAATATTCCAACCAGGGGGACAGTTTTGCTTATTTAGTGGTTAAGTGAATGGGTTTTGGAACCAGAAGGATATGGGTTCAAATTCTGCCTTTATAATTACTAATAGAGCTGTTGAAAGGATTAGTTGAATTAGGCATGAAATGTATTAATGAAATGTAATGTCTCATAGCAAATGCTCATTCACTCATTCATTTAGTAAATAAATAATAATGGCACATTTACAATGTGACAGGCAGTGGTCTGGGTGCCGTTGATACAGCAAGATCAAGATCTGGAAAGTCCATGCTCACAGGGAGCTTGTATTTTAGTGAAAAGAGCCAGAAATACACCAAAAAAAAAAGTGTTAATAAGTGCTATGAAGAATAAAAACCAGGCCGGGTGCAGTGGCTCACGCCTGGAATCCCACCACTTTGGGAGGCCGAGGCAGGCAGATCATGAGGTTAGGAGTTCGAGACCAGCCTGGCCAACATGGTGAAACCCTGTCTCTACTAAAAATACAAAAATTAGCCGAGTGTGGTGGTGCACGCCTGTAATCCTAGCTACTCAGGAGGCTGAGGCAGGAGAATTGCTTGAACCCGCGAGGTGGAGGTTGCAGTGAGCTGAGATCACACCATTGCACTCCAGCCTGGGCAACAGAGCGAGACTCTGTCTCAGAAAAAAAAAAAAAAAAAAGGGTAAGGAATAGGAAGATTTAGGGATGCTAATATCCCTAGCCAGGGAGTAAATGTCAGCTGTCATCATCATCATCATCATCATCATCATCATCATTTCATTAGCTACATTTCAAATCCTATTTTGCCAAGAGGAGAGAGAAAAATCGGACAAGGGAGAGGAAAGGGAGAAAGGGCAAAGGGCAGTAAAGGAAGGCTAAGCAGGGAAAGAGAGAGGAATAGAGAGTGCATTGAACAGGATGACGAATAAGAAAACCAACAAGGAGAAGGAAGGTAAGAGTAGGGAGCAGGGACAATTGCTTGTCTTATAAACTGGTGGTGGTGGTGGAGTTGGTGGGGTGGGGGGTGTGTTATTTGAAGGAAAGAGAGAATGGAACTCAGAGAAAATGATATTGTTCTTTAACTGCTCAGTGGACTTTAAAATGTTTAGTTTTGAGGGCTTTCAGGACATTTTTCTGAGGGCAGGGTTGGCAACATAATTTGTGGGGCCCAGGGCAAAATGAAAATGTAGATTCCTTTTTCAAAAATTATTAAGAATTACAAGATGGTGATGACAGGGTATTGAACCAAAGGCAACTGCGTAGGTCACACACCATGAGCCAGCCCTGTCTGAGAGCTTAATACATGAACATGGTACACAGCAAACATTTAATAAAAATAGTTGTTGAATGAACAAAACCCGGGGCTAGTTGCTTTTGAACTCCTCTGAGGACTGGCCCGTATTTTAGAAAAAAACTGATTTTATTTGGCTTCAATTTCAAATTTCCTTCTATTGTTCTCCACCGTGGGGTCCAGATCTTTATGGAACAGCCGATTCCTGCACAGGGTTTTACAGCAGGAATCCTCCCAGACCAGCTGGGCTTTGTTTATTCTCTTGCACTTACAGAGTGTGGCCACTTGGGGTCACCACACCAAAAAGGCAGAAGCTGGAGGAGGGCCCCTGCGACGGTGGACATCTGAAACGAGTGGCTAAAAGCCACTGGGAAGGATTAGTTTATCAGAGCCAATGTATAAAGACTGCCTGTACTTTACATTTTGATACAGTTCTATAATTCTATAACAAGAGCTCTAAAACTCTTTAAGAAACATTTGAATGATGTAAAGTTTTGCGAGGATAATGATAGGGTTCCCAGGGGTGAGGAGGGGAATCTTTTTGTAAATGTGTACCCTACCTCTAAAAGCATGCATTTGGCCGGGCGCGGTGGCTCACGCCTGTAATCCCAGCACTTTGGGAGGCCGAGGCGGCGGATCACAAGGTCAAGAGATCGAGACCATCCTGGCCAACATGGTGAAACTCCATCTCTAGTAAAATACAAAAAATTAGCTGAGTGGGCCGTCGCGGTGGCTCCCGCCTGTAATCCAAGCACTTCGGGAGCCCGAGGTGGGTGGATCACGATGTCAGGAGTTCAAGACCAGCCTGGCCAAGATGGTGAAACCCTGTCTCTACTAAAAATACAAAAATTAGCCGGGCGTGGTGGCTGGCACCTGTAATCCCAGTTACTCGGGAGAGAACTGCTTGAACCTTGGAGGTGGAGGCTGCAGTGAGCCGAGACTGCACCACCGCACTCCAGCCTGGGCGACAGAGCGAGACTCTGTCTCAAAAAAAAAAAAAAAAAAAAAAAAATTAGCTGGGCGTGGTGGCACGTGCCTGTAGTCCCAGCTACACAGAAGGCTGAGGCAGGGGAATCACTTGAACTTGGAGGGCGGAGGTTGCAGTGAGCCGAGATCGCGCCACTGCACTCCAGCCTGGTGACAGAGCAAGACTGTGTCTCAGAAAAAAAAAAAAAGGAAAAAAAAGAAAAACATGCCATTTACAACATTAAGCTTAATACGACAAGTATTTGCATGTGGATCATTCACTTATTAATTGAGCCTCTACTATATGCAAGGCACTGGGCTGGGCAGTGAACAATACAGGCATCGTCCCTGTGCCTGATGTAGGAGCAGTTCCTGGAAATGGAGACAGACTCAGTGATTTGTTCACCACCATGATATGTGCTTCCAAGGATGAGTGAGCACTGCTCCCAAGGACAACGAAAGGTGCTTGCCTTAAAAGCGCAGGATCCAGAGGGTTCACTAAAATGGGTCTGGAACCAAGAATCCAACCCAAAGACATGTTCCTGTTTCCCTCTCTACAAAAGCAGGAAACATATTTCAGTTGGTTTACATCCACCAAACATGCAGAAAACCCTGATACACAATCAGGTTTTTTTTTAATGATTAGGAAAAAGAACATTTATGTGTCTGGTTTTTATTTTTATTTTATCAAAGAGGAGGCTAAAATGCTGGGCTCTCTGGCTTACTAGCAAATGCCTGATAACCCTAGTCGCCAATGCTAATGTTGATTGAGCTCTAGGCTAAACATAATACATATATTATCTTCTTTAATCCTCACATAATTTGGTGAGCTAGGGATTCTTATTGTCCTTAATTCACACTTGAAGAACGTGAGCCTTAGTCAAGTTAAGTAACTCCCTGAGGCCTGACATCTAGTAAGAGATGAGTTGGAATTTGAATTCAAGTAGTTAAATGCCAGACCAGAGCAGTTGCACTCTACAACCTCATTCTGAGGGAGGCGCTTTCCCAAGACAGGTCATTAGTCTGTAGATAAAAGGCGCAAAGTTAAGTTCCTAATGACTAAGAGTTTATTTACAAGTCAAATCCTTACTTTGCCAATTACTTTTATACTGGACACAAAATGCATCTCCTGTCCTGCTGGTCTTCCTGGTGTATCTTTCTTCTTCCAGGAGTCCTGAAAAGAGATTTTGGATTGATCTCTGGAAGTCAATATCCACTGCCAAAAAATAATTCCACATGCATCTGCAATCTGCCTGTCTGTGCCCTGCTACTCCGCAACCTTCTCAGTGCAGACGTTAAATCATTCACTCCTTGGGGCTGGGCGTGGTGGCTCATGCCTGTAATCCCAGCACTTCAGAAGGCCAAGTCAGGGCAATCACTTTAGGGAAGGAGTGTGAGACCAGCCTGGCCAACATGGTGAAAGCCCATCTCTACTATAAATACAAAAATTAGCTGGATGTGGTGACATGTACCTGTAATCCCAGCTACTCAGGAGACTGAGGCAGGAGAATCGCTTGAAAGCGGGAGGCAGAGGTTGCAGTGAGCCAAGATCGCACCACTGCACTCCAGCCTGGGCAACAGAGAGAGACTCCATCTCAAAAAAAAAAAAAAAAAAAAATCATTTATCCCTTGGATAGGCTTCCCCCACCCCACATTGACATATTTGATATATCTATGTCCATGATTAAAATGTACAGTTAGGGCCGGGGACGGTGGCTCACGCCTGTAATCCCAACACTTTAGGAGGCCGAGGCGGGCAGATCACCTGAGGTCGGGAGTTTGAGACCAGCCTGACCAACATGGAGAAACCCAGTCTCTACTAAAAATACAAAATTAGCTGGGCGTGGTGGCACGTGCCTGTAATCCCAGCTACTCCGGAGGCTGAGGCAGGAGAATCACTTGAACCCAGGAGGCGGAGGTTGCAGTGAGCCAAGATCACGCCATTGTTACCCAGCCTGGGTAACAAAAGCGAAACTCTGTCTCGAAAAAACCAACCAAACAAACAAAACAAATGTGCAATTAGTTATTTAGGACATTTAGCTTTGAATTCTTAGCTAAAACCTCCAGGTACTCACGGAACTGTCAGAAGTCTCAGAGGGAACCAGCAAAAACTGTTTCAGAAGGAGAAGTGGTAAATGGACTTCCTTCCATGTTCACTTGAATTTCGGGGAAGATACTGCTGCTTATGTTGAAGTAATCTCTATGGGCAGGTGTTGAAACAGGGCTGGCCTGAGGAGTGCCTAAGCAGGGCTGGTTTCCCAGAGCAGGGGCACTTGGAGCCAGCTTTGGAATAAAAGGTATCAGGACTGGTGAAGAAAAGGGGTAGAGTTCTAGGGAAGGAATGATCAGGAAAGTAATTCCCCAGCTGGAGACATTGGTCAAATAGGAAACTGGCCTGTGCCACATGCCCTGCTCTCCTCATTTTGCTCATTATCATAGTTCACCGCAGCCTCGAACTCCTGGGCTCAAGCAATCCTCCTGCCTCAGCCTCCCAAAGCTCTGGGATTATAGGTGTGAGCCACTGTGCTCGACCTAAGAAGTTCTTGAGAGGGGAAAATAACCTTTTGAAAATTGAAACTGAAACATAAAAAAAAGAAGACAAATTTTATCCCCTCCCACAAAAAGAATGAAAAGCTAGGTCTCTCTGCAGGAAATGGAAGACTGTCTTAGCTCAATGGATGTGTATAGCTGGAATCCATTGCTCTGAAGATTCCAGATTAATAGGAAGGAGGGCATTAGCAATGTTTTATAGGGCCCTTCCTAAGTTTGGTAGGCAGTGGGTCCCACTGATGCTCACATTCTAATCCCTGGAACCTGTGCATATGTTATTTTTACATGACAAAGGGGGTATTGCATATGTGATTAAGGTTAAGGACCCTGAGATGGAAGATTATCCTGGATTAAATGGTTGGGTCCACTCTAATCATATGGGTCCTTAAAAACTGAGCATCTTTTCCAGCCTAAGTCAGAGTCAGAGGAAGATGTGACCACAGAAGAATGGTCAGAGAGATGTAATGCTGCTAGCTTTGAAGATGGAGGAAGGGGGCCACAAGCCAAGGTATGTGGGTGGCCTCTAGAAGCTGGAAAAGGCAAAGAAACAAATTCTCCCGCAGAGTCTCTAGCAAGGAACACAGACATGCTGACACCTTGATTTTTAGCCCAGTGAGACCTGTGACAGACTTCTAACGTACAGAACTGTAAGATAATATGTCTGAGTCATTTTAAGCTACTCAATTTGTGGTGATTTGTTAAAGCAACAATGGAAAACTCATACACCATGGGACAGCAATATGAGGCAGACACTGCCATTGTCATTTACAGTCATTTAACTGACATATAAAAGAACTAGGTTCTTGCCCAATGTCACACAGCTGTCAAGTGATATTAATCCAAGAATTAATGTCTTCGGACACTGGTCTTCAGAGCTCATGCTCTAACTATTGCACAATACCACCTCCCAGGATGTTTGTGGGGAGGAGGCTGGAGGTAGGTTTCAAGTAAAAGCTCACTAAGGGTGAGTGAGTTACACAGCTGGATAAAGAGCTTGGTTGACTCAAAGGGAAGCTTTTCAAAGCCCTGGATTAATGTAGAGCAGAAAGTAGTTGTTCCTCAGGCTAGGTTTCCATTCTGTTCCTGTTTAGTCTTCCTTCCTCCCTGCTTTGATCATGACAAACTGGTTTACTCAGTGTCCCACAAACATGTCATTAAGCACGACTTTTTTCTACACTGATACCTTTGTCCAAGCCTCCCTGCCTCTCTCTCCCACCTCCCTGCTGCTAACCCCCTTTCAAGAGCTCTCACCCCTTCTCAACCCAGCTACTCTGACCTGGGGGCACCTGAGTTCACGGACTTTGGTATGAATTACACATCGCCCTGGGCCTTTTTTTTTTTTTTTTTTTTTGGTATCTCTGCCATCAAGTGTCTTAACTTCTCATCATTTAATTTTTTATGTCGCTTATAATTTATTTCCAAGTTGACTGGCCGCTGTGGACTTCTTGCAGGCGGGGACATGAATCCACCTGGAGCGGTCTTCATGGTCAACTGGGATCTTTATTCGTTCCTAAAATAAATCTTACTATCACATGCAATTTTGCTTTTCGTGAGTGCATGTTTTCCTTTCTCTGACTCCCCACGACCCAGAGTACATCAGGCCCTTGTTAAATGTCCCCGTGGCTCTTATTACAGATTCAGGGTGATGATCTGAGTGTCCACCTTGCTGATTACTACGGTACCCCCGCGTGTGGCACAGGGTGTGGCACACACAGAAGACAAGGAGATATGTTAAAGCCCAAAGGCCAGGCACAAGACGCCCAGGAGGGACTAGTCGCGAGAGAGGGCAGGAGGCCAGCTGGGTACCCGGCCGCCGCCCGTAGCCCCAGCTCACAGCCCCCGCTCACTCCTGCAGGTGCGGGGGCGGGAACCGGGTCGCGCGCCTTCTGCCCGGCGTTCCGCGCGCCCCCGCGCCGCCGGCCCGAGCGCCCCGCCCCCGCCCCGCCCCTTCGCGCTCGCGCCACTTGGAGCTCGCCCCCGTCGTTCCCGCGGCGCCGCGCCTCGCTGGCTCCTCAGCTTCCAGCCAAAATGGCGGAGAACAGCGAGAGTCTGGGCACCGTCCCCGAGCACGAGCGGATCTTGCAGGAGATCGAGAGCACCGACACCGCCTGTGTGGGGCCCACCCTCCGGTAAAGATCTCATCCCACCGGGACTTCGGCCCCCCGCCCCACGCCGGCCGCTCCTCACGAGCCGGGCGGGGCGTCCGCCGCCGGCCGCGCGCGAAGCTCCCCGACAGGTGGTGCGCGCGGGGGCGGGCGGGGGCGCTCGCGGGTGGCGGAACTCTAGCCGGTACCCGGGCGGGACCGAGAAGGCGGCTGCACCTGTCGGCGCGGCCTGCCTCCACCGCTGTAGCTGTCACCCCGCAGCCGGTGGGTGTGGCTGCTGCAGGGTCTCTAACCCCGGGCCCCGCGCTGCGGCCCCGCGTTCTCCTCCTGGCTGCGGCCCCCGGGCCCGAGGACACTTCTGGGGCCTGCCCCCGTCTCGCTCGTGGTGGGGCTGAGGGCTGCTCGGCCGCGGGCATGCCAGGCTAGGGTCGACAGCAGGCACCCGGCGTGACGGAGGTGCCAGGTCGCGCGCGGGTGGAAAGCCTGGCGCGCCGGGCTGCCGCGGGCGTGGGAGAATTGAAATTGAGCGGGAGACGCCGGCCCGCTTTCCCCCTACTCCCCCGCGCGGCCGCAGTGGGCGAGAAGAGAGCGTGGGCTGGAGAAGAGAGCGTGGGCTGGAGGAGAGCAGCTGCTTGCTGCTTGGGAACACGCTAGGGTGACCCTGCGCTCGCGGGATCTAAGCTGCTTTGGAGGCAGAACAGCTTTTACTTATTTACAAACATTTCATTAAAATTGCATTAATTTTTCCGTTTAAATCGAGTTCCTCCCCATTCATTTTAAGAATAGTACTAGGTAATGCATATTCCATGCCAAACTGAGTACCTGCTGTTCCAATAGAATATTATTAGCCAGGCAACGTAATGAGCCATGGGTTAGGTTAGGCACTGTCTTCAAGAATAAGTTCCTTTTACATATAAGGTTTCATCTTTTGGAGTGATAATAATGATAAATGAAGTTATTATTCACTTAGGGAACTTGAGACTGATTATGCTTTATCATTAGTATTCTTCAGAATACACTTCCTAGAATAGAGCGCTGTACAGTTTGTGGACCTGTGAATATAGTGTAAATTGAAGCCAGTTCAAGTTATGTAAATACACCTTGCCCTTAAGAGTCAGGAGGCCTGGGTTCTTGTTTTGCCCTAATTCTGCCTCTGATGAAATGTGCAGTCATGGAAAAAAATTATTTAACCTCTCTGGATCTCGGTTTCCTTATTTGTAGAATGGGGAGGGGAGAGTATTCAGATGCCCAGGAAACTCAGAACATTAGGGACCTTGCCTATTTGTTCACTACTGTATCCCTAACACCAAGCATGTGGTAGGCATGTTATAAATTTTTGTCACATAAGGTTTCTGCTATGATATGATAATGCATAATTAGTGCATTTCCTTAATTTTCCAACATTATTATTTCTTTTAATAAACTGTATACTTGGTAATGAAAGAAGTAAGATTAAAAGGAAGCTTTGTTTTCATCACTGCATCTTGAAACTGAGAGTGCAGTGTGTGATAAAGTTACTAGAGTAGTTTATTTGTGAAAATAGTACTGGTTATGAAGGAGGTGCTTCATCTTAGGAAAATGTGCTAGGTAGTGTCCTTGAAAAAAGATGAAATTAACTTAGAAGAAAAATTTGAAATATATTGAGAGATTTTTGGGACACTCAGGAACAGAATATGTGTATTCATAGTGTTATTCTGTTCTTTTTTGCTGGGCAGTTGTTTCAACTGGCTCATTTTGTTTGAACCCACTCTCTTTTCTTTAGCAATCCCTGGTGACTCATACTTATCCCATATATATGTATATTTGTGTCTCATTTATAAGCAGACGCTTTTTGCACACATATAGAGGGTACTGCTAGCAGTCTTTTCTCTTGAACATTGTTTAAGCTACTACTATTTTTTCCCTTTTTTTTCAGGTTTCACGAAGTGAAGTGTTAATATTGCATTTTTAAAAACCATTTATTATGGAAAAATTTTAAATGTTTAAAAAAGTAAAATAGTGTAATGAACCACCATGAACTGTCATCTAGCTTCAATTCATTCCCTGGCCAGTCTTGTTTGATCTCTTCCCTTATCTACTCCCTATCATCTTGGATTATTTTGAAGGAAATCCAAGACATCAATTTATTCATAAATATTTTAGTATTAAGATTAATTTTTGTTGTTATTTCCTAATTATCTTTTAGCTGGCCTGTAGACTTATCATTTTATTTATATTGTTTTTTCTCAGCGGCGGGATTTTTCAGCCTGATCTTTTCCTGAGAAGCACGTGATAAACTTTCCGCAGGCCCTGACATATAACATGGTTCTTTGACCACAACAGAAGTATATTAGAAATCAGTAGTTAAAAAAAACAAAAAAACAAAAACTATCTGGAAAATTCCCAAATATTTGGTCATTGACTAACACACAAAAAATAAATCAAAAGAGAAATTAGAAAGTATTTTAAACTGAGTAAAATGAAAACACAGCATATCATTTGTGAATGCAGCTAAAGAAATAGTTAGAAGTTTATGGCACCAAACACCTCTACTAGAAAAGAATGGCTTCAGCTCCTAGCCTAAGAAACTAGGAAAAGAGGAGCAAATGAAATTCAGAAGAGTGGAAGAAAGGAGATGGTAAAGATCAGAGTGGTATTCAGTGAGACAGAAATACAGAAAGTCAGTGAAACTCAAAACTGGTTCTTTGAGGAGACTGTAAAATTGATAAACCTTTAGGGGTAGAAAAGGAGACGATACAAATTAAAAATAACAGGGCCAGGCGCGGTGGCTCACGCCTGTAATCCTAGCACTTTGGGAGGCCGAGGCAGGCAGATCACTTGAGGTCAGGAGTTTGAGACCAGCCTGGCCAACATGGTGAAACCCCGTCCCTACTAAAAATACAAAAAAATATTAGCTGGGTGTGGTAGCACACGCTTGTAATCCCAGCTGCTCGAGAGGCTGAGGCAGGAGAATCGCTTGAATCCGGGAGGCGGAGGTTGCAGTGAGCCGAGATTATGCCACTACTCTCTAGCCTGAGCGACGGAGCGAGACTCCATCTTAAAAAAACAAAAACAAAAACAAACAAAAAAAAAACAAAACCAACCAACTAACCAAACAAACAAAAAAACGGGAGTGAGAGAGGTTACGTGACTATAGATTCTACAGACATTAAAAAAAGGTTAAGAAATATTATGAATAGGCTGAGTGCAGTGGCTCATGCCTGTAATCCCAGCACTTTGGGAGGCTGAAGCAGGAGGATTGCTTGAGCTCAGGCATACAAGACCAGCCTGGGTAACATAATGAGACCTTGTCTCTACAAATACAAAAATTAGCTAAGTGTGGTGGTGTGTGCCTGTGGTCCCAGCTACTCGGGAGGCTAACGTGGGAGAATGGCTCAGAGTCTGGGTCGTTAAGGCTGTAGAGAGCTGAGATTGTGCCACTGCACTCCAGCCTAGGCAACAGAGTGAGACCCCCATCTCAAAAAATGTATATATATTATGAACAACTTCATGCTCATACATTTGGCAACTTAGCAGAAATGGACAAATTAGTTGAAAGATACAAAGTATTATCAAAGTTCACTTAAGAAGAAATAGCTGAATAGCCCTGTATCAATTAAAGAAAGGGAATTTTGCTGTTATAAGCCTTCCCCAAAAGGAAACTCTAGGCCCAGATAGTTTTACTGGTGGATTCTACATCTTTAAGGAAGAATTAATGCCAATTCTACAAAGACTTTTCTGGAAAATTGAAGAGGAGGGAATATTTCCCAGCTCATTTTGAGGTCAACATTAACCTGATACCAGAACTAAAGAAAGAAAGACATAACTAGAAAAGGAAACTAAATCAGTATTCCTCATACACACAGATTTTACAAAAAATTTTAGAGAATTAAATCCATATATGTGGATTTAAAAGTATAAAATACATCTATATAAAAAGTATATTCTGTATATGTATATATGTGTGTGTATATATATGTGAAGAATACATCATGATCAAGTGAGGTTTATTTCAAGAAAGATGCTGGCTTAACATTTGAAAAATCAATGTAACATTGTTCACCATATTAAACAAAGAAAAGTTGTATGATCATATATGTGGAGAAAGCATTGACAAAATCGAATATTAATTCCTGATTTTAAAAACCCTCAGAAACTAGTAATGGAAATTCCTCAGCTTAAAACAGGGCATCTATGAAAATCTAGAGCTAAATTGTGCTTAGTGGTAAGAGTCTGAATGCTTTTCCTCTAAAATCAGGAATGAGGTAAGGATATTCATTCTCACCACTTCTATTCAACACTGTACTAGAATGTTGAATATAAGGCCGGTATAATAAGACCATTTAAAAAAAAAGCATCTAGTTTGGAAAACCGTCTTTATTTGCACACTGTGTGATCAACTATTATAGAAAATCCTGTGGAATGTACAGAAAAGCTACTAGAACTGATAAGTGAGTTTAGCAAGGTTGTAGGAATCAGGTGGATATGCAAAAGCCAATTGTGTTTCTCTGTACTAGCAACAATCAGAAATTGAAATTTAAAATTTGATGGTATCAAAAATATGAAATACTCAGGGATAAATCTGACTAAAGATGTGGAAGACTTGTATGTGAAAAATACAAAACATTGCTGATATAAATTAAATTAACATTGCTGATACTAAACTAAGTAAGTGGACACATACTGTTTTCATGGATTGGAAGACAGTATTGTTAAGATGTCAGTTTTCTCCAACTTAGTCTAGATATTCAAGATAATCTGAATAAATCCCAGCAGAATGAAAATTTATAGAAATTGACAAGCTGATTCTAAATTTCATGTAGAAATGTAAAGGACCTAGATTAGCCAAACTAACTTGGTAAAAGATGAACAGAATTGGAGGACCCATAGACCTGATTTTAAGATTTACTATAAAGCTACAGAAATTAAGACTGTGGTACTAGCATCAAGATAAACAAATAGATCAGTGAAACTTAATAGAAACCACATAAATAGATTAACACAGTCAATTGATTTTCAACAAAGATGAAAAGGCAATTCAGTAGAAAGAGATAGTCTTTTTTAGTAATGGTGGTGGAAAAATTGGATATCCTTACATAAAATAATGAACTTTGATCCATGCTTTGCACCATATTTAGAAATTAACTCAAAATGAACCCAAGACCTAAATGTAAAATGCAAAACTATAAGACTACTAGAAAACATAGGAGGAAATCTTTGTGACTTTAGGATAGGCCAAGATGTCTTAGATACTGTTTGCAAAAGCATAATACATAAGAGAAAAAAATTGATAAATTGGACTTTATTTATTGGACCAGAATTGAGAATATCTAGTCCTTGAAGAAGCTATTGAGGTTGCAGTGAGCCGTGATCATGCCTCTGCACTCCAGTCTGGGCAACAGAGTGAGTCCCTGTCTCAAAAAAAAAAAAAAAAAGGAAAGAAAGAAAAGGTGAGCCACAGATTGGGAGAAGATATTGGCAAATTGCATATCCAATAAATAAATTCTGTCTAGAATGTATAAAGGAAGTGTTTGAGACTGAATAATAATAAAACAACTAAAAAAATGAGGCTGGGTGTAGTGGCTCACACCTGTAATCCCAACACTTTGGGAGGCTGAGGCAGGTGGATCACAAGGTCAAGAGATTGAAACCATCCTGGCCAATGTGGTGAAACTCCGTCTCTACTAAAATACAAAAATTAGCTGGGCTTGGTAGCACACGCCTGTAGTCCCAGCTACTTGGGAGGCTGAGGCAGGGGAATCACTTGAACCTGGGAGGCGGAGGATGCATGAGCCGAGATTGTGCCAATGCACTCCAGCCTGGGCGACAGAATGAGACTCCATCTCAAAAAAAAAAAAAAGACTGACTATACCATGTATTGGTAAGGATGTAGAAGAACTGGCACTCTCATACACTGCTGTGGGAATTCCATAAATGCTGTTTATCAGGTTGAGGAGTTCTCTTAGTTTTCATTATGAAGGGGTGTTGAATTTTATCAGATGCTTTTTTCTGTATCTATTGAGGTGATCATGTGGTTTTGTCCCTTATTCTTTTGATATGGTATATTACATTATCAGATGTAAACCAACTTTGTATTCATGGGATAAATCCCATTTGATCATAGTGCATAAAGTATAATCCTTTTTATATGTTGTTGGATTCTGTTTGCTAGTATTTTGTTGAGGATTTTTGCATGTGTATTCATAAGATATTTTGATCTGTTTTTTGTGTGTGTGTGTGTGATGTCTTTGATATGAGAATGATACCTCATAGAATGAGTTGGTGCTCTCTCAATTGAGATGAGTATTTGGGTTTTTTCCCCCCTTTATTCTATTCATGTGGTACATTACATTGATTGATTTCCTCATGTTTAATTACCCTTGCATTCCTAGGATAAATCTCATTTGGCCATAGTGTATAATCCTCTTTAATATACTGTTGGATTTGGTTTGCTAGTATTTTATTGAGAATTTCTACATCTATATTCATGAGGGATTTCTGTAATTTTTTTAGAGACAAAATCTCACTGTGTTGCCCAGACTGATCTTGTACTTCTGGCCTCAAGCAGTCCTCCTACCTTAGCCTCCCGAGTAGCTGGAATTATAGGCATGAGCCACTGTGCCTGGCATGAAAATTTTTTTTTTTAATTTATGTTTGAGACAGGATCTTGCTACATTGCCCAGGCTGGTCTTGAACTCTGGAGCTCATGCAGTTCTCCCACCTCAGCCTCCTGAGTATCTGAAACTACAGGCATGTTCCACCATGCCCAGCTCTGTAATTTTCTTTTTTTGGTGATGTCTTTATCTGGCTTTGGTATCAGGGTAATGCTGGCCTTATAGAATGAGTTAGGAAGTGTTCGCTTCTCTTCCACATTTGGAAGAGCTTGTGAATGATTAATGTTAATTCTTTAAATATATGGTAAAATTTTCCAGTTAAGCCATGTGTATTTTCTTTGTTGGGAAGTTTTCGATTACTGATTCCATTTCATTACTTGTTAAAGGTATACTCAGATTTTCTAGTTTTCTTGAGTTAGTTTTGATAGTTTGTGTCTTTCTAGGAATTTGTTGTGTTTCATTTAGATTATTTTAGTTGTTGACATATAATTGCTCATAACTTTTTCTTATTTTTATTTCTGTAACATTCTCTCTTTTGTTCTTGAATTTAGTAATTTGAGTCTTTGTTTTTGCTTGGTCATTCTAGATAAAGGTTTGTCAATTTTGTTGATCTTTTCAAAGAACCAACTCTCTGTTTTATTGATTTTTTTCTCTATTGTTTTTGTTTTTTCTTTTTTTTGAGATGAAGTCTTGCTCTGTTGCCCAGGCTGGAGTGCAGTAGCGCGATCTTGGCTCACTGCAACCTCCGCCTCCTGGGTTCAAGCGATTCTCCTGTTTCAGCCTCTCGACTAGCTGGGATTACAGGCACATGCCACCATGCCTGGCTAATTTTTATATTTTTAGTAGAGATAGGGTTTGCCACGTTGGCCAGGCTGGTCTTGAACTCCTGACCTCAGGTGATCTGCCTGCCTTTGCCTCCAAAATTTCTGGGATTACAGGCATGAGCCACTGCACCTGGCCTCTCTATTGTTTTTCTGTTACATTTACATCTGATCTAATCTTTATTACTTTCTTTCTTCTGCTTGTTTTGGGTTGGGTTGCTCTCTTTTTTATTATGATGGAACCCAACCTTACGATGGAAGTTTGGGTTATTAATTTGAGATCTTTCTTATTTTTTAATATTGGTTTTTACAGCTATAAATTTTTCTCTAAGAACAGCATTAGCTTCATCTAAAACTTTTTGGCATGTGTGTTTTCATTTACCTTTCTTCAAAATATCTTTAGTTTTCCTTATTATTTCCTCTTTCACTGGTTATTTAGAAGTGTGCTTAATTTCAACATATTTGTGAATTTCTAAAATGTCCTTCTGTTATTAATTTCTAATTTAATCCCATTGCAGTCAGAGATAATAATTTGTATGACTTCAGTTTATTTTAAGTTTATTGAGGCTTATTTTATTGCCTAACATAGTCTGTACTGGAGAATGTTCCATGTTCCCTTGAGAAGACTGTGTATCCTACTGTTGTTGGAGGGAGTATTCTATAGAGGTCTGTTAGGTCTAATTAGCTTAGAGTATTGTTCACGTCTCCTATTCCCTTTTGGTCTTCTGCTTAGTTGTTCTATCCATTATTGAATGATGAGTAGTTTTTATGTCTTTTCAGGCTCTGTTGTTAGATGCATATATGTTTATACTTTATATATTCCTTATTGATTGACCATTTGCCGTCATAAAATATCCTTTATTTCTAGACTTGTTTTAAAGTCTGTTATGTCAGATATTAGTATAGCTGCTGCAGCTTTCTTATAGTTGCTCTTTTCATGATATATGTTTTTCTGTTTACTTTTAAATATGTCATTAAATCTAAAGTGTATCTCTTGTAGATAGCACATCATTGGATCTTATTTTTATCCAATTTGAGAACCTATGCCTTTTGATTGTTTATTCATATTTAATGTTATTATTTACATAGTTGGATTCACATCTGCTGTTTTTCTTGTGTTCTATGTCTCATTTCTTTCTTCCTTTTTTTTTTTGCTCCTCTATTCCTTTTTTACTGCTGCTTTTGCATTAAGCAAATATTTTCTGGTGTAATATTTTAATTAGTGATTTTTTGGGAATTTAGAAAAAAGTTAGTTCTTAGTGGTTGCTCTCAGAATCTACTTCAGAATTAGTCTAATTTCCAGTAAGGTATAGAAATGTTACTCTTATATAGCTATATTCCTTCTTTCCCTTTTTTTGTGTTATTACAATAATACATTACTATAATTGTTACTTTTTATAATTTTTTGTCTTTTAAAGAAGCAGAAAGAAGAACAGAGACCAATATGTATTTTTAAAGTTTGTTATATTAAGTTTCTTATTTACTGTTTCTGATTCTTTTCATTTGTTGCTGGGTTTTTAGTTGTCATCTTGTGTCATTTTCTTACTCCAGAATGGCTTTGCTCCCACATACATCCTTTGTGTTGTGATTGTCCATTGTATTACATATATTCTATATATATTTTATATGTTGCATGCCACCAATACAATTATGTACATGTAGTTTTATGCAACTGCTTCCACAAATCAGATAAGAAATGAGAAGTATGCATTTATACTGTATTTTATAATTACATAGTTACCTTTACTGGTGTTCTTTGTGTGTGTCTGTGTGTGTCTGGTCTGTGTGTCTGTGTGTGATCAAATGGTCATCTGAGTTCACTCTTAATCGTGAGGAAATTCCTTTTGTATTTCTTGTAAGGCTGGTCTGCTTGAAACTATTTCCTGTTTTTTTTGTTGTTGTTGTTTGTCTGTTTTTTTAAAATCTGGGCATGTCTTTATGTCATCTTCATTTTTGAAAGATAGTTTTACCATATGTAAGATTTTTAGTTGACGGGTTCCCCCCCTCCGCCGGCCAGCAGTTTGAATATGTCTTTCCACTGCCTCTGGGCTTCATTATTTCTGATGAGAAGTCAGCTGTTAATCTTATTGGAATTCCCTTATGTAATCAGCAGTTTCTTGTTGTTTTCAGGATTTTCCGTTTGTCTCTCATTATTTTACTATGATGTACCTGGATATGGATCTCTTTATGTTTATCTTACTTGGAGTTTGTTGATCTTCTTAGATATGTAGGTTAATGTTTTTCATCAAATTTTGGAAATTTTAAATTATTTCTTTAAATAGTCATTCTGTTCCTTTCTCTTCTCTACTTTGGTGCTCCCATCTCATGTATGCTGGTGTGCTTAATGATGTCCACATTTATTTGAGACTCTGTTCATTTTCCTTATTCTTTTTTCTCTCCTGTTCTTTTTTCTCTCTTACTGTTTTTTCTCTCTTGTTCTCTGATTGCATAATCAGACTGTCTTGTATATTCACTGATTCTTCCTTCTGCCAATTCACATCCACTGTTGGGACCCTCCAATGAATTTTTCATTTATGTTACTGACTTTTCAACTCTGGAATTTCCAATTATTAAAAAAAATAATTTCTACTTCTTTATCCATCTCTATTTGGTAAGACATTGTCATCATACTTTCCTTTGCTTCTTCTTTTTAGTTCTGTGAGCATAGTTATTATGGCTGCTTTGAAGTCTGCTACATCCAACATCTGGGCCATCTCATAAGCAGTTTCTATTGCCTATTTCTTTCTTTCGTTTTTTTTGAGACAGAGTCTTGCTCTGTCACCCAGGTTGGAGTGCAGTGGCACAATCTTGGCTCACTGCAACCTCCGCTGCCCAGGTTCAAGCAATTCTCCTGTCTCAGCCTCCCAAGTACCTGGACTACAGGCGCACACCGCCACACCCGGCTAATTTTTGTATTTTTAGTAGAGATGGGGTTTCACCATATTGGTCAGGCTGGTCTTGAACTCCTGACCTCAGGTGATCCACCTGCATCGGCCTCCCAGAGTGTTAGGATTACAGGCATGAGCCACAGCGCCTGGCCACTGTTGCGTGTTTTTCTGTTTATTGGTCTCAGTCTTCTGTTTCCTTATATGCCTCATAGTTTTTTTTTGTTATTATTGTTGAAAACTGGACGATTTAGATAACGTAGCAACTCTCGATGCTGATTCCTTCCACCCCATAACACTCATGGGGCAGGTTGTTGTTTGTGTGCTTGTTTAGTGGCTTGTTTGGACTATTCTAATCAAGTGTATTTCCCTCACAGTGGGAAGTCTCTGATGTTGCTCCTCAGAGTGCAATCCTGGCATATACGCTGTCACCCTGGAATGACAGTGATTTTAGCAGTGCTCTCTTTGACTTTCTGTTTTCCTGACGTCTCTGTTAAACTTTCTGCCTTCGTTGGCATCACATTCGGCTGTTAGATTCCAGTAATTGCTGGGTGATTATTATTTTCAACAGTGTCCTGGGGCATAAGTTATTCCACAGTCTGATCCAGTTAAATTTGGTCCTCTTTGCAGTGGCATATTATCCCTTATATGCAAGTGATTTATTGAGGGAATACTTTCAGATGAAACCATAGGAGTAAGGAAAATAGGATAGGCAGAGATCAGCAAACCTGTGGGTTCCCCAGAAGTCTAGCTTTAACCTAATCTCGGGGAATTCTAGAGCTTGAATGACATCTCAGAATTAGCTCACCTTGAGGTAGAGGGGCTGAGTTTTTACCTTAACCTGCAACAATCTTTCCTTCACTGCAGGCTGTTCTGTCTCTCCGTCTGTGTGTGTGTGCACGTTTGTGTGCATGTGTGTGTGTGTGTGTGTGTGTGTGTGTGTGTGTGTGTGTTGGAGGCATATAACCTCCCAGGCATCAATGTTGTGTGGAGTGCTTCTCATCTGTAGACAAGGTACAACTGTGAGTCCTTAGCAGTGGGAGGTGAGTGCACCACCAGGTAAAGGAAGCTACTATATACTCCAGCAGCTAGAAAATATCCAGCCACATTGTGCCGAAAATGTCAAAAGGAATAAGTGACAGAATGTTTTCATTTTTCTGTTTTGTTATTTATTTTGACTTTTTAGTGGATTAAAACCCCTAATCTTCCCAATCTTGGCTTTTTATTTTATTTTTAAATTGTGATAAAATTCATATAACATAAGATTTAGCATTTTAATAATTTCTACATATAAAGTTATTTGGCATTAAGTACAATTTACATTGTTCTGCCACCATTATCATCTATCTCCACAACTTTTTTTTTTTTTTTTTTTTTTTTGAGACAGAGTCTTGTTCTGTAGCCCAGGCTGGAGTGCAGTGGCGTGATCTCGCTCACTGCTGACTCCACCTCTTGCTCCCAGTTTAAGCAATTCTGCCTCAGCCTCCTGAGTAGCTGGCATGCACCACCATGCCCACCTAATTTTTGTATTTTTAGTAGAGACGGGGTTTCACCATGTTGCCAGACTGGTCTTGAACTCCTGACCTCGTGATCCACCCGCCTCGGCCTCCCAAAGTGCTGGGATGACAGGCGTGAGCCACTGCGCCTGGCTCTCCACAACTGTTTTATCTTCCCAAGCTGAAACTCTTATTAAACACTAACTCCCATTCCCCAGTTTTCACCAGCCCTTGGCAACCAGCATTTTACTTTCTATCTCTATGACTATGATTACTCTAGATACCTAATATAAGTGGAATTATATGTTTTTCTGTTACGGGTTTATTTCACTAAGCATAATGTCCTCAAGATTTATCCACATTGTAGCACATGTCATACTTTTCTTCCTTTTTTAGGCAGAATGAAAGCCCATTGTATGTATATATTACATTTTGTTTATCTGTCATTTATCAGTGGACATTTGTGTTGCGTCCTCCTTTTGACTATTGTGAATAATGCTGCAGTGAACATGGGTGTACCAATATCTGTTTGAGTGCAGTGCCTGGTTTTCCCAGGCCAGTCTCTGAGGTTTGTTCTCACTGCAGGAAGGCTCTTCTTCACTTTTTCTTTTCCTGGTTCTCTTGGGTAAACTTGCTGACTTAGAATTTAGCTTATTACTCTCATGAAGCTACCAACCTCCTTTCAATTGCTTAATACCAGAGTCTTCATTGTTTTCAAGAGCACCCTTATGTTTGTGCTTCTCCACACTCTGTTCTACATAAGGTCAGTGTCTTTGGGGAATTCTTTGGAGCTCTTTGTACTTACCTTCTACCTCACCCCCTGATTATAATCCTTGAGCCACTGCTCTAGATCTGGGGGCACGAACAGTGGCCTCCCTCTCTTGGAGTGATATCCTTGCTTTAAGAGCATGGTGCTGGGTGAGATGGCAGTCTCTGGTCTTGGCTTGCCTCTCTCAGTGTGGAGCCTCTCTCGTATGAGCAGGCCAAAGTGAGGGCAGCTGGGTCCCCAATATCCATGGTTGTTATTACTGTGGTATAGCCTCTGTTCTATGACATCCTCCAGGGGCTGGGAGGATGAAGGAGGGCTGGGTGGAAGAATGGAGCCCTTATTCTCTCTGCCATACTCACCTTTTTTTTTTAGCCTCTGCAACACAGTTGGGGCAGGTGTAAGAAATTCTGAATGCCTGTCCTTTCTTTGGCTCTTGACTGAAACCCTGGCAGGAAAGAGAGCCCTGCCTTCTCAGCTACTGCCACTGGGTAGATCTGTCACCTGAACTGGTGGTTGGGAAAAGGTGGATGTGGGTCATGGGTCAAGGGCCACAAACTCTTACTGTTCTTACCAAGTATGTAGTATATTTTCTTGGATAAATGTTTCTTCTTTTCCTGTATGCTCTTAGGACAATTTTCAGAAATTCAAATGGTGTTTTAAAAAAATAATTTTCATTAGTTAGAGTTGTTTCATTAGGGAACAGGTTTGTGGAATTAGGGTTGTTTCACTAGGGAACAGGTTTGTGGATTTCCTCACACTTTTATTCCAGAAGTGTATCCCCCTCAAATATTATTCTTGTTTTATTTTTTCCTAAATAGAGGTAACATCAATGTAAAAAACAGCCATTTTAAAATGTGTATTTCAGTGACATTTAGTACATTCACAGTGCTGTGCAGCCATCGTCTCTATCTAGTTTTAAAACATTTTTCATCATTACAGAAAGAAACCTTGTACACATTAAATAGTCACTCTTCATTTTCTCTCTTCTAGCCCCTGGCAACCAGTTTTCTGCTTTCTATGATTTTACCTATTTTGGATATTTCATGTAATAGAGGAATATAATATGTGGTTTTTGTGTGTGTCTGGCTTCTTCCACGTTAGCGTGCTCATTTATATTGTAGCATGAATCAATACTTGTTATGTCTGAAGTTTCATGCCCCCCCCCCATAATTCATATGTTAAAACCTAAATCACCAATGTGATAGTTTGAGGTAGGTCATTTGGGTGGTAGTTAGGTCATGAGGGCACATCACTCATGAATGGGACCGGTAGTAGTCTTATGAGAGAGAGAGAGAGATCCTGAGAGCTAGCTTGCCCCTTCCACCATGTGAGGATGCAGTTACAAGGCACCATCTATGAACCAGAACTCACTAGACATGAATCTGCTGTGATCTTGACTTCCCAGCCTCCAGAGCTGTGAGAAAGAAATTTCTGTTGTCTGTAAGCTACCCAGTCTACAGTATTTAGTTATAGCAGTCCATATGGACTGCTATGTGGGCAATACCAAGAAAAATCCTGTCTCAAGAAAAAAAGTACTACTCTTTTTATGGCTGAATAATTCTCATTATATAGATAGTCCACATTTTATTTATTCATTCATTAGTTGATGAACATTTGTTTCTACCTTTTGGTGGTTGAGAATATGCTGCTATGAACATTCATGTACAAGTTTTGGTTGAATGCCTATGTTCAGTATTTGGGGTAATTACCTAAGAGTGGAACTGTTGGGTCATATGGTAATTCTGTATTTAACTTTTAGAGTCTATTTTGTGAAGTGTCAATAGTTTGGAGTGCACAAGTCTCTGAAACTGCCCTTCATTGTTGAAGATACAAGCTCGACTTAACAGCCTATAGCAGAGCTTTTAGGCAAGCATCAGAGTATAATAAAACTATCTGTAGATGATGGACTTTAACAGCTATGGCTAATTAATCAGTGTAACCAATAATATGAGAATGGAAGAGAGTAAAATTTCCTATCAGGTTTATTACATAACAGCTACTTTAAAAGTTTGATCAATGAAAACACAATATCGATAGCAAGGGCATTGGCAAATCTCCAGGGACTTCCCATAAAGAGTACAGTTTCAGAAATGTTTGTGTTAGTACATTTTTTACCTATAGACATTTAATCTAGGAAGGCTAAGCATCTCTTTTAATTTGATAACTCTTCCCATGCAATTTTTACTAGAGTAGCACATCCAACAAACCTAATAGTTTCTTGCATTTCATTTTTTGTAAGCTGAAAGAATAAATAACTGAACTGTTCTAGGGTTCCTCTGGGAAACCTTAAAGATAATTTTAGGTGTAAAAGATGTCTTGAGGCTGGGTGCAGTAGCTCATGCTTATAATTTCGGCACTTTGGGAGGCCAAGGCGGGAAGGATTGCTTGAGCCCAGGAGGTTGAGACCAGCCTGGGCAACATGGAGAGATCCCATCTCTACAAAAAATTTTAAGAAAAGTCCGGTGCGGTGGCTCACGCCTGTAATCCCAGCACTTTGGGAGGCCGAGGCAGGCGGATCACAAGGTCAGGAGATCGAGACCATCCTGGCTAACATGGTGAAACCCCGTCTCTACTAAAAATACAAAAAAAAATTAGCTGGGCGTGGTGGTGGGCACCTGTAATCCCAGCTACTCGAGAGGCTGAGACAGGAGAATGGCGTGAACCCGGGAGGCGGAGCTTGCAGTGAGTCTATATCGCGCCACTGCACTCCAGCCTGGGCGACGGAGCGAGACTCCATCTCAAAAAAAAAAAAACAAAACAAAAAAACAAAAAAAAAAGAAAAAAAACCCAAAAAATTAGCTCGGCATGGTGGTGCTGGTTATCTATTTAGTTAACATGAAAATGAATCATTTAAAAATAAACATAGATAACTTGATTGTGAAGAACCTCAGCTCTTTCATAAGTGAGAAGAAACCTTTTTTGCTTGCTTAAATAATAAAAAGTATAATAAAGTCCCTATGAAACACAGAAAATTATTCTGGCAAACAGACTCACTGTTATATAGGCGGATTACACAGAAGGTAAAGAGTAACCTTTCGTATTGTAGGCAGAGGCATTAACAAATAACCAAGGAAACAAGCCCAACAAGATTAAGCAAATGTTGCTAAGTTTGTAACATATTTCATAACTGGTTTTCAGACTCAGGTATTATAAACCAAGGCAGATATACATCATTTTCCAAGTTTTGTCCTTCACTGTGCTCTTTCATATTCTGAAACAAACACTTGACTCTAGAGCACTGGTTCTTTGTTTGGGGTCTGTGAGGTCAAAATTATTTTTAAATAATCCTAAAAGGTTATGATGATGAAATTTTATGTGTCGACTTAACTAGGTTAAGGGCTGCCCAGATAGCTGGTGAAACATTATTTCTGGGTGTTCCAGTGAGGGTGTTTCTGGAAGAGACTAGCATTTGCATCAGTAGACTGAGTAAAGAAGGTCTGCCATCGCCAATGTGGGTGGACATTCAATCCACTGAGGCCTCAAATGGAATAAAAAGGTGAAGGAAGGGTGAATTCTTTCTCTCTTCTTAAGCTGAGACATCTGTCTTCTCTGGCCCATGGACATCGGAACACCTGGTCTCAGGTCTTCAGACTGTGGGGCTTACACGAGCAGCCCCCCTGGTTTGCAGGCCTTTTGACTTGGTCTGAATTATACCACTGGCTTTCCTGGTTCTCCAGCTTGCAGACGGCATGTTATGGTACAACTTGGCTTTCATAATGGTGTGAGCCCATTCCTGTAATAAATCTTTTATATGTCTTTATATATCCTATTAGTTTTGTTCCTTTGGAGAACCCTGACTAATTCAGAAATTATTTATGTTAACATGCATTGCATTCATCATTGCTGTTTTCACATGAATCAATCAATAAATGTTTTTAAAAATTCTGTTTTAATTTTTAATTGAAAAATATTGATAGTTATAATCCACGTAAACAAAATCTTTTTGGAATTCTCAATCAGTTTTAAGAGAACAAAAATTTTGATAACTACTACTTTAGGATGAAACTACAGATGACCCTTGAACAACACAGGATTTAGGGGCACTGTCCCCTCATTGCAGTCAAAAATATGAGTATCAGCTGGGCACGGTGGCTCACGCCTGTAATTCCAGCACTTTGGGAGGCCAAGGCGGGTGAATCACTTGAGGCCAGGAGCTTGAGACCAGCCTGGCCACCATGGTGAAACCCCGTCTCTACTAAAAAAATACAAAAATTAGCCAGGCGTGGTGGCGTGCGCCTGTAATCCCAGCTGCTTAGGAGGCTGAGGTGGGAGGATAGCTTTAACCCCATGAGGTGGAGGTTGCAGTGAGCCAAGATTGCGCCACTGCACTCCAGCCTGGGCGACAGAGGGAGACGCCTCCCGGGCTCAAGCGATCTCTCGCCTCAGCCTCCTGAATAGCTGGGATTACAGGTGTACGCCACCACACCCAACTAATTTTTGCATTTTTTTTTTAGTAGAGACAGAGTTTCACCATGTTGGTCAGGCTGGTCTCGAACTTCTGGCCTCAAGTGATTTGCCTGCCTCGGCCTCCCAAAGTGCTGGCCTGGCCGAGTATCACTTTTGACTCCCAAAACTTAACTACTAATGGCCTACTGTTGACTGGAAGCCTTACTGATAACCTAACAATCAAAACATGTTTTCTATGTTATGTTTATTATCTACTGTATTCTTACAATAAAGTAAGTGAGAGAAAAGAAAATGTTATTAAGAAAACCATAAGGAAGAGAAACTATATTAATATCCACTAAGTGGAAGTGGGTCATCATAAAAGTCTTCATCCTCATCATTTTCATGTTGAGTAGGCTGAGGAGGAGATGGGAGGAGTTGGTCTTGCTGTCTCAGGGGTGGCAAAGGCAGAAGAAAATTGTGTATATATAAGTGAATCTGCATAGTTCAAACCTGTGTTGTTCAAGGGTTAAGTGTACTCAATTTTCTTGAAAAATAAAAGCATCTACACAATTGTATTATATTTCTCTCTTACTATTTTTCCTAGTATTATCTTAACTGCTGGTAATGATTTTAAATTTTTAATCCAAGTAACTAATTTATATTTCACATTAAAACACTGGGATTAAACATTGAGAACTGTCTGTTGTACACAAGAATTTTATCACACTTGGAAAACTCATGAGCACACGTAATATAAACTCCTATAGCCACAAACATTCCTTTTATACCTTCTTAAAGTGGCAAAACTGAACACTTTCATTAACATGTCCCAAAACCATAGCCTTTATATAACATATAAAGAAACAAATATATAAACTTAATTGTGCTTAGTAATCAGTCGTCTTGGGTTCTGTTGTACTAAAAATTAATTAGATATCCAATTATTATTTATTAATTAACTTAATATCAAGGTTTTGTTACCTAAAAATGTTGGAAATTATTTTCATACATGTTTAAATTAAAAGTTTGTCAGAATAATTTATTTGAGCGCGAGTTTACCTTTTCATCATCTTAAATATTATGTAGGGTAATGTTAGCTTATGTGATCAGTAAACCTGTATGTGTTTAGGAAAAAAAATCTTAGCAGAATAAAATGATTAATCAGAGACAAGAAATAGCTATTTTTAAAAACTGAAATTATCAAGGTTTGCCAAAATTGTATCTTATTTAGGTGACCTTGGGTTTTAAAAATGTTTTTGAGTTAGTTTCCATAAGAATTTTTCTTAAGTCTAACACATTTAACATATTAGAAGTTCAATTTCCTTGTTTTGGGGGAATTTTACAAATATTCTATTTATATAAGTACTTATTTGTATCAATAAGCCAGTCAGAACAGAGTTTCTTTCATTCAAGAGACTTTATAGTTTAAACTATTAATAGAGATAACTTGTTTTACATACTTAATGAAGAGGTAAAAGTCTTTCTGAATTACAGATGCAGAGCTTTGTAACTTTGTTTCTGTAACTTCACTCACAGGTCAAGAGATGTAAGAGTCACAGAGATAGAAAAACTCATTGGTCCAGATGTCAAAGACCTGTTCTTGGTGGACATGAAATTCTTAACTGGATTTGAGCTCAGAATAAACAGATATGTTAAAAAGACTAACAAACCAAAGTCTCTTTTATCTTTTACCCAAGTGATCTCTATCATCCGTCTATAAGGATCACCAAGTAAATGATCATAAAATCGAATTCTCAATCATTGCTGCCATTTAGGGGTGATAACTTACTGGCCATGCAGTAACTAGAAACCACACCAGAACATATAATTTGTAGAGAGGATGGGGGAAGCGGGGATGACCCAGAGAAACAGGCAGCAAAGTTAAGTATATATTGCTGCTTGGGTTTTACTTCTGGGAGCCAAGAAAAGATAATACCCAAGCTTGAGTAGCCCATGAGGTGCAATTATCTGATAAAGCAGTTTTCTTGGCTCTGTCAGGTGAATGCACTGGGCATTTTGGTAAAACTTCCAAAACTATTAAAAGATAATTTTCAAAAAGGTAAAATCATGACCCTCACACAAATGTAAAATGAATATGTGCCAAAGATTGTATTTAACTTATTAAGAGGGAATCAGTATGATGTTACAACTGTTTCAAAGGCAATGGCAAAAAACAATATAGGATTTGGGAATGCTGAGATGGATATATAAATGGATACACAACTGGTCAGTATCCACAGGGCAGTAATCAATTGTATTCCACTGACAAAAATATATCTGCATTTTTTTGGACAAGAGTCATTTGCATTAGTATCAGCTTTCTACAATTTATAAAGTTGTAAAATAGCCAAAAGACAGTGAAAGGCACAGATAACCCCAAAATATGCTAGATAGGACATTCAGTAATCTTTTTTGTCCATTTCAGTTTTTTAAAATTGCCATTAGAAACATTTTTTTCATTTGTCTTTTTACTGTAGTTATACTTTTATTTTTTGCTGTGCAAAAGTTTTTTATTTTATGAAATAAAATTTATCAGTCTTTCCCTTTTTAGCTTGTGAATTTTGAGTCATAGGAAAGTTTTCCAGATTCCGGAGTTATAGGGGAGTCCACCCATGTTTTCTTTTGGTACTTGTATGGTGTTTTTTAATGTTGCATCTGATTCTGTTTGCATTTTCCTGGGGTGTGGCATGAGGAGTGGCTCTTTATCTTTTTTCACGTGGCAACCCAGCTATCCTAGTACCTCTTATTAAAATGTAGGTCTTTTTCATGTTGATTTGAGATGGTGCCATTATCATGTACTGAATTTTTATACGCAGTGATACTGTATGTGGGTTTCTTGGTTCTGTTCATTGTCTATATGTCTATTCATGTGCTATGCAGCACTTTTAATTTTGGAAGCTTCGTTGTTTTAATATCTGGTAGGGCTACCTGCATCTCATCGCTTATCTTTTTCAGGGATTTCCTGGTGACTCTTCCTTATTTCTCTAAACAAACAATAAATTTCTCTAGTTCTAGAACACTCAAAGTATTTGATTGGGATTGAGCTATAATTATAAATTAATTAGGGAGAACAGGCATGTTGATGATATTGAGTCTTCCTATCCAAGAACATGTTATGTCTTTCAAGAGAGTTAAACTTTTCCATAAATAAATTTTAGAATTCCTTAAGATTATGTGTAGGTGTTTTTTCTCACTATTTTAATTGGGCCCTCCCTTCCTTCCTCCCTCCCTTCTTTCCTCCCTCCCTCCCTCTTTTTTTTTTTTTTTTTGAGACAGGTTCTTGCTAGAGACCAGGCTGGAGGGCAGTGGCATGATCATGACTCACCTTGTAGCCTCAACCTCCTGGGTTCAAGTGATTCTCCCACCTCAGCCTTCCGAGTACCTGGGACTAAAACCTTTAGTATTTTCTCATTAGGAGAGCTCTGGCTTTTGTGCTGAGGGATTTATATTTTATCATGTTAAGGAAACATTCATCAATACCCACTTTATTTAGTGTTTTTAACAAGAAAGTTTGTTGAATTTTGTCAGATGTTTTTCAGCATCTATGAAGATGGTCATACGATTGTTTTGCTCCATCAGTGTGATTGAAATTAGTGCTTGGCTAATTTTTAAAATTTTTTGTAGAGATGAGGTCTTACCCTGTTGCCTAGGCTGGTGTCAAACTCCTGGGCTTAAGTAATCCTCCCTCCTTGGCCTTCCAGAGTGCTGGATTACAGGCATGAGCCACCATGGCAGGCCCTTTCTTTTAAAAAAAAAAAAAAATGAGACAGGGTCGCACTCTGTTGTCCAGGCTGGAGTGCAGTAGCATGATCACCGCTAGCTGTAACCTCAAATTCCTGGGCTTAAGGGATCCTCTCATTTCAGCCTCCTGAGTAGCTAGGACTATAGGCACATGCCACCATAACTGACTAATTTTTATTTTTCCTTGTAGAGGCAGGGTCTCACTATGTTGCTCAGGCTGGTCTCAAACTCCTCACCTCAAGTGATCCTCCTTACTTGGCCTCCTAAAGTATTGGGATTGTAGATGTGAGCCACCGTGCCTAGACAGGGGCCTTACATTGTCATTTAATTGGTTTTTGCTCATATATAAATGAATGCTGGTGATCTTTGTATGCTAATTTTTAAACTGTTTATTAAGTTTTCTTATTGTTTATAAATTTTCACCACTGATTCTGTTGGGTTTTTCAGTTACGTAATCATATAGTCTGTATTTAGAAATAATTTTACTTCCTTTTCACTTCTTAAACCTTAGATTGCTTTCTCTAGTCTAACTTAACAATCCAATAATTGCAATACAGTGGTTGAGACAGGGGGCATCTTTTTTTCCTGACTTTAGCAGGGGAAACCTTTAGTATTTCTTCATTAGGATAGCTCTGGCTTGTGGGCTTTTTTTTTTTTTTTTTTTTGAGATAGAGTCTCACTCTATTGTCTAGGCTGGAGTGCAGTGGTGCGATCTTGGCTCACTGCAACCTCCGCCTCCTGGGTTCAAGTGTTTCTCCTGCCTTGGCCTCCTGAGTAGCTGGGATTAAAGGTGCCCACCACCAC
Source organism: Homo sapiens (assembly GCF_000001405.40). Lineage (NCBI taxonomy): Eukaryota > Metazoa > Chordata > Mammalia > Primates > Hominidae > Homo > Homo sapiens. Next base: position 92,870,109 of record NC_000010.11, read on the forward strand.
GCCTGGCTAATTTTTGTATTTTTTTAGTAGAGACAGGGTTTCACCATGTTGGCCAGGTTGGTCTTGAACTCCTGACCTCAGTTGATCCGCCCGCCTCAGCTTCCCAAAGTGCTGGGATTATAGGCATGAGCCACCGCGTGCCACCCAGCTCTGGCTTTTGAACTGAGGTATTTATATTTTATCATGTTAAGGAAGTATTCACCAATACTGCTTTTATTAGCAAGAAAGGCTGTTGAATTTTGTCAGATGTTTCTTCTGCATCTATGGAGATGGTCATAGGATTTTTTCTTATTTGCTCCGTCAGTATGATTGAATTTATTAATGGATTTCCTATTATTGAAATAGTCCTGCTTCTTAGAATAAACCCCATTTGGTCATGACAATTTGCTCTTTCAGTGTGTTTTTGAATTCTGTTGGCTAGTATGCTTTTAAAGATTTTTTCTTTGATATTTATAAGTGAGATTACTTTGTAGTTTGCACTTTGGTGCACTTTGCACATTGGTACAGACTTTTTCCGATCTTTGGATCAATGTTACACTCATTTCATTAAACAAAATTGGAAGTTTTTCTTTTTTTGGCATTATATAATTAGTGTAGGTGTTATCTTTTTTTTTTTTTTGAGATGGAGTCTCGCTCTGTCACCAGGCTGGAGTGCAGTGATGCGATCTTGGCTCACTGCATCCTCTGACTGCCTGGTTCAAAGCGATTCTCCTGCCTCAGCCTCCTGAGTAGCTGGGATTACAGGCATGCGCCACCACGCCCAGCTAATTTTTGTATTTGTAGTAGAGATGGGGTTTCACCATGTTGGCCAGAATGGTCTCGATCTGCTGACCTCGTGATCCAACCACCTTGGCCTCCCAAAGTGCTAGGATTACAGGTGTGAGCCACCATGCCCAGCTGATGTTATCTATTTTTAAAAGTTTCTCAGAATTACCCCTGTGAAAATCAATGGATCTGGTGCTTTTGGTAGAGGAGTCTTTTAACTCTTTTCTCTGTTTCTTTTGTGATAATTGGTCTGTTTTAGACTTTCTCTCTTGAGGGTCAATAAATTGTGTTCTTTTGAAAAATTATCATTTCTTCAAGTTTATCAAATTTATTTGAGTAGACTTGTGTAATGTTACTAAAAATAAGATTTCAGCCTAGCACGGTGACTCATGCCTATAATCCCAGCGCTTTGGGAGGCTGAGGTGGGAGGATCACTTGAGCCCAGGAGTTTGAGACCAGCCTGCGTGACATAGGGAGACCCAGTATCTACAACAAACAAAAACCAGATTAGCTGGACACCTGTGGTCTTAGCTAATTGGGAGGCTGAGGTGGGAGGTTGGGGCTGGAGTGAGCTGTGATTGTGTTCCTGCACTCCTGCCTGGGTGACAGAACAAGACCCTGTCTCAAAAAAAAAAAAAAAAAAAAATCATAGGCCAGTTGCAGTGGCTCACGCCTGTAATCCCAGCACTTTGGGAGGCCAAGGCTGGAGGATCACTTGAGTCTAGGAGATCGAGACCAGCCTGGCCAACGTGATGAAACCCTGTCTCTACTAAAAATACAAAAATTAGCTGGGCGTGGTGGTGCATGCCTGTAATCCCAGCTACTCAGGAGGCTGAGGCAGGAGAATCGGTTTGAACCAGGGAGTCAGAGGTTGCAGTGAGCTGAAATTGTGCCACTGTACTCCAGCCTGGGTGACAGAGTGAGATTCCGTCTAAAAAAAATAAATAAAATAATAAAATAATAATTTCTTCTCTTTCAATGGTTATATCCCACTTGTCAGTCCTAATTTTAGTATTTTTTGTATTTAAATTTAAATTTTGTGTATTTGTAATTTCAGTCATTGTTTTCCCCTTTTGTTTGGTTAACTAGTGGTTTGCCTGTTTTGTTGATTTTTTTAAAAAACCTGTTTAGTAGTTCCATACATTTTCTGTTTTCTAACTCATTCCTTTCTGCTTTTATTTTTAATGATTCTTTCCATTTCTTTTATTCTTTTCCTAGCTTTTTGCATTTTGTACGTAATTCATTTATTGACGTTATTATTTAATGCTGTTCTTCTTCACTGATGATTGCTCTAGGTGTATTCTACATGTTCTGATATATCTTCCTTATTGCTCTTTTAAAGCAATTCTGCTGTATTTATTTCCCCTTTGATCCAAAAGTTTTTTTATATTATGTGTTTTTTATAACTTTCCAAGTATGGAGAGTCTTTTTTATTTGTTAAATTTTGCTACTAATTTCTACTTTTATTACATTATAGTTAGATCAATCTGTTTTTATTCTATTCTTTCAAATTAATTGAGGTTTTATTAGTGGCTTAATATATGGTTAGTTTTCATGAGTATTCTATGTGGTCTTCAAAGTGTATGGTTTTTTATTAGGCTTCACAGTTTTATACACATACATGCCTTATTAATTAAGTTCATTATATCTTCTAAAGCCTCATGTTATTTTTCACCTGATCATTCTTGGATTGAGAGAGATATGTTAAAGTCCCCTTTTATTAACTTGTTTCTCTTTTTTGTTGCATCTCCTTTAGTTTCTGTTCGATGAGATTGGTTTTGAATTTTTGGGTATATAAATATTAATGTTACATCTTTATTTTGAAAAATAAAGATATTTATAGACTTTATAGTCTTTAGCATTGTAAATCATAAGTGAATTATAAATGCACAAATAATAAGTGTAAAGCTCAATTAATTTTATGTTTTGTTTTCTATGATTGAGTAGTATTCTTTTTGTTTTGCTGTGAAGTCAGCCCTTCAGTGAATTTCTTCTTAACTGTAGATTAAGATTCCTGTAAAAGACTTGGGTTGAGTATATAGTTCATCTCTTAAGCTATTACGCAAAGTGCACATTAGATCTGCTGTAGTCAGTCTGATATTTTTGTTTAATTTTCTGAAGTTTTCTGGGAAAGCAGTCTATATTTGCATTCATTAATCTACTTGTTTAAACTTTTTGAATTAAAATTTATTTTCGCAATTCATTTTATCCTAGAGGACAAATACAATTAAATATAGTGGGTGTTTTCATCTCTCATTTTTTGCATTTTACCAAATGCCCAAAAGTCAACAGGAAGAGATACCTCTTTGGTCAGGAATGTAAAAACAGGAAGGAGGAAGTCTATTGCAAATCTGTGCTGGCTGATTATGAATTCAGGTTTCACCATGGAGGATGTTCATTAATGATCATCAGTGTGCTGTGCTGTTATTCAAAATTACAGTGAGTATTAATGTCAGTAATACAGAATGTCAACACTAGTTATAGGAGGCAATGTTAACTAACACACGACACTAGACTTTTTTCTGTGCGTGGAAACAGGATACTATTTGTGAGAACAAGTCAAGTAAAATTCAACATCAGAAATATACAGAAAATCGTTCTTCATTTTTATGCTTTTGCTTGCTCTTGATGCTTTGAAGGGTCATATAATCCTTTAAGATATGAATGTATCTTTTAAGAAACATATTAAAGTATATCAATTCTGTCATTACAAATTCTTTGACAGAATCTCTTCAAATAAATTAGAGGAAGCATCTGGGCATTATTTTATAAAGCATTTTACGAGCACATATAGCAAACTAGATGAAATATTTCATGGAAAAACACATAGAACGTGAGTTTTATGTAAACAAGAAATATTTTTCAGTATTCCGTGGTGAAAGAAATTGGATTCTGGGCCAGGCACGGTGGCTCATGCCTGTAATACCAGCACTTTGGGAGGCCGAGGTGGGCAGATCACTTGAGGTCAGGAGTTTGAGACCAGCCTGGCCAACATGGTGAAACCCCATTTCTACTAAAATATAAAAAAAATTAGCCAGGTGTGTTGGTACATGCTTGTAATCCCAGCTACTTGGGAGGCTGAGGCAGGAGAATTGCTTGAACCGGGGAGGCAGAGGTTGCAGTGAGCTGGGATTGCACCATTGCACTTCAGCCTAGGCGACAGAGCAAGACCATGTCACAGAAAAAAAAAAAAAGAAAGAAAAAAGGAAAAAAGAAATTTGGATTCTATGTATATACATTTTTTTCCTCTTTAGTTGCTAGAAACTCTCAGTTACTCTGTAGCTACAGGCTATAGCATTGGTTTGAATACCAAGCAGCAGTATTTTAGGATACTTACCTTAACTTCAGTTTTTTACTTAGCAGTACAATATTGTTGGTGTTGTGAAAAAACTAAAAGTGTGTAAAATTTATATGGCATATCATCATCATCATCAGCCTGGTGACCTCTTTGACATGCTGTTTTCATCAGGAGTCTAGTAACGTAAACCATGTCTTGACCCTTATTTCTGGATTATTATGTGGTAGGGCTTCCCATTCTTTATATTGTGACACAAACAGAAAATTAGATTGAGAGCTAAGATGATCAATATTGTGGTATTCCCATAACTTATTCATTTGGGAAGATATGCTCTAATGTGCTAGTCAGATGAAGGTGTCTGTAAACCTTTTTTAATTGTAAGAAATGTGTGTGTGTGTGTGCACCCCCACACATGCACACCCATGTGAGCATCTTTGTCCAGGATTTAAAAAAAATTTGTAGTTGTGGGTAATCAAACCAACTTGAGTTAGCTTAAGAAAAAATGAAAAAATAAATGGTGAAAGTTACTGAGGTATTTTATAAAAATCTTAGGGCAGCCAAACTTTTTGAAAGACTGGAACAAAGAAGTGGACAACCATCTTTCTTTCTATTTCTCCTTGATGACTTTGTCTTCATCCTTTTGTGAAGTCTGACTTTCTCTGCTTCTCTCTGTACTTGGTGGAGGATGACCACCTATAGCTTTTATATGTTAGGCACATACCTGACTATCTGAATTCCAGTTAATTTAAAATTCCTGAGAGTGTATCAGATTGTACACCCCTGTTGCAGTGTACTTTGAAAGAGGCTATGCAGCTTGTCCAACCTTGTCAATGGGTAGCAGTTCTCAGAGGGAAGGTAGGTATTATAGCTGTGTTTGTGCACTTTCCTAGGGAGAACTATAACTTTGATTATAATTAGAGAGGAGAGTCATGCTATCCCCAGGCACAGCCTAAATAAAGATTAAGAATCACTGTATGGGAATTACAGTGAAATTCCCAGTAACAACAGATATCTTTCATATCAGTTAAACTGTTTGAATTATGCACAATGCCATGTTCTTTCCTGTCTGTCTTTACCCGTAATTGAATACCCTCCTCCTCCTTTCTCTACCAATTCAAATATTACCTATTATTGAATTCTCCTATTTCCTCCACGAAATTTTTCCATCTTAGAATACTGCATTCTACATGGATACACACACAAATATATTTTATATGTCTGGATTCTTATAGCATGGACTTTGAAAATGCTACACAGCATTATTTTGTTGTTTGTAAATGTATGTCTTTGTGTATGAATAAGTATGTTTTGAATATAGCCCTAATTAGATTGCCCCTGAGACCTGTGATTTCATACATATCTCATGAATTCCTACTGTGTTACATAACAGAATGCCATGAGTACAACAGACTTAGTAAATCATTTTGGACTGAATTAATGAAAAACACAAACTTTCTTTATAGAAAAACTTAAAAAATATAGAAGAATAGAGAGCAGAAAAAAATCACTTTTATTCCCACTAAAGGATAATCATTGTTGACATTAATTTGAGTTTTTCTATGTAAAGTGGACATGTACTAAATATTGAATATTTATTGAGCAAAGTTATGTTATTCAACATATTAAATGATTACTATTAAATAGTTTTTAAGTGAAGCAGTGACTATAATATATAGAAATTTTCATCCCTTTTTTATCAAAATAAAAATACAATTTTTTGATTATAAAAATAGTAAATATTCATTAAAAAAATTTCAGAACACATGTATATATAAAAATCACTTAAAACCCTTATAACCAAAAGTACTCCATATTTGGTGTGTGTATTTCTGAGTTTGTCCTGTGAGTATATCTGTATTTGTGTGTTCATCTTTTTGAATTTAATATTGACAATGCCTATTATAATGTTATAAGTACTCTGTAAGGTAATTCTTTATGGTTGATTAATATTTTAAAGTACATATATCTTAGCTTATTTAATTATTTCCTTATGTTGCACATTTAAGTGGTTCTCATTTTGTGTGAAATTTTATGAAAAATAATATTAAATCTAAAATAATTTCTTAGTCAAGATCTTCATTCCTGGAGATAAAAGTAATCATGTAGGTAATTATAATAGCTAACATCTATTGAACATTGCCAATGTTTTAAACACTTAAATGCATTATTTAATCTTAACAAGAAGCAAAGAAGGTACCATTGTTATACCCATTTGCAGCTGAGGAAATTGAGGTAGGGATAGATAGATTAGGTCATTTGCCCCCTGCACTCAGTAATTGGTAGAGGTAGATGTGGATGCAGGCCAGTTGACTCCAGAGCCTACACTTTTAATCACTGTGCTTTGCCTTTTAACCTGGAGTATCAGATAATGAAAGCTGCAGTGTCAAAAGATTATTAAATTTTAACCTAAAAAAAGAGAGGGTTTAAAGAATGTGATCGGAATTGCACTCAGGAAGGGAGGGTCCTGTATGTCCAACCTGTGCTAGGGCAGAGGAGGCTCAGATCTTGGAAAGAACTTACAGTAAAGTGATGTAGGTTCCTTCTTCCTCTGCAGTTCCCAGACAGGCATCCAGTAGCTTAAGTGAGACCAATCTCCAGTTCATTTTCCTTAGGAGATAGGGGCTGTAAGAAAAATCACTGACACTTTTACCCTATGCATGCCCCTTTTCATTTCTCAACGATGGAAAAAAACAAAACAATGCAATCCTTTCCTACTTTCCCTTTTCATTCATATCCTCATTCATTCATTCCGGAGGTAAAAAAGAACTTAAATCAAGTTTGCTTTTAGGGCTCTCTCTTACTAGAAGGGATGGTTCTTTTTAGTTTAATAGAGCAAGGCTAATAGAATCTGCGTAATGATTTTTTGTTTTTTGTTTTTGTCATCCCTGAACGGGAAGGCAGGAAACTTACCCTTTGTGGTTTGTAAGGGAGTGTATGTATTGATGTTTTGGTATTGCCCACTTCTTTGTGCAGGAGCTTAATTTCAAGAGAATTAATTACTACAGGCATTGCCATAATAATCAGACAGATACTGTGGAAATCAGCAATGAATGTATTACTGACATTGAACATAAATAATATCAGCAACTGAAAGACGATTTGTGCAGTCATCTCCTTTTATCTTTTTTTTTTCCTGTAATATCCTTCAGCATTCCTTATGAGTCTAAGATTTGGATTGTCTACCTGGCTCTGGCCTTTTAGAAGCCACATGGTGTTGAATAAATCCCTTAACTTCTTTGAGCCTCATTTTCCTCATCTGTGAGATAGATATAAAACCAGTTGTCCTTTATACTTCTCCAGGTTCTTGATACCAAATGCAGTGATGTATGCAAAATTGCTTTGTGGATTGCAAAGCACTAATACAGATGGAAAAAGATGATTTTTATTTTTTGTTTTGTTATTTATATTCTGCTTTTGAGTGGGAATTGCCTTTTTCAACTTCATGTTTTCTTTCTGATTCTTCTGCAAAGCTGAGAAATGACCAATAGAAGTGGACTGTGTAGTCAGGGTCAGTGATGGGAGTTGGGATCAGCCTTATATCACTAACTGTGTTTTTGTTTTCCTCCATACTACTTCTGGATATACTTATATGGCAAAATTCTTTGTCTTTTGAAAAACATTTAACAAATTAAATATATATGTATATTACATATTTAGTTTTAAAAATATATTTTTGTCATTAGGAAAAGGATATGTCTTTAGGTAAAAATAGTACAAACCTCATGTTGCATAGATAATGCAGATAGTTCCAGTTATCTGGTCATTGGGCAAAAAGCAAGCACTTAAGGTCTTCAGCTCCAACCTTTTGTTCCATTTCCTATTGCTGGAATTTTCTATTCATTTCTTCTTGTTGGATAATTAAACTGGATGATGGTAGAGATGGTAAACCGGCATTTATTCATCCTTGCCCTGCTCAGCCTTGGGAGTGGGTGTATTCTGGCTGGTAGATTGACTGCTTTTATTTGTTTGCCATGTTATGGTTTAGGTTTTTCTGAGCATCTGCATCAGTAATTGAAGTTGCTACAGTACTGATGGTGAGGTGACTGCTGATCTTGAGTCTCAGCTACTTGATTTTCCTTATCCTCTTCATTGTAGTTCTTTCTAGGTCGTCTTTGGCGAGAAAGGTCCCTGTGGACATCTCTTTTTGGTAATGATGCCAAGCAGGCACATGAAGGTCCAAGACAGAAAAAAGGGCAAAAGAAGACAGCAAAAAAAGGAACCTTAATCTTGATCCTAGGACTTTATAGGCTCCCCTTTTTCCCATGATTCTTCCCTTAGGGTGGACTTTCCGCATGCCCAGTGCCCTCCTTACCCTTTGGAATTGAGCACACACAGTGTGTTTAGGGAGTGATACGCGTGCCCATCTGATGTTTTCTTTCCTTTTTTGGTGGAGTGCGCCCCTGGAAGATCATACTTTACCATTTTTGTCTCTTATCACACATGCATGCCCAGGAAGTTGCTTCTTCCTGGGGGTGCCAAATTATCATTTTTAGAGAGATAATGCGATAATTGTCAAACTGTCACCTGACATTTCTGGTGGGTGGCGGGGAGAGCCCTCTCCTGCCCTGCCCATGCCTATCTACCTGTAACAATGACAAATGTGTTGTTTTTTTAAGCCAGGTTTTTCTCAATCTACCTTAAAGGTTTTAAAATTGGTTTATACCTAGTCAAGTTGAGATTTTTAAGAACTTCATTTTTAATTTGTAATAAGAGCTTATCACTTTTTTCCAAAGAAATCAACAAACTGAGGCCACTTGTTAAAAAAGGTCTTTAAAAATATGTATGTATTTCAGGGGGTTCTTTGTTTCAAAGTTAGAATTAAATATATTTGCAGATGGCTTTCATTTTTAAAATTTTCTGCAGTTTAGTAAAGTTGTTGCTTCCACCTCAGGATATACTTTATACAATGTTGTCTTTTCCAGGACTGCCAAAAATTATCTTTTTAAGCATTAACTTTGCTTAATGTTTTCCCCCTATAAAATGCTAATGTTATTATATAGTTTAGAAGTAGATTAAAAGGCTCATAGAGGCCAGTTGTGGTTGTTCACACCTGTAATCCCAGCACTTTGGAAGGCTGAGACTGGAGGACCCCTCAAGACTAGCCTGGGCAACGTAGGGAGACTGTGTCTCTACAGAATTTTAAGAAAATTAGCTGGGCATGGTGGTGCACGCCTGTGGTCATAGCTACTGGAGAGGCTGAGGTGAGAGGATCACTTGAGCCTGAGGTCGAACCTGTAGTGAGCTGTGATCACACCACTGCACTCCAGCCTGGGAAACAGAGTGAGACTCTGTCTCTAAAAGAGAAAAAAAAGCTCATAGGTCTGTTAGAAATTTTAGGTTATTTTTCATTCAGTAATTTCAGTATTATCCTCATATATGACATCTAACATGAATAAATCATAAAAAATCATCCTTTGTAGATTTTCAAATGCTGATGAAGAAGACAAGTAAAATATGTTTTTGTTTGTATTTGATTGATATTCAATTCCTTATAGATCTTATCCATCAGTACTGATTTCCCATCAGTTTTCAATATATGTAACTTTTATATATTTATTGCAAATTCAAACACTGATTTTAAGATGTTCTTTAGTAAAATTATTATATGTGTTCTTTCAATATTTGAATGCCTGTTGTATGTCAGGCACTCTGTAATGTATAAAAGTTTATCCTGTGCTGTGTTGTTTATACTTACCCATAGGAGCCTGGAATTGCCAGATAATTTTTGTGCTGTTTATGATTCTGTTCTGCTATTTTTTTTAAAACAGTTATATTAAAGCAATAGGTAACAGGGTAAAACCACTTCAAAAAATAGGGAAATCTTATTTTTATTTTTATTTCATAATACTTAGTTGTTGATTAGGTCGAGTATGAGATTCACATCATATTTTGATGTGGTACTAAATGAAAATACAGTCATCCCAGTTTTTGTGGGGATTTGCTTCCGGGAACCGGTGTGGATACCTAAATCCATGGATGTTGAAATCTCTTATATAAAATGGTGTAGTATTTACATATAACCTATGCACATACTCCCATGTACTTTGTCATCTCTAGATTACGTATAATACCTAATAACAATGTAAATGCCATGTAAATAGTGGTTTACTGTATTGGATAGGGAATAATGGCAAGAACAAAAGTCCATGCATGTTTAGTATAGACGCAACCACCCATTTTTTTTTTCCTTGAATATTTTCCATCTGTGGCTGGTTGAATCCAGGGATACGGAACCCCCAGATACAGAGGGCCGACTGTACTTGGATTTCTAGAGGTTACTTTTTGGTAAAGGGTGCCCTCTAGTGAGCCTGTTCTTTTTATTAAGATTTGTAATTTATATCCTCACAGCACTTGTGAATTGAATGTAGAAATAGAAGACACCTTCAGTTCTCAAGGAACTTAGAAGATAAAATATACACCAAGTAGTGGGAGAGTAAATTTGATGTACATATTAATAAAAGATAGTGTAATATAAACCTTGTGTTAAAAAAAATGGGAAAATTTCTGGTAATGGGAAGGTTATCCAGTATAGCTATTTATGAAATTAACATTAAGGAACTGTCTTGAGCTGAAATTTGAAGGAAGTTTAAAATTAGTATTGAAGCATATGGAGGGGGAAGGGCATCCAGGGGTAGAAAATAAGTTTAGGACAGCACCAAAAAGGACTAGTGCCAAAAGGGAAAAAAATGGAGAAAAAAGGAATTATCCTGGGAAATATTTTAAGTTTAATACTATTTTAAATATTTTATGCAAATTTCCAAGTAACTTGTATTCTACATGAAAACTTTTTGTTTTTCTTTAGGAATTCAGGAAAGACTTGGCTGGGCAGTTGTAGGTTGGGGTCTCGTATGTGGTTGTAGTCAAATGGATATTGGTTGCTGTCAGCTACCTGCTGGGGCTGAAGTAATCTGAAGTCTCAACTGGACTAGACAGCCAAGATGGCTCGCCCACATTGCTGGCAGTTGCTGTGGCTGTCATTTGGGAGTGGCTACATGTGGCCTTTCCAGCTTGTCATTTTTAGGATAGTCAGATTTCTTACATAGTGGATGGCTTTCTCCAGACTAAGTGTCTAAAGGAGGCAGGTAGATATTGCATGGCCTTTTCTAGTCTTTGAAGTCACATAGTGTCACTTCTGTCATATTCCATTGGTGAAAGTAGTCACAAGCCTGCCCAGATTAAAGGAAGGGAGTGTAGACCCTTCCTCTTATTGTAAGATGTGCAAAGAATTTTGGACCTATGTCATAATACTACTTCATTTACTTTCTTGCCTCTCTGAAGAATAGGTTCAGTGTAGATAAATTTTAATGATTTAAGGAATAATTGTGCTCTGTATTAAAGTTGCCTGTGTATATGCCTGTTTTCTGCACTTCATTTTCAGTTTCTATTGCTTGTGCACTTACACAATGCTTAATATTGGTAGAAGGAATCTTCCTTTTTCTTGACCTACGTATTATTTCCTTGGAGCTGTTGTGTTTCTGATTTGCTTCTGGATTGCAGAGTATCAGCGATATGGTTTGGCTGTGTCCCCACTCAAATCTCTTCTTAAATTATAGTTCCCATAATCCCCAATAGTCATGAGATGGACCAGGTGGAGATATTGAATCATGGGGGTGGTTTCTCCCATCCTGTTCTCCTGATAGTAAGTTCTCACGAGATCTGATGGTTTTATAAGGGGCATTCCTCTTTGCTTGGCTCTCATTCTTCTTCTCCCTGCTGCCATGTGAAGAAGAACACGTTGGCCTCTTCTTCCACCATGATTGTAAGTTCTCTGAGGCCTCCCAAGACATGTGGAACTGTGAGTCCATTAAACCTCTTTTTCTTTATCAATTACCCAGTCTCGAGTACGTCTTTATTAGCAGCATGAGGACAGACTAACACAATCAGAGAATGTTATGGGAAGGTTGTTATTCATGTCTGCTGTATTTGATAAAATGGTTGGGAAAATGTTAAGAGTACTGGATATGATACTTTTACATTGGTTTTTTTCTTGGTATTTCATATTGCTAACTAACTATAGTAGAAATATTTTATTCCAAGATTGAGTGGCTACTTTGAGCAAACCTTTTGTGCATTTAAGATAAGGAGGTGGTGGTTGGGCACAGTGGCTCACGGCTGTAATCCCAGCACTTTGGGAGGCCAAAGCAGGTGGATCATCTGAGGTCAGGAGTTCGAGACCAGCCTGGTCAACATGGTGAAACCCCATCTCTACTAAAAATACAAAAAATAGCCAGGCATGATGGCAGGTGCCTGTAATCCCAGCTATTTGGGAGGCTGAGGCAGGAGAATTGCTTGAACCTGGGAGGCAGAGGTTGCAGTGAGCCAAGATCGTGCCACTACACTCCAGCCTGGGCAACATGAGTGAGGCTCTGTCTCAAAAAAAAAAAAAAAAAAAATTGGGAGGTGGTGTCTTTGCTATTTGTTGTTTAAAAGAAAATAATTCCAAATCATGTGGCTTTATGAAAAAAGACCCCATCTCTCAAAGATAATTTATCTACTATCTTTAAATAATATTTTAGCCCATTGTTTCTCACATGGTTGTTACTGAAATTTTGGGTTTCTTAAGTATATCTGGAGGCTACTGAAGAGAGTTGCGGTGTTTCAAGTCTCACTTCAGACTCTAACTTCAGGGTTTCAAGTGGGTTATAAATTGATATTGCAGAGGCTGCTCCACTGAAAGATTAGATCAGATTCTCAATTTATATAACAAAGAATACAAAGATTTACTAGAAACAACATGGTCACTCAGGTAGGAACAAATAGAGTGTCTCAGTGTAGCTTCTCCTACTTTCCAGGATCCATACGAGAGGCACAGAAAACTGCTGATAACTTTATCTGGGCAATGTAGGGCAACGTTCTGCATCTCAGAAAGCTTACTATTTGCTATATAACTGCCCTTTCATAATTGGGGCCTATGTATGTCCTATTCTGAAAGAACTGTAACAATTCATGTGCTTCTGTTTAAATAAATGTTTTCAAATCTTGGCTTTAAATCAATTGTGAACTAATTTGTTGCAGGAGAATTTGGTGAATTTACCACATTTACTGATATATCCAAATTCTATATTTTGAAATCATTTTGAGATTGACAGCAAGTGATGTGTATTGGATAGGATGATTTTAATAGCTTTTGGTAATTTCTATTGTTTCTTTGTGTTTGCTTTAAAAACTGTCTTTATAGCAGCATTTTAAAGAATGTTTAGTTTGTCAAAAGCTGGTAATTATAACATGGTTAATTGTCTTATATATTTAATATTCAGAAAAATATAGTTTATAGTTAGTAACCAAAATTTCAGTACTAGTCAATAAGATTAGCACCTAGAATCTGAAAAGAATTCAGTATAAATATGAAATTGCTAAAGAAGTATCATATGTACTCTTACTAATATGAAATACCAAAGTTTAATTACTAATAATGAGAAATATAAAATTAAGATTTATATGCTAGAAATTAAGCTTGATATGCCATTTGAAGAACTGGTGAAATAATAGTAAAAATGCCTATACTGGAAGAATAAAGAATGCGCAGAAGAGTGTGAAAGCAATTTTTTATTGATAGAAATGCAAACTTAAGGCTAATGTATCATTTGAAAAACTGGCAGAAAATAGGTTAGTGTTTGAAAAGGTATAAAATGACATTAAAAAGCATTAAAGGAAGTCAGAAGTAACTGATAGTATTTTGTCAGGGGTAAAAGAGTTAAGTTTTGTTTTCTTTTTGTTCTTTTCTTTTCTTTTCTTTTCTTTTTGAGATGGAGTCTTGCTCTGTTGCCCAGGCTGGAGTGCAGTGGTGCGATCTTGGCTCACTGCAGCCTCTGCCTCCTGGGTTTAAGTGATTCTCTTGCCTCAGCCTCCCGAATAGCTGGGACTACAGGTGTGTGCTACCACAACTGGCTAATTTTTTTGTATTTTTGGTAGAAACAGAGTTTCACCATGTTGGCCAGGCTGGTCTCAAACTCCTGGCCTCAAGTGATTCACCTGCCTTGGCCTCCCAAAGTGCTGGGATTACAGGCTTGAGCCACTGTGCCTGGCCTAAAGTTTTGTTTTCTGATAAAGGTTTGTAGAAAGCTTTGACACCAAAAGGTGTCAGTTGACACAAGCAGTGTCAATGCCCAGGGATTCCTGAACAATATTTCTGCTTCTAGTTTTCCAGTATTTGGAAGTCCATTTTCTTGCTAGTTTTTGTTTTTTCTTAAAAGCAGTTGATTGACATTTAGTAAAATACATGGGAAAGTCAGCCAGTGACTAGCATTTTAATGGCAATTGCTCTAGGTACTTTCTCAAATTATACACTATGCAGATGTAGCCCCTGACCATGCTCTTTTATGGTTATGCAACCAGTATATGTATTCTGTTAGTGAACAAAGCATTCTGGGACAGAGAAAAGCCATTTTTATTTTGTCTAGAAAAGAAACAATACTATTCTAGCAAATATAAGTAATTTCGGGACATTAGAATTAGATACTTTGAGATTATATCAGATTTTCCTCAAAGTGTAGACATTATTTTAGTAAAAAAGAGTAAATACATTTTATTTTCTTCACAGTTGTAATGGATTTATTCTTTACAATGAAGACTGCAGTGAATTAAAAAGATACCCAAAATAGTGTAAGGATATTACATGCTTTTTAACAAAAAATATATAAAAAGTGATGAGTTTTTTTCACAATAATACATCGTGAATGTTGGTTTTTCATCAGAAAGGGAACTTTTCCTTAAAAAAAATACTGTGGAATTTGATTACTAAGTCATTTATTTACAGAATATAGCATCTTTCCAAAAAATTCAAGTGGCCGTAGTTTCTCAGTTAAGACATTTGATTTGATGATAAAAGCATTAATTTCTAGTGAACCAATTTTAACATTTTAATGTCTTATCTTTCTTTTTGTATTTATTTTACTACCACTAGGTGGAGCCCTAAACACACAATTCAAGAAAGTATCTCTGCAAGATACTTTGTTTAAATTCCCTAAAGCCAATTTATAATCAGTTACAGCGAGTTAACTCATATTTAAACTTTGAAAACTTTGGTTTTCAAGGGTTGATATAATGAAGATAGAAAATGTGTTTGATACTTAAAATTTTTTTAGCTATATTTTTGAGACACAAAGTATTTTTATACATTCCGAGTTGCTAAAATTAAAATATGTAAGTAAAATCTTTAGTGTGGCATAAGCCATATTTGTTCTCTGTTCACATGAAGGTTAAAGTCAGCTCTTTTTTTTTTTTTTGAGATGGGAGTCTTTCCCTGTTGCCCAGGCTGGAGTGCAGTGGCGCAATCTTGGCTCACTGCAACCTCTGCTTTCCGGGTTCAAGTGATTCTCCTGCCTCAGCCTCCCAAGTAGCTGGGATACAGGTGTGCATCACCACGCCTGGCTAATTTTTGTATTTTTAGTAGAGACAGCGTTTCACCATATTGGCCAGGCTGGTCTGGAACTCCTGACCTTGTGATCCACCCACCTAAGCCTCCCAAAGTGCTGGGATTACAGGCGTGAGCCACTGTGCCCAGCCATCTCTTCTTTTAAAAATGATTTTGCATCTGTACTTCTGTCTGAGTTGCATTAAATTTTGCCAGAATTAGACATTTTATTGTGTTAAGCTTTTGGAAGGGATGACTGAGCTAACCCCCCCCTCTTTTTTACTTTTAAACAAATTTTATTTTATTTATTTATTTATTTTACCTTTGTCCTGAACTCTCTTACATTGATGTGTCATTATCTATATATAGAGCACTAAGGTATACTCTTATTGGATGTGGGAGAATGGAAAGTTTACTAATTTTCTAATGTTCGCTCTTGCTGGTTCTAGCATATAAATATGTGTGTGTTTGTTTACAGGAACTTGATTAGACTTAACAATAGAAATTATAAAATTTTGGGAGACTGAAAGAACGAAAAATTATTTTTGTTAAAATTGTTTATTGATTCAAAATTTAGAATGGCAATAAATCTAGCACATTCATATATGAATTAGGTAGATATAACTATAAACCAACTAGGCTCAAAGAGTGAGTACTGCTTAACAGCATTTCCTTTCTGTTCCTACAAATCAGAATTTCAAAGAATAATGATTATCATTTAAAGAAAAAAAGAAAAATAGCTTTTTCAGAGTCTCTTCAACTGAGGTCAAGTACAGGGCCCTCGATTTTCTCTACTTCTTTTTGCTCCTCCTTATTTTGTTGCATTTGT
Source organism: Homo sapiens (assembly GCF_000001405.40). Classification (NCBI taxonomy): domain Eukaryota; kingdom Metazoa; phylum Chordata; class Mammalia; order Primates; family Hominidae; genus Homo; species Homo sapiens. The sequence continues at coordinate 92,886,354 of NC_000010.11, forward strand.
AATTTAAAACTGCGTAACTATTAGCTATGCCTCAGTTATCATCCCCCTTTTCTGTCCATTGGTTGATTTCACCTGATGGGTGCAACAGTGCACATCAGGGATTCCCTATTGAGTCATTCTCAATTGTTGATCTTCAAAGGTGATCTGGTTGGTTGCTATGCTGGTAACTTCCCTCTGCATTCTATGCTGCTTATCACCATTTCTGACTGGAGAGTCTATGTAATATAGTAGTTCAGAGCACTGACTTTGGAGTCAGGTAGACCTGGGGTTAAATCTTGACTCTGTTACTATATGACTTCAGACTCAATGTCTTAATCTTCCCAAACTACATTTGTAAATTGTGATGCTAACAGAATCCATGTTGTAAAGCTGTAATGATTAACATAGTTAAGCCAGAAGTATGTCTGGAATAGCAAATGGTTATCTGGGGTCAGAAGAGAGTTGGGACAGCCTGAGACTTAGTAATTGGTAGATCAAGACCTACTCTTCTCATTCACAGTACTAATTCTTTAATTTTTTTATTGGAACTTATGGTTCTGTTTTTATACTTAATGAGATAATGCATGTAAAGCACTTAATACATAATAAGTACTTGGTTGGTTGTTATTATTTTTATCATTACCATCATTAAGCCAGAAGCAGCAGACATGACTCCTCTCTGGCCGGTTAAGTCACTGTGGGGAATTGTTGACCTGAAGAGCACATCTTCTCTTCATTTTCTTCTCCTTCCACTATCTTTCCAAATTGTCAGGCTGTCTGATTCAAGGTTAACCCTACATGGTTATCAAGAGAGAAGGTCCATAAGTTCTGCTATACATACTGTGTCAAGAGATTCTTGGGATAAGAGTAGCTTTTGTTTTTTTCCTCATTCCAGTGTTCTGATACATGTCCACCTTTTCTCCTTTCTTGCCTCTCTCCATTCAGTCAGCTATTTATTATTGGCCTTATTAGCAAATTTCTAGACTAGTTATTTTTAATATTACTTTTTATCAACGTAAGTAGAGGATTAAATCAACTACTTGTAGTGATTAATTTAATTTTTTTTTTTTTTTTTTTTTTTGGAGACGGAGTTTCGTTCTTATCGCCCAGGCTGGAGTGCAGTGGTGTGATCTAGGCTCACTGCAACCTCTGCCTCCCGGGTTCAAGCAGTTCTCTCCTGCCTCAGCCTCCCAAGTAGCTGGGATTACAGGCGCCCGCCACCACACCCAGCTAATTTTGGTATTTTTGGTAGAGACAGGGTTTCTACCTGGCCTGTTGGCCAGGCTGGTCTCAAACTCCTGACTTCAGGTGATCTGCCCGCCTCAGCCTCCCAAAGTGCTGGGATTACAGGAGTGAGCCACCGTGCCCAGCCGATTAATTCCATTTTGAGCGCTTGCTTGCTGGCTTTTAGATTTGTGCTGCATTTATTAAAATGACATAGATCTAGGAACTTTCTAGGCTTTTTCTAGGGCCAGCATTCTATCATTTGATGAATTTTTGATTCTGGCACTTGCCTGATTCTTCAGTACATTCTTTAAATGCAATTTATTCCTGTGGTTTGGAACTTTTATTCACCTTGATGACTTTATTTCTGTGTACTCTGCTCATTGATATGGGTTGTGGGTGACACGTGGGGGTATCAGCTGTGAGTACAGCTTATGTGCATGTCTGGAATAGCAAATGGTTATCTAGGGTCAGGAGAGAGTTGGGACAGCCTGAGACTTTGTAATAGATCAAGACCTACTCTTCTCATTCACAGTACTAATTCCTTAATATTATTTTTATTTCTTTCATTGGAACTTACGGTTCTATTTTTTAATAGCAGAAGGCATGGAATGTAAATAGTTTACCCCTCTCAGGCTTTGGTTTTCTATTAATGGAGGGTGGGTATTGCATATATTCTAAAAAAAAATATTGTTTTTCTCCATTATAGCACAACAGAAAAAGAGGAGTTCACCTGTGATGCTATAGTAGATGCACTGGCAGTATCCTGAATTACTATAAAGCAGGAGGAGTTTTGTTTTTAAAACTTTGAAGAATATATTGGAAAAACATACCAAAGGATTTACTTTGAGAACTTTCTAAACTGAAATAGACTTCTGGGAAAGAACTATTGTTCTCTTCTTCCTGTTTATTTATGTTATTACTCTTCTTCAAAAGGGATAACAGTATCTCCTTTATATCCACAAAAGCAGTCAAATCCTCCCTTGAAGGGACTCTGTATTCGGGTAGTCCTGAAATATCTCTTGCTAGATTTTTGCTCCAATGTGATAATTGTAATATAAAAAATTCTTTTGGTGTATTTTGTTTATTATTTGGTATTTTAAGAGCCAGATAAATGTCCAACTTTTAATAAAATGTGTTAAACATAGAAATGTGTATGTATATTACTTAAATACAATACTTTCTCATAATCATGACATAAAAATTTGTTTATAGCACACCAAGGTCAGTTAAGATAAACTTCTTGCACAAGAATTTTCCTTAGAAATAATGTTATTTAGTTAATAGTTCTTGTTATATATGTTAATTGTGGGAAAAGTACGAAGTAGGAATTTTAGTACTGCCTCAGTTACTTACCAGCTAGGCTATGTTGAGCAAGTCATTTATCATTTCTATACTGTTTACTCATTTGTGAAAAAGAGGCAGTGATAGTTTCTCTGATGTGTATAAGAAATAAATGAAACACTAAATGTAAAAAATGCAAAAGGACATATAAAAATGTTAGGTGTTAGTGGTAGTCAGATCCTTTGGTGTGATAATTGAGTTTTGGTCATATTTATTTGATATTTGTATCTAGTACTCAGTTGTTCAGCCACTGGTTCACTTGTTTAACGAGGATTTGGTTGTCTCATGTGTATACTATACTAGTCATTAGTGTATGTTAAGCACTTACCATGTGTCAGTTATTGTTTAAGAATTTTTCATGTTTACTAATTTAATCCTCCTAACACTCTAATGTAGATACTATTTTTTAAAGACTTTTTTTTCTTTAGAGTAGTTTTAGGTTTCTAGCAAGATTGGGAGGAAGTACAGAGATTTCCCATATATTCCCTATCCTACTCATCCAAAGCCTCCCCAGCGTCAATATCCCTCACCACAGTAGTAGATTTTTAAAAACTGATGAACCTACATTGACACATCATTATCATTCAAGGTCTAGTCTAGATTCATTTCTTTGCATGTGTATGTCCGGTTGTTTTAGCACCATTTGTTGAAGACTGTCTTTTCTCTATTGTATTACCTTTGCTCCTTTGTCAAAATTCAGTTACTATGTTTATGTGGGTTTATTTCTGGTCTGTCTATTCTGTTCCATTGATCTGTTTGTTTTACCAATACCATGCAATCTTGATGACTGTAACTTTATAGTAAATCTTGGGTCGTGTTGTCAGTATTCCAATTCTGTTCTTTTTTTTTTTCTTTCTTTCTTTTTCAGAGTGGGGGTTGCGCTCTGTCACCCAGGTTGGAGTGCGGTGGCACAATCATGGCTCATTTCTGTCTCAAACTCCTGGGCTCAAGCAATTTTCCCATCTCAGCCTACTGAGTAGCTGGGACTACAGGCGTGTGCCACCATGCCTGGCTGAATTTTGTCCTTTTTCAATATTGTGTTGGCTATTTTGGGTCTTCTGCCTTTCTATATAAACCCAAGGATCAGTTTATCGATGTCTGCAAAATAACTTGCTGGGATTTTGATTGGGATTGCCTTGAATCTATAGATGAAGTTGGGAAGAACTGATACCTTAATGATATTGTCTTCCTCTTCATAAACATGGAATAGTTCTTTATTTATTTAGTTCCTTGATTTTTTTAAAATCAGAGTTTTGTAGTTTTCCTCCTGTAGATCTTGTGTATTTTTTAGATTTATATCTAAGTATTTCATTTTGGAGGATGCTAATGTAAATAGTATTGTGTGTTTAACTTCAAATTCTACTTGTTCATTGCTGTATGTGCTATTATTATCCTGATTTTATGGTTGTGAAAACTGATACTTAGAGAATTCAGGTGGCTTACCTGAGGTTGAACTGCTAGTAAGTGCCTTTTCTAATTCCATCCATTCATCTATTAATTCATGCATTTATTAATGAATTATTTATTGAGCTTCTGTTATATGATAGACACTATTCTAGGGCTGGGGATGCAATAGGGAACAAAACAGTCAAAAACTATGTCCTCATGCAACTTACATTCCAGTAGGGGAAGACAGATAATACTTAAAAGTGTGAAACAGAGAGTATATTCTACAGTGGAAGGAATGATATAGTGATAAACTCCTTTGTTTTAGAAGATTAAAAAATAAAGCAGGGAAGGGGATAGTGTGTGTGTGTGTGTGTATCTGTCTGTCTGCCTATCTATCTCTGTGTCTGGTCTATCTAGATAGCATAGATGGGAATATGCCTGTGTATTAAGAAAGCCATGAGGAGGCCAGTGTTGCTGGCATGGAATAAGTAAAATGGAGAGTAAGTAACAGGAAGTGAGGTCAGTGAGGTAACAAGAGGCAAAATTATGTAGGGTCTTATGGGCTGTTGTAAGATAAACTGGGTTTTGAGCAGAAGAGAGACATGGGCTTTGCCTTAGGTTTTAATGGGACAATTCCCATTAGCTATCATCTGGCTGCTGTATTGAGAACAGACTGAAAGGGAACAAGGATGGAATCAGGGAGACCAGTTAGGAAGCAGTTGACAAATCTACGCAAGACATGTTGTTGGCTTAGTCCAGGGTGATACCAATGGGGAGGTAGTTTGCTGGAGAAGGAGAATAGTCAAGGGTGAGTCCAAGGTTTTTTGCCTGAGCAACTAGAAAAGTGGGGTTTACTGAGATGAGGAAGACTATGGGAAGGGCAGGTTTTGTGAAAGGAGATCAGGAATTCATTTTCGGACATATTTGAGGTGCTTATCAGACATCTAATTGGAGAGATATATGAGTTTGAGGAGAGGTCAGGGCAGAGATAAAAATTTAGCAGGTGTCAGTGTGCTTATGGAATTTAAAGCTACAAGTCAAGATGACATGGAGATAGAAAAGAGAATATGTCCAAGATCAGAGCCTAGTTCTAACTCAGCTCTTACAGAACCTACATTTTTTAAAAAATTAAAAAAATTAAAATTTATATTTGACGTACATTAGAATGTAGGCATAGATGCCAAGAACCTAAATTCTTTTTTTTCTTTTTTAGACGGAGTTTCACTCTGTCACCCAGGCTGGGGTGCAGTAGTATGATCTTTGCTCACTGCAACCTCTGCCTCCCGGGTTCAAGCGATTCTCCTGCCTCAGCCTCCTGAGTAGCTGAGATTACAGGCACCTGCCACGACACCCAGCTAATTTTTGTATTTTTAGTAGAGACAGTGTTTCACCATGTTGGCCAGGCTAGTCTCAAACTCCTGACCTCAAGTGATCTGTCCGCATCGGCTCCCAAAATGCTGGGATTACAGGTGTGAGCCACTGCACCTGGCTGCCAAGAGTCTAAATTCTTAATAATTGGTATCCTATATTGTTACCTCTTGTATTAGAGAGTGTATTCATTAAAAACCTAAGACAGAGGCTACCCTCAAGAAGTTTATGGTCTATTTGGGGAAACAAAATATATTTTAAATACAAAACATGTAAATTACAATACAAAGTAATATATGATTACGTGTCAGAATAACTGTAAGGGGTTGTAAGTTTACCTGTCCTGCAGATGAAAAGATTACTTGGCATGGGAATGATTGGCAAAGGCCTGCTGGAAGAAATGGGACTTGAAATGAACCTCAAACAATGGGCAACGGATGTGGGGTGAGGTTTGGAAAGTTCCCAAGACCACTCTCAGGTTCAAAAATTTGCTAGAGGGACTTGCAAAATTCAGCAAAGTTGTTACACTCATAGTTACTGTTTGTTACAGCAAAAACAACAACAACAAAAACTTTCAAAAAACTACACAGATTAAAATCAACAGCAGAAAAGGCACATAGGACAGGGACTAGGAGAGTTCCACGAGTGAGCTTTCAGTTGTCCTTTCTCAGTGGAATTGTGGACAGCACTTACTGCTCCCAGCAGTGATGTGTGGTAACACGCATGGAGTATTGTCAATCAGGGAAGCTCATCCAAGCTTTGATATCCAGGAATTTTATTGGAGTTTGGTCATATAGCCATGACTGACTACCCATGTAGACTTGGCTGACTGCCCACATTGCTGACCTCCTGCCCCTCCACAGCTAAAACTGTGTGGCCTCAGGCCTCACCGTGAGTCACACTGTTAGCATCTGCTATTTGGCAGTCAAAGCCTTCCAGGTAAACAAAGAAGACACTTACCAGGCAGGGTATGCCAAAGGCTTTCCTCCCAGGAATCAGTGGCAAGGGTAGTCCTTTACTGCATGGTGAATAGAGGGGTACGCTCTCTGTGGAGACAGCATGAGCTGAGAGACAGTAGGAATGAATATGCCATGTTTAGGAAACATTGTGGTGACTGCAATATGGGCTTGTACCTGAGAATATGAACCCTGGAGCCGGACTATCAGGAGTCATATCCCAGCTATCACTTGTGCTGGTTGTGGAATTTATGGCAGTTCAGTAATCTGTAACTCTTCTGTAAAACAAGGGTAATAACAATACCTACTTTGTAGCCTTGTTGTGGGGATTAAAGAGTTAATATATAAAGCATTTAGAACATGAGCGTTTACTTTACATAGTAAATGCTGTAAAAATCATGAGTTTGTTCATTCATTCTTTAACCATTCATTCACTCAGTAATTCTTTGTTTTTGAATGTTAGTATGTTAAAGACTTGTATTAGGCCCACATCTCCTGAGCCTCATACCTTTATTTCCAGATACCTCATGCTATATCTAGAGCTTGTGTGGTTCTTTTAATATTATCATGTTCAAGAAGAAATAAAATACTTTCACGCAAATTATTTCTGCTAAAGGTAATATTATCACCAGTTTATTTGTTCAGAGATTTAATTTTAAGATATCACCTCTTGCAAAGATCAGGCTTACTAAATAATACATTTTGGTTAATTTTAGCTTTCTTATATACATTCAGGTCTGTGTATGATGACCAACCAAATGCGCACAAGAAGTTTATGGAAAAGTTAGATGCTTGTATCCGTAATCATGACAAGGAAATTGAAAAGATGTGTAATTTTCATCATCAGGGTTTTGTAGATGCTATTACAGAACTCCTTAAAGTAAGGACTGATGCAGAAAAACTGAAGGTAAGAAATATGTTAAAATTATTTGCCTTTGTTCTCATTAAATTACTCAAGTCTTAGTTGATAGTACATATGTACAAGTCATTATTAAGTATGTTACTTTCAAGAAGTGAATTAGTATATGTATTAGGGAATGCTCTTTATGCTCTATTAACACAGTTGTCATGCTAATGACAGGAGTATTCTCTTTTTCTGAAGCAAGTAATGCACTGACTTAACAGGATTTCTTTCCATGCAGGGAAGTGAACTCAAAACATGCATACAATGAAAGGCCCTATTTGCAGTTTTTGAATTTCTAAAATGACAGTTAGTACAATATTTATAAAATGTTATCCTCTAAAATTCCTTTAAAAGCTTATGATAAATAGTTATGTTCTCAGCATTATTTAATAATGTTAAAACTTTTTGAAAAGTTTAACAGCAGTGTGTATTTTTCTTAAAGAAAGTTGGTCTACACTTTCTGCCATACAGCTAAAACATTATTTATTAAAAGAGACCTAGATTTGTTCAGTCAGGATAAAAAATATTTAATTATAAGAATTGTCCTATTTATCTTTCTTTACGTTTAGAGCACTTAGCAGACAAAATGACCCTGGTTCACCAAAGGTTATGATTAGAAAACCATTGTATAAAGGATATTCAGATAACAAGAGACTAACTACAGCATCAATGAGGTCACTGAGCATCTTTGTTCAGAAATTAATGAGATTTTTAATAAACCAGAATGTGCTTCCTTACTATGATGACCTAATGAGTCACTTAATATGTGGGAAAATTTGAGGTTGAGCTTTGCCTGCACCTGCAGCATTAAAATGTTGCTGTGGATTGAAATTTCTGTGTTTGATGTTAATCAACCACCCAGTGTTTGCATTCAGCAAAGTATGAATGTTTAATTACCATAAAATGCAATCACCATTTCCTACAGACAATGAATGGCACATAGACCTCATTGAAGTTATCAAAAGGGGACCAGTGGTCAATTGGGTCAGTGATTTGAATTGTTTGACAGACTTAGAGAAGCAAGTAAAGTTCAAAAATCCTGAGTAAATTTGAGAAGTTTGCCACAGAATCTGTTAAAAAGAACTGTCATAAGTAATTGAAGTTAACAAAAGCCCTTTTCAATCAAAAGTTCAAGTTCAAGCTGTAGAGTTAATTTGAATTTGCATTTCTTTGTTCTAAGTTTCTCATGAAGCATGATCTGATTACAAGGGTGAGCAGTTACATCAGGGCAGTTTTATGCATATTTGTCTAACTAAGGTGAAATTAAATTTTTAAGGTGCAAGTTACTGATACCAACCGAAGGTTTCAAGATGCTGGAAAAGAGGTGAGAAAATGATACTTTTCTGGGTATTCAGTATGTAGTTGTTCTTTAACTGTTTGTTTAAAAATATGAACATTCCTTCTTTTCTAAGGTGATAGTCCACACAGAAGATATCATTCGATGTAGAATTCAGCAGAGAAATATTACAACTGTAGTAGAAAAATTGCAGTTATGCCTTCCTGGTGAGTTAAACTTGTCTATAATAAAACGTTTGGCTTGGTAAAGTTGTAATTTAATAATAGCAAGTAGTGATTCTTTGGTATGGGAATTACAGATTATTTGGTGATTGCCTCACAACAAAGACCATGCTTATCTTTCAGGTTCATTTTATTCCCTGAATATTCATGCTTTTGTCATGTTAGAAAGCTCTTGTTTGATTATATGTCACATCAGTTTCCTAGAACAGCAACTTCTACATTTCCATTTCCTTTTGGCCTCTTTTGCCTTTTGTCCCCCATAACCCTTTTTTGTTTTTCCTCGGAATACTTTCCCATGGGGAGAGTCTTTTGGTTACATTTTCTCACCTTTACCTAATTTGCCTGATTTTTTACCTCTAGTTTTCCATTGTTTTTTGTTTGTCACTTAGCAGGTTGTTTTTGCTTTGCTCACAATCTCATTGTGCTGATAAGGTAAGAAAAACATCAAAAGAGCTGGATCTTCACCATTCTTGCCTTTCCTCCTGTATTTTGGAAACGCTGTTTCTGGTCTCTTTGTTAGGGCTAAATATTACTTGGGCATCAGATAAATTCCGAGGAAATTAACTAGTATTTTCTTTACCTGGATTTAATATACTTTAAGTTGGATGCATTCTGTTCAAACAAAAGGAAGCAGGTATATGACTTTTTTTCTTTTTATTTATTTTAATTTTTAATTTTTTTAGGGATAAAGTCTCACTCTGTTGCCCAAGCTAGAGTGCAGTGGCATGATCATAGCTCACTGCAGCCTTGAACTCCTAGGTTCAAGCAATCCCCTTGTCTTAGTGTAGTGTTGGGATTACAGGCATGAGCCACCACACCCGGCCTTTTTTTTTTTTTTTTTTTAAATATAGTAAGCTGAATCCATCTTTTGTCCCATTTTTAAACTTATTATTTTTTTTTTAGGAAGGAGCCTAAACCTCCATATTCAGCAGAATAGAATGAGATGATGAGATGTTTTATATTATATATATATGTGTATATATGTGTATATATATGTGTGTATATATATGTGTATATATATGTGTATATATATGTGTATATATATGTGTATATATATATGTGTGTATATATATGTGTATATATATGTGTGTGTGTGTGTGTGTATGTATGTGTATATATATATATATATATATATATATATATATATTTTTTTTTTTTTTTTTTTTTTTTTTTTTTTTTTTTGGCGGAGTCTCACTCTATCTCCCAGGCTGGAGTGCAGTGGTATGATCTCTGCTCATTACAACCTCCACCTTCTGGGCTCAAGTCATTCTCCTGCCTCAGCCTCCTGAGTAGCTGGGATTATAGGTGCCACCACCATGCCTGCCTAATTTTTGTATTTACAGTAGAGGTGGGGTTTCACTATTTTGGCCAGGCTGGTTTCAAACTTCTGGCCTCAAATGATCTGCCTGCCTCGGCCTCCCAAAGTGCTAGGATTACAGGTGTGAGCCACTGCACCCGCTATATGCTATTTTTATGATGTAAATTTAGCTTAGACTACAAATTATATTGTTAAAACTGTTAGCAGATTTTATTGGCTAAAAAAATTGTAGTATTATTATTATTATTATTTGAGACAGAGTCTCACTCTGTTGGCCAGGCTGGAGTGCAGTGGCTGAATCTTGGTTCACTGCAACCTCAGCCTCCCAAGTAGCTGGGATTACAAGCATGCGCCACCATGCCCGGCTAATTTCAGTATTTTTGGTAGAGGTGGGGTTTCACCATGTTGGGCAGGCTGGTCTCAAGCTCCTGGCCTCAAGTGATCCATCCACCCCAGCTTCCTAAAGTGCTGGGATTACAGGTGTAAGCCACTGCGCCTGGCCTGTTTTTTGACTTGTGAGAATAGCTTTTCTTTTTTTTTAGAATCAATGAAATTCTACTCAGCTTAATCTCTGATGGACCAGGTATATTTACGTAAAAACTTTGAGTAAATAAAATGTTGGCTTATTATGTTAAGTTTCAGGGTTGAGAAACCTATTTCCTTATAGTCATGTTTAATAATACCTCTTTGCCACCGTCAGGTGCATTGTAATAGCCATGAAGATGTCCTCTAAGTTTGAATGTTTTGTCCCTGTCTGATAATAAACCTTAAAAATTGGGTACTGATGGAATGAGCAAGAGCCAAATTCAGCTTATTCCCCTACTGGGCTATGTAAAATAGAGAAATAAAGGGAAGTAGAGGTCAGCCGTTTGTTACTGCTACTGTCTTCGTTTTTAAGGCTAGGCCGCAACTCTTAGTTCATATAAGTATTGTGTTCCTAATGGCCACCTCCAGAACTACCTGCTTTCCTCTATTCATCTTTCTGTCCTACTATCCACTTATAAATGTGTGTGTGAGGCATCATGGTAGGTATTGGAACTATAAAGTTGGAAATGACACAATCTCAGCTTTTGAAGGATCCTACAATCTGTGAAAGGAAAATAAATCTTGGGACCCCAAAATCACTAAGCCAAGAAAAAAGTCAAGCTGGGAACTGTGTCAGGCAAACCTGCCTCCTATTTTCCTCCTGAATAAGATAGGTACAAAGATAAGAAGCTACATACTCCCTCACAATTTGCCCACTGGAAATTCCTTATGGACAAAGGACAGACAGAACACAAAGTCATCCCTCTGAGGCTCACCTGAGACAAATCCATATCTGATTGCTTCCTCTGCCCTTTTATTTGTATAAAAATGCAGATTCACTGGGCCAGACTAAATTGTATATTCAGTGGAAGGCTGATCAAGGACTCAAAAGAATGCAACCTTTTGTCTCTTACCTTCTTCTAATCTGGGAGCCCCCACTTCTGAGTTGTCCTGCCTTACCAGACTGAACCAATATACATCTTACACGTATTGATTGATGTCTCATGTCTCTCTAAAATGTATAAAAGCAAACTGTACGCCTGACGACTTGGGCACATGTTTTCAGGACTTCTGAGACTGTGTCATGGGCATGCCCTTAATCTTGGCAAAATAACTTTCTACATTGACTGAGACCTGTCTCAGATACTTGGAGTTCACAGATCTTATGGGAATAAAGACACGTAAGTCATCAGTTGCAGTGCAGTTGCCTAACTCCTCCGTGGATTAGGAGGAGTATGAAAGGATGTGAGAAGTCATAGCTTGGGCATGGTGACTCATGACTGTAATCCCAGCACTTTAGGAGGCTGAGGTGGGAGGATCATTTGAGGCCAGGAGTTTGAGAACAGCCTGGGCAACATAGGGAGTCCCTGTCTCTACAGAAAATTAAAATTAAAAAAAAAAAAATTAGCCAGCTGTGGTGGCGTACCTGTGGTTCTAACTACTGGGGAGGCTGAGGTGAGAGAATTACTTGAGCCCAAGAGGTTGAGGCTGCAGTAGGCCATGATCGTGCCACTGCCCTGTAACCTGGGTGACAGAGTGAGACCTTGTCTCAAAAAAAAAAAAAAAATCACGGCATAAACAATGCATTTATTTTCCTGGTGTATTAGTTTTTACTGTTTTTGAGGAAAGCATTATTTTTATATGGAAATAGCATGAGGTAGATATGAAATTTACATGAATTGTTAAGCTTGGAGACTTCAAAGAAAGTTTATACTTATTGCAGCAGGCTCTCTCCCAGTTTATGTGTTCCCTCTAATGCTTTGGTTGGAAAATGTGAAAAAAATTACATTACAATATAGAGGCTATGATAGAGAGATATACATAGGGTCCTGTGAAGCGACAGAGTCAGGGTTGATTCACTACAGCTACCACTGCAGTTTTTATGGTTTTCAGACACATAAACGATGTTTTTTGTAAACTTGGAGACCCCTAGGAGGAGTCATATGACTGTAGAAAAATCTGGAAAAAAATGTTGTCTGTCCATATTGTAGAGGGAAAGCAAAGTGTGTACTCATTCTGTACTTTGAAATTCTAAGTTTAAAGGGTAAAAAGGTTTAAAACCTTTTTAGTGACACTATATTATCTTGGCAAAGAATAATTTATTGAATAATTGCATTCCTTTCTATCAAACAATTGCATTTGATAGAAAGGATGAAATGAATAAAGATGCTTTGTTATGTTTATTTCTGGCTGTATTATAATTCACTCCTGCTGTAAGCTTTTGACGTTTTTCTTTCTTTGTGGATTTGGTATAAACTTTTGTTTATAGTGAGTTTAACACAAGTGTGTTATTTTATTTGGTATGTTGAGTCAAAAATCAGTGAATCTCACACTCAACTTTCTCTCTCAAATAACTAAAGTCTAAAGTTCCAGTTCTATTTCAGGGAAGAAATATTAGTAGTTTCTGGATAGGATAATTGTTAGTAGGCTAATGTCTCAGTTATACGTGGTTAGCATATACAAGTGTTCCAGGTTCAGTATAATACATTTATATGTATATATGTGTGTGTGTGTATATAATAAAATGTTCAGTATATAAGGAAATAAACATGTTTTCATATACTTGAAGTATTTAACATTTTATTTGAAAATATTAGCCTAACTCAAGTTGTAGAAGTCTAATGAATTTGTAATATACTCTTTCCTGCTTTGATTATTTTCATGTCTCAAAATATTTTCTTTTCATTTTGAAAGCTAAAATGTTATATTTTTTAATGCAGTGCTAGAAATGTACAGTAAGCTGAAAGAACAGATGAGTGCCAAAAGGTGAGTTGGTTTTTTTCCTATTGTTTTAAATAAGAATTTTTTTCTATTATTGAAAGGACAGATACATTTACTATAAATCATAGTGAATCATGAGTTTTGCTTTCTTCATTACACTAACCTTTGTACTTAAAATTTGCGCATCAGGATAATCCACTAAAGCAAATCTTAGCCTTTTATTAATAAATCATTGTCCTTTATAAATGATATCAAGGATTGGTAATGTTGATCAAGTACAAATAGCCGAACAGGAATGAAAATATTGATTAGCTTACCAACATACTAATATTGCATGTAACTAAGGGCTAAGTGCATATTGTGGAAGGAAAAGAGTGTAGGCAGTTATATTTTGACAGTCTGGGTGAATGTAGTAGTTCACATTCTGTTTTATAACTCAAATGCATATATGACAGTTGAAAAAGAAAGTAATTTAAAGTAGTTTATTGATTGCCATAGGAGCATTGGATATAGTGATGTTTAAAATATTTTAAAGACGAACAGTTTTGGCCAGGTGTCATGGCTCATGCTTGTAATCCCGGCACTTTGGGAGTCTGAGGCAAGGGGATCACTTGAACCCAGGAGTTTGAGACCAGCGTGGGCAATATAGGGAGACCTCATTTCACCTCCCCACCCCCTTCCCCCCAAAAAACAAAAGAAAAAAAACAAATGATTCAAAAGTAACATAGAAAAACCAGAATAAATTAGACAATTTGGACTAGGGAAAAAATGATTTCTTCTTGGTTAGTAACTACTTAATTATCAGAACACATCTTATACAGACCTATAGTAAAAGATGTGTGTATGTCCTGCTTCATTGTGCTACATGTTGAATTTCATTAGGCTTTACCAGTTAATACAATTTAGTAGAATGATTTTTTCCCTGTAATAAACAAGCCAAAAACTATTCTGAAAGTCTTATTTTCTTTCACGTATGTATTAATAATATATTCTCTTTTTAAATCAATGTTATATATCCTCACATTTTAAAGATTCAAATAATTTTCCTACGCGTTTGCTGCCAAAAAAAAAAAAAACAGATATCACCTTTCCTATTTCCCATTCACCATTCCTTCTTTATAGGAGCAAAAACTTTTACCTCTTTTAATGGATTATTTTGGTATTTATATTTATGTCTTTAAATAACTAACTTTTAATTATTACCATATTATTTTCCAGTTTGGGGCATTATCGGTTTTTCAGTAATATAATCTAATATTTATACTCACATTTTCTCAACTATCCCCAAAATGTCTTACGTCTTTTTCCCTCCCTGAAAACATTGATTTGTATGTGTTCTTTTGTCCCTTTTAATCTAGAACAGTCCTCCTGTTCTTTGTTTTTTTCATGGAAGAGTGCAGGTCAGTTCTCTTGTAGACCAGGGCATTTTGGATTTATCTAGTTGTTTCTTCATGTTTAGATTCAAGTTAAAAGGTTTTGGCAAGAGTATAGCATAAGTGATACCTCACATTGCATGACATCAGGAGGCTTATAAAGTCATGTTGTCCTTAGGTTATGCTAAATTTGATCATTTGGTTAAGGGGAAGTCTACCAGATGTCTTTTGAAAAGGTATATTTTTCTCTTTGCAATTAATAAGTAATATGTGGGTCCTGTTTCCTAACAGGTTTTCACCCAGTAGTTTTATCATTCTTGCCTTAATCCGTTATTATATTGGATTTACAAGATGTTGATTTAAAAAATTCTATTATTTCTTAAACATTTATTAACTGGCTGTTTTATATATAAAGAAGAGCTTTTTATTCCCCACCACCACCTTTTTTCTTTTTTTCCGATTATGGCTGTGAACTTACGCATTTTTAAAATAAATATATTATAATTTATTATTGTCATTATTCATTTTGATGCACAAATTGTTTCAAATTTAACAAGAGAAACTTCTCAAGCCAATTCCTGTGTCTTTGTCTTTGAGTATTTTTGTGTTTATTGTATCGTAAGATGTTCCAAGCTCTCATTGTGCCTTTTTTTTTTTTTTTTGCCTCAGATCTGGAAGCAGCCATTCTCCAGGGTACCCTAGCTCCTTTTAGTATTAATGGTATTTAGAAACTAAGATGTATGGGTTGGGAGCAGTGGCTCACACCTGTAATCTCAGCACTTTGGGAGGCTAAGGCAGGTGGATCGCTTAAGCTCAAGAGTTTGAGACCAGCCTGGCCCGTATGGTAAAACCCCATCTCTACTGAAAAAAAAAAAAAAATAGCTGAGCGTGGTGGCGCGTGCCTGTAGTCCTAGCTACTGGGGGGTTGGTGGGGGGTGGGTGCTGAGGCAGGAGGATCTCTTGAGACAGGGAGGCAGTTGCAGTGAGCTGAGATTGAGCCACTGCACCCCAGCCTGGGTGACAGCAAAACCCTGTCTCAAAGAAAAACAAAAACAAAAACAAGGAACTAAGATGTATGTGCTAGGTGGACTTATTACACACACACACATACACACACACACACACACACAGTTTGAAGTTGTTAGTTTGTGACCTACCTTTTCTCTCTTTTAGAACATTCTCTTTGTCCTCTGTGGTCTATCATTTCCTGATGATGTCCTTTGATGTGGTGGGTACTTTTTGTGGTGGGTACTTAGTGAGCCTTCTTTTAATCTGGAAATTATCCTTTAATCTCATAATATCCTTAAGCATTAGGAAGTTTTTTTGAATTATTTTTTTCTTTCTGTTTTCTTATTTCTCTAGGATATTAATAGTTCAGTCTTCTAGATTGGTTCTCTAATTTTCTTATCTCTTCTTTGACATTTTAAAATCTCTTTGTCTGCTTGCTCTTTTTTCTATGAGATTATTTCATCTTTACCTTCCAAAGGTGGTGCTGATTTTTAAAAATTTCTGCTAATTTTTAATTTCTAGGAGCTCTTTTTTGATCTCCAAATTTTTTTTTCAGGTAGCCTCTTGTGTTTGCTTTTTAGAGATTCTTGGAGTTGTAGACTTATGACTTGTACATTTTTGTTTATGTTATACTAAAATAAACACACCTGTGTAGCCACCAAGTTTAAGATGTTGAATGTTATTGCTACCCAGAAGCTTTCTTATACTTCCTCACAGTCACTGCCACCAAAACAAGATGAAGAATACTTCCATTACCCCCACAGTTTGCTCATACCTCCTTCCAATTTCTCCTCCCTTCTCTAGAAATAACCACTTTCTGATTTTTAACATCATAGGTTAGTTTTGTGTGTTTTTAGAATTGATATAAATGGAATCTTCTTCACTCCCGATAATGTTTTTAAAATTCGTCTGTGGTTGCATAATTTCTTTTTATTGCTAGAATTTGTTTATCTATCCATTAGTTGCTATTTGGGTGGTTTCAGGTTTGCAGGTATTATGAATAAGACTGCCATGAAATTAAGGTACAAGTCTTTTTTATAGGGATATGTTTATATTTCCATTTAGTAAATATATAGGAGTAGAATTGCTCAGTGATAACATAAATGAATGCTACACTTTTTAAGAAACCGTTAAATACTTTTCTATTTAAAATATGATTTGAAAAATAGACTTTAAAAATATAATTTAAAAAATAATTATTTTAGTAGTACCATTTACGCTTCCATTAGCAATGTATTAATATAAGAATTTCATTTGCTCCACATCCTTGCAAACGTATGGTGTTTAATTAGTTTGTTCTAGTTGAGCCATTTTGGTAAGTATAAAATAGTATCTCATTGTTTCAATTTGCATTTTCCTGATGACTGATTGTTTATAGATCAGAATAAACAAATTTTTTTTTTTTTTACCATCAGTGAAATCAGAGGTAGAAAAATCATGGGTTTAGACTGTAGAAAGAAAGGATTTAGATTAGACACAATCCAGGGCATCTAGATGATAAAGGTTTGGGAATGTTGAATTTCAGTGGCAAGAAAACCTTTGGAATTGGCTTATCTAGAGATCTCTAAGTGTCATAAGTGCCTTTTTGTTTGGTATTTGGCTGTTTGTATGTTTTCTTTTGTGAAGTGTCTGTTCACATCTTTTGCTTTTTTTTTATTTAATAGATTTTATTTTTTAGAGCAGTTTTAGGTTTACAGAAATATTAAACACAAAGTACAGAGTTCCCATATACTTTTCCTCTTCTTTCTAAGCAGTTTTTCTGTTATTAATGTCTTGCATTAATATGGTACATTTACTTTAACTGATGAACCAATATTGACACATAAGTATTTACCAGAGTCCATAGTTTTACAGTAGAGTTCACTCTGTGTTGTACAGTTCTGTGGATTTTGGCAAACATATATCATGTATCCATTACAGTATCATACAGAATAGTTTCACTGCCTGAAAACTTTCCTGTGCTCCCTATCTTTCCCCATCCTTCCCTGCTGTGAACCCGTACCAATTACTGAACTTTGTACTGTTTCTATAGTTTTATCTTTTCCAGAATGTCAGATAGTTGAAATAATACAGTATATATATAATATGTTCAGACTGGCTTATTTCGCTTGGCAATATGCATTTAAGGTTCCTCTGTGTCCTTTTGTGACTTGATAACTTATTTCTTTTTTATCACTGAATAATACTACACTGTATGGATGAACCATAGTTTATCCATTCACCTTTGAAGGACATCTTGTTGCTTCCAAGTTTTGGCAATTGTGAATAAAGCTGCCATAAACATTTGTGTGCAGGTTTTATGCATGTAAATTTTCAATTAATGTGGGTAAATACCTGGGGATGTGATTGCTGGATCATATGGTAAGACTATGTTTAGTTTTGTAAGAATCTGCCAAACTGTCTTCAGAAGTGGCTGTACTATTTTGCACTCCCTCCAGAATGAATGAGAGTTACTGTTGCTCCACATCCTCCACAGGATTTAGTGTTGTCATTTTTTCGGATTTTGCCTATTCTAATAGGTGTGTAATGATATCTCATTGTTATTTTAATTTGTAATTCACTAATGACACATGATGTTGAGCATCTTCTCACATGTATGTCTTCTTTAGCGAGGTGTCCAAGTCTTTTGATCACTTTTTAATTTGGTGGCTTATTTTTGGATTGTTGAGTTTTAAGTGTGCTTTTTATATTTTGGATTCAAGTCCTTGATTCAATTTGTGTTTCGAACATATTTTCTCCCAGTCTGTGGCTTGTTTTTTCATTTTCTTAACAGTGTTTTTAAAGAGTAGGAAGTTTTAGTTTTAATGAAATTAAATTGGAAAAGTCCAGTTTACCTTTTTTTCTTTCCCTCATGCATTGTGCTTTGGTGTTTCTAAAAACTAATTGCCAAACCCAAGGTCATCTAAATTTTCCCTTGTGTTATCTTCTAGAGTCTTAGAGTTTTGTGTTTTACATTTAGGTCTATGATCTATTTTGAATTAATTTTTATAAAAAGTGAAGGTCACTGTTTACATTTATTTATTCACTTTTTTGCATGTGAATGTCCAGTTGTTCCAGCAGCATTTATTTAAAGAACGACTCTTTTTCCATTGAATTTCCTCAGTTAACTGTATTTGTGTATTTCTGTGCTTTCTGTTTCATTTTAACCTACTTGTTAATCTTTTCACCTTTACCATACAGTCTTTAATATTATAACTTTATACAGTATTAAGTCTTGAAGTTGGGTAGTGTCAGTCTATCCTTCAACTTTGTTCTTCAATATTGTGTGGCTATTCTGGGTCTTTTGCCTGTCTATATGAACTTCAGAATCACATTGTTGATATTCACAAAATAAGTTGCTGGGGTTTTGATTGGGATTGCATTGAATCTGTAGATCAAGTTGGGGAGAACTGATATCATCAGTTGATGATATTGAGTCTTCGTATTCATTAATATGGAATATCTTTCCATTTATATAGATTTTCTTTAATTATTTCTATCAGAGTTGGTATTAGTTCCAGAAAATTTTTTGTTGAAGGTTTTTATATAGATACATTTCATGTTACCTGCAAAGACTTCTGTTTCTTTTTTCCCAGTCTTAATACCTTTTTTTCTTGTTTTATTTCATTAGCTACTGCTTCCATGTAGTATGATGTTGACTAGGAATGGTGAGAGGGAGCTTCTTTGCCTTGTTCTTAATCTCATGGGGGAAAAGCATCTTGTTTCTCACCATTAAGTATGGTATTAGCTTTGTATAATTTCTGTTCCTTTAAATTCGTTAAGGCATGTTTTGTGGCCCAGAATGTGATCTGTCTTGATGTTCCATGTGAGCTTGAGAAAAATATGTATTTTGTAGTTGTTGGATGAAGTATTCTGTCAATGCCAATTAGATCCAGTTGATTGATGGTACTGTTCAGTTCAGCTATGTCCTTATTGAATTTCTGCCTGCTGAACCTGTCAATTATTGTTAGAGGCTTGCTGAGGTCTGCACTTGTAATAGTGTATTTATTTATTTTCCTTTACAGTTCTGTTAGTTTTTGCTTCACATATTTTGATGCTCTGTTGTTAGTTACATGCACAGTAAGGATTGCTGTGTCTTCTTGGAGAATTGACCATTTTATCATTATGTAATGTTCGTTATCCCTAATAATTTTCCTTGCTCTGAAATCTGTTTAATCTGAAATTAATATAGCTGATCTACCTTTCTTTCGATTAGTGTCAATATGGTATATCTTTCTCTATCCCTTTATTTTTTATCTCTTTATGTCTGTACATTGGAAGTGATTCAGACATCACATAGTTGTGTCTTATTTTTTCCACTTAGAATTTAATAAAAATTTCGTACTTTTTCATGTATCTTGTAAATTTTTTTGTATGCAGGACGTTATATTTAAAAAGAATAGAAGAGACTGAAGTAACCAATTCTATGGTAGGACAAACTCTGGTGAAATGGAAATACCCAAGGGAAGGCAAATGAAGTAAGAACAGTGGCATAATTTGTACTTTGTAGGCCAGAGAATCATTAGAGTACTCACATGTTCTCCATTTAGTGATGACATGTACATTTTTAGAAGTATCTTGTATTTATAAAAACAGACACCTTGTCAGAGGTTTAACATATAGGGAAATTTGCTCTACTTTGTTTATTTTTAAAAATCAGAGACTTAACATTCCAACTATAAGGACATCATTACCTTATAATAAAAGACTTTACATATAGGATAATAATTTGTTTTAAAATAATTTATAAGGTAAATTCCATTATATATTGTTGAATAGAGTATGAGCTTACAGAAGTGGAAGTGTAGATATATGACTGGATGGAAATGTGGCCAAATGCTGATGAGTTAATTACAACATGATAGCATCAGATCATAGGTGCTTTTTATATTCCCCTTATAGGTTTTGTATTTTTCTAGTGGTTATGGATTACTGTTACAATTTTGTAAAAACAACATTATGTGTATCTAAAGGAGAAATGGTAATCTATTGTGGTGCTGTTTTTGCTTGCATTTAGAAACAGATAAAACATAGGAGATTTGTGGCTAAATTTTAGAAAGGATCCAGGGTCTGGTCTCTGACTTCTGCTCTCTGCCTAAAATGATAAACTTTCTATATATCTTCACCTGAATTTTCCCAGAAAGCAGAGTCTGAGGTAAAAATCATGTATTTTACTACTTTTTTAGGGAGTATAATCCTAGGGAAGTTCTCTGAATCCTAGTTTTAGGGAAAGGGAAATGAGACAGGAAAGTTGAGAGAGCAAATATGAGGGTGAGTTATTGAGTTATTTAAATACCTTTAGGGAGGTTGTATATGTTATTGCAAATCATAACCTTCCCTCCAGGAAGAGGAAAGGAGAACTTATCTCTGACTTGCTCTTCTTATTGGTTAAGAGTTCAACCCCCTGACCTTAACTCTCTACATTTCTGGGTTGTGCGTATATGGGCGCTAGGTAAGTCTTATGACCTCTCTTGCCTCTGATGATGTCTCATGGGAGCGCCAAGATGGGAGGTGAGAGATGAGCGGCATGAAGGGAGGCACAGTTGTGCTATGAAGTAAGTTGACTGTGTCTGTGGTATGTTGCAAAAGCTACTGGTAATACTTTTCATTTATTCTGCATCACTTAGGATTTCAAATACATTGTAGACATTAGCATGAATTTTCAGAAACCATACCTGTTGTAGAGAGAATACTTTTGAAATATACCTAGTTCATATCAAATCAGGAAATTAGTCAAGGATCAGATAGTGTGGTTTGACTGTTAATTGATCTGTTGCATTTAAAATGTTATGCATTACACTGAAAATACATAATTCATTATTTCACTTCATCAAGCCTTTAATATCTCAGGTATTATCAAAATTATTGTAATGACATCTCTCCTACCCATACCACCACCTAAATATTTTAGTTTCTGACCAAATGTACATTTTGTTTACATTATAAGCATTCTGATGTTTACCAAGATAAAATTTAGATGGTCTAATTTTTAAGTTAGTTGTAATATTTTGTCACAATTTGCAGAATATACTCTTATCTTTGAGAGTATATGCCAGAAAACTAATTGGTATTTTAAAACAGCTTTTGAATATAATGTCTTTTTTTTTTTTTTTTTTTTGAGAAAGTTTCTTACTCTGTCACCCACGCTGGAATGCAGTTGCACGATCTCACTGCAACTGCCACCTCCCAGATTCAAATGATCCTTGTGCCTCAGCCTCCTGAGTAGCTGGGATTACAGGTGTGCACTACCACGCCCGACTAATTTTTATATTTTTAGTAGGGACAGAGTTTCACCACATTGGCCAGGCTGGTCTCGAATTCTTGATCTCAGGTGACCCGCCCACCTTAGCCTCCCAAAGTGCTGGGATTACAGGTGTGAGCCACCACACCTGGTGGGTCTTTTCAACTTGCTTTTGTTTTCACTTATGTCTCATAGTTTCTATCAACTTACTTTGTTTTGCCTTTTTTGTACATTAGTTAATGCCTTTTCCTGCTTTTAATGTCATCCAATTCAATAGAAAGATATGGAATACTATGTAATTAATTTTTAAAGTTCCTCTACCTAACTCTCAAATAGATTTTTGGTGCTGAGTATTATTGTAGGAAACTGATAGTTTGGTAAGGTCTCAGTCCAGCTACGAATTAATATGGTTTCTTGGCTAAATTATATACTCTTTTTCTGTATTTTAGTGTTCTCATCTATAGAATGCTACTTGTAATATCTGCCATAGAAGTGTACCTCATAGAAGTCTAAAGAGAACTAAATTATGTATATGAAAATATATGTCAATTTATCTAGGGCAAAGGCTACACTTTACTAATTGCTGCATACCCAGCATGTCACACTGTGAAACAGTAGCCCCCAAAGCCCAAAAGAGGAAATATTACATTCAGTAAATATTTGTTGAATTGAAAAAGCACTCTACCAGTGTGGATTTTTACCTGTTTTTTGTGTGTGTGTGTGTGATACTTAACAGTATTTCTAATTGCCTTAAATATTAGTATGACATTTTTTAAAAAGTTAAATAAATTTTATTTTAATTAGAATTATATTCATGTTATGTAATTTTTGTGTGGTGATACTGTGTGGATGGATATTATGATAGGAGACAGAATACAAAATCATATAACAAATCACTAGATGTTATAATTCACAAGTTTGAAACAATGATACATATTCATTTAAGGTATTAAGATGCTATCATAATGCTTTTGATGTTATAGATTCAGATGAAGTGAAAAAAGAAGTTTTACATTAATGTATGCCATCAACTTTGAGCCTGTGGCTTGTTTATGTGGTTTATAGTTTGTCCTTGACAAATAGATGTAAATATTAATTTTACTTATTTTAACTAGGACTAGGTCCTTTTTGATGAATAATCAGTGTAAAACTGATTATTTAGATTTACTTGTAAAAATATTGTGATAAGAACTTTTTATAGAGTTTTCTTTTTTAACTTCTCACAGGTACTATTCTGCCCTAAAAACTATGGAACAATTAGAGAATGTGTACTTTCCCTGGGTTAGTCAATACCGGTTTTGTCAGCTCATGATAGAAAATCTTCCCAAACTCCGTGAGGATATTAAAGAAATCTCCATGTCTGATCTCAAAGACTTTTTGGAAAGTATTCGAAAACATTCTGACAAAATAGGTGAAACAGCAATGAAACAGGTGAGATTAAAAATAATTTTGATTTAATATTATTTAGTAATACAGGATCTGGAAAATATCCAAGGTTTACTTCTTTAACTTACATAAAATGCTTATTTTTGTTTTACCTTTTTCTTATCTTTTCTGGTTATTGTTTAGAAAGGATTCTATCAGTGTTTTCTTTGGCTTCACATTTATTCCTTTTTTAAGTAAAATCAGTCTAACATGAATTCTTTAGTTACTGCCCGAACTCTCAGCATTCTTCTCCATATATGTGGTGTTATGTTATCCTTTACCACCAGCCAAATCTGGTATAGAATTAGCTAAACAGTGGCAGCCCCAGAGGCAAGTGGGAGCCTTTTTATGCTAAGATTCTAAACTGTTCTCTATTTAAAACAAATTAAAAGTATTAACTGTGAATTAAAAACTACTACAGTTCAATAATAAACGGACAAACAATGGGAAAAGCCTCAGCAGTTAGGAAGTCAATATATCTACCTTTTGAGTCAGCAGTTCCACTCCTAGGTGTTTATCAGTGAGAAACAAAAAAACATGGGCTCACGATAGTCATAGCATCTTTGTTCACAGTTAGCCCCAAACTGGAAACAACCCAAATGGCTTTCAGAAGGAGAATGGATACACAAATGGTGGTATATTCATACAATGGAATACTACCTAGCAATAAAAAGGAATGAATTACTGCTAATGCAACAACATGTATGAATCTCACAGATGTGTTGAGCCACAGAAATTGAATACAAAAAGGCACAAACTGTGTGATTCCATTTTTACGTCATTCGAAAGCAGGTAGACTAAGATGGAAAAAATCAGAACAGTGGTTACCTCTGGGTGGGGAAATTGCCTAGGAAAGGACACAAGGGGACTTTCTGGGGAGATGGAAATGTTTTATACCATGATAAAAATGTATTTGTCAAACTTGTACAGATCTTAGCTATACATTTCAATGTATATACATCTTACTTAAAAAAACTATAAAAAAAATAAACTATAAATAGAAAACTGTACAAAATAATTTGGGGCCGGGCGGGGTGGCTCACACCTGTAATCCCAGCACTTTGGGAGGCAAGGCGGGCAGATCACGAGGTCAGGAGACCAAGACCATCCTGGCTAACACGGTGAAACCCCATCTCTACTAAAAATACAAAAAATTAGCCAGGCATGGTGGCGGGCACCTGTAGTCCCAGCTACTCAGAAGGCTGAGGCAGGAGAATGGCGTGAACCCAGGAAGCGGAGCTTGTAGCGAGCCAAGATCGCGCCACTGCACTCCAGCCTGGGTGACAGAGCGAGACTCTGTCTCAATAATAATAATAATTTGGGGTATATATGGAGTGAGTGGATAAAGGTATAGATGGAACAAGAATGTAAAAATATTAGTGGAAGATAAATGATGGGAGTTCATGATATTAATCTGTTTATTTTGAAATTTTTAATAAAAAGTTAAAAAATAATTAAATTTTCTAAGAGCTGTTCTTGCAATGTCATAGAAATGAAACAATGTCATAGAAATAAAACAATGCTCAACACTATTTCTTCTTTTTGTCTTTGCATTGCACACTCTTACATGATTTCTAATGCGTGATTTTTTTTTCCCCCAAGTATTACAAACTACTTTGGAAACTCCTAAGTCTTTCTTACTGGTTGTCTCTGGTCAGTGAGGGTCTTCCCCATTATAGAGCTCCTCACCATTGTATTCTTCCCTTCAATATTACAGTGTTTTCAATACTATTTCTCCTACCTCTGGCCAAGGAAATCTGTGCATGCCATGGGAGTTAAAAACACAAGCGCTTGGTAAATTTTTTCAGTATGAGAATGCCAACAGTAGTTTAAAGTTCATATTCCATTATACATTTTAATCACAAGTGTCGATATTAAACTTATCTTCTTTGACTTGTTTTTCATAGACCAGTTTTGGATTCTTTCCACTTAGGGAGTCCATCAAATCATGGGCCCTAGGATTTAAGATTTACAAAAATTTATTTCTGGGAGAGAATAGACTCTCTTGGTCCACTATCATTTTTTCCTCATAAAAGTTATCAAGCTCCCTATCATTGCAATTTAAACAGACATTTCATACAGAAACCTTTTCTTAGCATCTCTCTGTGGGGATGTTTTTCTTTACAATTTCTTCTTTTGGAAATAACTTCCACAGAGTTGAGAAGTTAGAGAGTTTTCCTTATAGTGAGAGTTAGACTTCTCAAGATTTGATAAGAAAAGTTGTATTTTTTCTGTCTTGGTATCCCTTCATGCTACCTTTCAATTTCTTGTGGGTTTCTCTCTCTCTCTCTCTCTCTCTCTCTCTCTGTGTGCGTGTGTGTGTGTGTGTGTGTGTGTGTGTGTGTGTGTTTGTGTATGTATAAGAAGCCTCCTGAAGTCTCTCATCAGCTGTGCTCAGTTTGGCAGAGTCACAGTTTAGTTCTGGAATCTTCTAGGTGGCATGAGTGTAAAGCTTATACCTTGTAAAGCAGCCCCCGCCTTTGGGTGCACTCTGTATCCTGTGCTTAATTCCGTGATCTCGTATCCCTTTTACGGATGGATGGACTTGTTATGTATTAATTTAAATATCTTAAAGCTACCCCAAACCCAGCATTTCTAAAACTAAACCCATTCTTTTTTTCCTAAATCTATTTTTCTTATATTTGCTATCTCAGATAGTATTGCAGGATCTGGCCAGCAGCCCGCAATGCAACGGGGCTCTCTATTTGTTCCCAGGCGGATCAGCAGGTCGAGAAATAATAGACACACACAAGATAGTGAAAGCTGGGTCCAGGGGGGTCACTGCCTTCTGGTCCCACGGTGCCTCCAATGCACTGGATATACCAGCATTTATTATTAAGTTTAGTGAGGGCGGGGTAGGTTAGTGAGGGATTTAGGGTCATTTGATTATGAGGTGAGATGGTCACATGGGGATGAAGTAATTCTTTAACATAACATCTATAGGTAGAAGTACAGTATACAGAGATAAAAATTTACAATACAGTGTGTGCATCAGTAATTTGTAACAGAGCCTTAAAACAGAAACACAGTCTTTCCATAACCTATGATTAGCCAGATACTAATCAGCAGTAACAGTTGCAGCAAAAGCTGGTTACAAACAATCTATAGAAACAGGACGTGAAGGTAGACAACCAGTCAGACCAGAAATTCTCAGAAGGGAGTATGCCTTAACCCTAAAGGGGCCTAGAAGAGCCGTGGCAAGATGAGGGTGTTTATAGCCCTATCTTATCCATATGGACAGGCACTCCCCTCATGCATCCATTTATAGGCTCTTCACAAGGGTTGCATTCCATTCCCAGAGCTATGAACATCTGCTTTTCTGGGATAGGAATCTTGGTGATGTGAAACCTCCCTGACTGCACGTCCATTCATAGGCTCTCTGCAGGGGGAAGCACATCACGTGCTTTTGGCTCATTCTGGCAGTCCAAACTGGCATTGTCTTTACACAATCCTGCATGCAGTTTTGTATTTACAATAATCAGGAGCATTTCATCTTTTATTCCATAGCAATAGTTTCAGGGGGTCTCCCTACAAGATAGTAGTGTCTCCTGTTTCCACAATTCCAGAAACTGGGGAGTATTTTAAACTTTTCATGAGTATTCATACTGTTAATGTTATTTGTTACTAAGTCCTACTTAGTTACTATCAATTCTGCTTCTAAATACCTGTAGATTCTGTTTCCCCCTCTACATAGCTGAACTGTTATATAGAATCATTTGTTTTCCTTATCTGTATTCTCTTCTCCTTTTGGTTACTGTCCTAAAATGCAGATAAGACCACACCACTTCATCTTAAGTGATACCCTGTTACCTTTTACTTAAGTCCAAGTTCCTCAGTCTCATCTTGATACTTGTCTCCCTTCTATGCTCTAGCAGTATTTGCTGTCTTACAGATTTTGGAATATACTAGGTGTTCACCAAGAATGTCCATTCTTTCACATTTCTCGGTCTGATGAATTCCTGCTTTTTCCTCCCAAAAGCGGGCTTGAACATCACCTTGTCTGTGAAATCTTCTGCCATCACCCATTACACTACTGCCAGTGAGAGATGGTCACTTCATCCTCAGTGTGTATACCATTGTACTTTTCACACTACAATTGCTTTTTTTATGTTCTTAACTAGACTGTGAATTTTTTAAGTGGAGGATTTTGCCCTGCTTATTTTTGCCTTCCTGGGATCTAGCTATTATGCCTAACATGAGTGGCACAAAAAAAGTTATTTTTGAAAATTAGTTTAGAGCTGAGTTTTAGATTGTCTAGGGAGAATTTTTTAAATTCTAATACGAGAGATGAATCCACTGTTAGTCTGATGTTTAATTAGCAATAAATATCTAAAATTTATATTGGGTAAGTTAACATTTTCCATATAATGTTCTCTGGCACACATTTTAATATTGCTCTCTAGGGCAGGGGTTCCTAGCCCCCAGGCCGTGGACTGGTACCTGTCTGTGGCCTTTAGGAACCAGGCCACACAGCAGGAGGTGAGTGGCTTGCTAAAGAGGATTACTGCCTGAGCTCCGCCTCCTGTCAGATCAGCGGCATTCGATTCTCATAGGAGCGCAAACTCTATTGTGAACTGTGCATGCGGGGCATCTAGGTTGTGCACTCCTTATGAGAATCTAATGCCTGATCATCTGAGGTGGAACAGTTTCATCTGAAACCATCCACCTGCAAAAAAAGCCTGGGGACCACTGCTCTAGGGAGAACAAAAGGACTAAATAGTCAAATAAATTTTGGAAACCTGAGTTAAATAAAGTTAAGCGGATTTCTTTACTTATGAATTGTAAATCTCCTAGGAGGAGGATACAATATGTAATATTTATATAACTCATTTGAACTTAGAACCCTTTTTTCAAGGAACATCTGTTTTTACTGTGTGAATTGTTAGTTTTGTGCATAACATAATTGGGAAACAATACTCTAAATAAATGATTTTATACTCTGAGGACAGAAAATCATTGACAAAATTAGTTTGGGCACAGAGGGAAAGGGAATACACAGGAGTGATAATAATTTTCTCCAGTACCAGCCTCTAGGGGGCAGCCAGGATCAAAGTCTAGGTAAGAGAGGAGCCAGATTACTGCAACTTGCATGGTCTGATAACCTAAGTGTAGAGAAGGGCTGATTGGCAGTTACATGTGCCTTAGAGAGAACTCACCTAAAATAGCCAGTGCACGACCTTTCTATGTGCTAACAGAACAAAATAGCAACAATCTGACCCATCAAAACAGAGAGAATGTCTCGCAGTGTGTAAGGAAATTAAAATCCTGGAATTAAGTTTATATTTTTTTCTATTTCTGGTAATGAAGTTCTGATAGGGAAGTATTACTAAAATGCCTAAAAGTATGAGGGTTCTCAACTTTTTATTCTGTGTAAATGTTGTTTTTTGTCAATGATCAATTGTGGGATAACAGCTTCTACATTCTTAGTCTTCACAAACTGTGGGCATTTTCAGTGGGAAGTAAAATAAGCTTGCAACTTGATGTTATAGTTCCTTCTGTGAGGTTAATGGCTAATTCAGGAAGTTGGGAGTATGGCCAAAGAGTGTTGGCCAGTCCCCCTTGCCAACACACAATATGCCAACTGAGGAAATACATGGTTCTACATAATTTTAAGACTGTTTAAAAAGGAAGAGAAGCTGGGTGCGGTGGGTCACACCTGTAATCCTAGCACTCTGGGAGGCTGGGGCAGGCGGATTGCTTGAGCCAGGAGTTTGGGACCAGCCTGGGCAACATGGCAAAACCCCATTTTACAAAAAAATACAAAAACAAAAAAAACAAAAAAACAAAGAAACATTAGCTGGGTGTGGTGGTGCATTCCTGTAGTCCCAGCTACTCTGGAGGCTGAGGTAGGAGGATCACTGCAGCCTGGGGAGGTTGAAGCTGCAGTGAGCTGTGATGGTGCCACTGTACTCCAGCCTGGATGACAGAGTGAGACCCTGATTTTTTTTTTTTTTTTTTTTTTAAAAAAAGGAAATGAGAAGGCAAAAATCATGAATAAGAAAGGAGACATCACTACAAATTCTATACCTACAGACATTAAAAAGATAAAAAAAAACTATGAACAAATTTTTTGAACCAATTTTGACCATAATCAGTTTTGAAATAATCTGAATTTCTCTCTCTTCAAAATAGGCACAGCATCAGAAAACCTTCAGTGTTTCTCTGCAGAAACAAAATAAAATGAAATTTGGGAAAAATATGTATATAAATCGTGATAGAATTCCAGAGGAAAGGAATGAAACTGTATTGAAACATTCACTTGAAGAAGAGGATGAGAATGAAGAAGAGGTGATAGGTGTCTTTCTTTCTTTTCTATTATTAGATAATTTTTTTTCTTTTGGATTGTAATGTACATCTGTGTGATTTAGTCTTCCTGTATGCAAAATAAATTTATGTTGTAAAAGTTGTCAGAGTCAAAATGGAGTCAGTGTGTCAAACTTTGACAAAATGGAGGCTGAGAAGGCCGTGAAGGGAGGGCTGTCATGGACGATTAGCCTGGTATCAGGAGCTATCACAATAAATTTTTTGAAACCATAGCTTACTGCATCAGCCCTACAAGGACAGCTAGCCGCTTACATGTGAACACTTGTCTGTTTCAAAACAGGCCAGGCACAGTGGCTCACACAGGTAATCCCAGCACTTTGCAAGGTTGAGGTGGGTGGATCACTTGAGGCAGGAGTTTAAGACCAGCCTGGCCAACATGGTGAAACCCTGTCTCTACTAAAAATATAAAAATTAGCTGGGCATGGTGGTGGGCACCTCTAGTCCCAGCTACTTGGGAAGCTGAGACATGAGAATTGCTTGAACCCAGGAGGTGGAGGTTGTAGTGAGCCGACATTGTGCCACTGTACTCCAGCCTGGGAGACAGAGTGAGACCTTGTCTCAAAAAGAAGAAAAAAAACAAACAACTATCTTACAAGGTCAATCCAAAACTGTAAGGGCCTAACCATAACTCCAAAATTACAAGTCCTTTCTAGCAACTAGTGACACTCACCAGTGAACTTTCTTTCAAAACAATTTGCATAACAATCTGTCTCCCCGGTAAAACCCTAACCTCCTTTGTTCTGCAGACATGCCAGAGACCACCCTGGTCTGTGCATGTCCTGGATTTTAATCCTATTTCTTTGTTTATTCTCAAATAAATTTTTTTGCTAGGAAATTTTTCTGTATATATTTTTATTTCAAGTTGACAAAGTCAGTCAGATTGTATTGAGCTATTAGGACAATGGAGTCATCTGAAATGTTGGGCTAGATAATTGACAGATAAACATGATTGTAGATTATATTCCTAAATCTCTGGTAGTGGAATCTGTAGAAAAAGTGTAAATCTAATTTTTCTTTCTTTTTTTTTTTTTTGAGACGGGTTCTCACTGTGTCGCCCAGGCTGGAGTGCAGTGGCGCTATCTTGGCTCACTGCAACCTCTGCCTCCTGGGTTCAAGCAATTCTCCTGCCTCAGCCTCCCAAGTAGCTGGATTACAGGCATGCGCCACCATGCCCGGCTGGCTAATTTTTGTATTTTTATTAGAGACGGGGTTTCACCATGCTGGCCAGGCTGGTCTTGAACTCCTGGCCTGGTGATCTGTCCACCTCGGCCTCCCAAAGTGCTGGGATTACAGGTGTGGGCCACTGCGCCCAAATCTAATTATTTTTATAGTGATTACTTATATTTGAATTACCTGTTGTCAGATTTTTATTTCGTAATGTCTTGTCATTTGGCCTAATTCTGGATAGTCTACCTATTTAAAAAATTGGTGCTGAAATACTACAAAAATAACTCTACTATGATTAGTCTTTTAATGGAAAAAAAAAAAGTTCTAGTAAGTCTAGAAACCTTGAAATTATCCTTAAATATTTTCTTTCTTTCATCTTCTATATCCAAATTCATTCTCTCGTTCTTTTTTTCTTTCTTTTTTTTTTTTTAGAGATAGGGCTCACTGTGTTGCCCGTGAGTGCAGTGGTACAGTCATAGCTCACTACAGCCTGCAACTTCTGGGTCCAAGTGTTCTTCCCACTTCAGTCTCCCAAGTAGCTAGGACTAAAAGCACACTATCACCATGCCTGGCTAATTAAAAAAAAAAAATTTCTTATAGAGACAGAGGTCTCACTATGTTACCAAGGCTGGTCTTGAACTCAGATTATCTTAGCCTCAAATTATCCTCTCACTCAGCCTTCCAAAGTGCTGAGATTACAGGTGTGAGCCACCATGCCCGGCATCCTATTGCTTTCGAAAGTTTTTTCTACAGGGCTTGATGCCGTGGCTCATGCCTGTGATGCTAGCACTTTGGGAGGCCGAGGGGGGCAGATTGTTTGGGCCAGGAGTTTGAGACCTGCCTGGCCAACATGGCGAAACCCTTTTCCTACAAAAAATACAAAAAAATTGCCAGGCATAGTGCCTGTATTCCCAGCTACTGGGGAGGCTGAGGTGGGAGAATCACCTGAGCCAGAGGAGGTTGAGGATGCAGTGAGCTGTGATCATGTCACTACATACCAGCCTGGGTGACAGAGTGAGACGCCCATTTCAAAAAAATAAATAAAATTATCTCCACAGAATCTTCTATTGAACTTACCTTTTATCGTCCTTTTCAATTTTTTTTTAAATTTAGCTACTATCATAGGAACCTTGTTATTCCCAATTAATTTATAAGTTTTGCCTTGCCAATGAGATTTTAAATTCTTTTTCTAAGGACATAATTGGGATGCAGTAAGAATTTTTAGTTGAACCATACGACTATGTGCTCATGACTGCATTTGTGAATGGGTGAACAGCTGAGTGTTTACTATGTGCATTTCTTTTTTTTTTTTTTTGAGACAGGGTCTTACTCTGTCACCCAGGCTGGAGAGCAGTTGGCATAATCATGGCTTACTGTAACCTCAAACTCTTATGTTCAAATGCTCCTCCTGCTTCAGCCTCCCAAGTAGTTGGAACTACAGGCACATGCCTGTATATACTATATCCAGCTAATTTTTTTATATTTTTTGTAGAGATGGGGAACTGCCGTGTTGTCCAGGCTGGTCTTGAACTCCTGGCTTCAAGTGGTCCTTCTGCTTTGGCCTCCTAAAGTGCTGGGATTGTAGGCGTGAGCCACCACACCCAGCCACTATGTACATTTCTGCTGTATATCTGAGGATGAGGTGATACATATGTACATAGTCACACAAATATATATGTAGTATATATGTAATATATTTGTGTGAATATGTATGCACATATGTGTATGTGTGTATATATGTGTATATATGTATATATATGCGTATGTAGTGAATGTCTGCTATTGTACTGAATACAGACAAATGAACAGCTTCAAACAGTTAAATGCCTTCCTAATGTGGAATTAGTATGTCCTGATTAGTCCCTTGAAATTATTATTAGGTTTTTTGTCCCTTTAAATTAAATAAATATTTTTGACCTCTGCTTTTTTGTTCTTTCTAAATATTCAGAGGACCTCTGTATTATTTTCTCCTTTGAGGTTCAGAATGTTGAAAATAGACCATCTAGTCTTCTTACTTCAATTTTCCCCTTCCTGTTCTGTATATCTTTCCTGCTGGGAGCATCACCATCATGCCTTACCCCCAGACCTTTACATTTAGAGGAGCTTGGTGGTTTCCCTGTTCTCTCAGATCTATTTTACTACTATACTGCACTACATTTTGTTTTTATCATTTTCCCTAATAAGCAATGTTATAGTAAAAATAATTTAAGTTCACTCTGGAGATTCACATGAGTACAAATGTGTTCCTTTAAAAAGGGTTTATGTATTTCTCAAGTTTGAGAAACTTTATAGTACTACATTTCATCAATTGTAAGGCATTTTTTTTTCCACATAACATTTCAGAATATAGGATACATCTTAAAGATGATGGTGTTATAGTTTTAAGTGGTGGTGTTTTTTCTTTCTTAGCAGTCTGTAAAATAATACTGATAGTGTCTTTAATTCAGTGCAATAATGACCAATCATATGACATAGCTGCGTAAGAACAGGAACTTTGTCTATAGCCAAATCATGAAATCTGTGTATCATTTTTACCCAAAACAATAATAAGGTATCTAGTTATCCATAGCAGTTTTCTGTAATCTATCATACATATTAAAAATATACAATTTCTCTCCTTGGTTACCTTAAGTTGAAAACAGTCCACAGTGATAATAAACATACTACAAAGAATAAACTGCTGAAGAAATGCCAAAACAAAATAAAGAAGGTTTTGCGTTTATAGTGTATGCTTTCTATGGGGGAATTGAATAAATGTTGTAACACAAAGTTCATGAATCTTCTTGCCTATCTTTAACTTTACATTATCTAATGGTGGTCTAATAGTTTGACCTATAATTTTTTTAAAAATGGTTTAATTTTCAGATCTTAACTGTTCAGGATCTTGTTGATTTTTCCCCTGTTTATCGATGTTTGCACATTTATTCTGTTTTGGTAAGTATGTTTTATATTTATGTATATATAGCTTTATATTATTTAAAAGGCATGTATGTATTTTAGGCCCTAAAAATTGATCATATGCTGTAAATCTTCACATAATTCTTTGTGAAATATCCACTCTGTGTAAGGCACTTACATTTTTTGTTTACTTATCATAGTGTAATTTCAAGTGATATACCATTTCATGTATATTTTAAGAACCTTGTAATAGTATACTTCCATTTCTCCCTATTGCCTTTGTGCTGTTGTTACATCACAGTTCTTATAAGTTACTTTTACATGTGTATTCCATACTACATTGCTCTTATTTTTGATTTAATGTTCCTTTTTAAAAATAACTGCTTTATTGAGATCTAGTTCACATACGAAAAAACTTACCCTTTTAGAGTATACAATTCGGTGGTTTTAGCATATTCACAAGGATGTGCAACCATTACCACTACCTAATTCCAGAAATACCCATTACCCACCCCTCCAACCACCCCCAAAACATCAAAAATGTGTATCTGGCTGTTATTAGGTGGTGTGTTCTATAGATATTTGTTAGATGTAGTTGGTTTATAGGGTTGTTCACGTCTTTTACTTCCTTGTTGGTCTTCTGCCTATTCTGTTATTGAAAGTAGAAGTATTGGAGTCTTCAACTATAACTGTTGAATTGTCCATTTTTTCTTTCAGTTTTGCCAGTTTTTTATTCATGTATTTTTAGGGCCTTGTTGGCAGGTGAATATATGTTTATAATTGTTATGTCTTCCTGATGGATTGACCTTTTTTAAAAAAATCATAAAATATCTTTCTTCATAATATTTTTTGTCTTAAGGTCTGTTTGGCTTTAATTAGTATAGCCACTCCAGCTTTCTTCTGAGCACTATTGGCATAGCATGTTTTTCCCCATCCTTTTACTTTCAGTCTCTTTGTATCTTTGAATCTAAAGTATGTCTCCAGTAGGTAACACATAGTTCAGTCTGTTTTTTTAAATCCAGTCTGCTGATCTCTGCCTTTCAATTGGAGTGTTTAGTTCATTTACATTTAATGTAATTACTGGTAAGGTAGGATTTATGTCTGCTCTGATGTTTGCCATTTGTTTTAACATGTCTTATATCTTTTTTGTTCCTCTATTCCTCCATTAGTACTGTCTTGTGCATTAAATAGATATTTTCTTATGTACCATTTCATTTCCTTTGTCATTTCCTTTTTTTTTTTTTTTTGTGCTGGAGTTTTGCTCTTGTTGCCCAGGATGGAGTGCAATGGCATGATCTCAGATCACTGCAACCTCCGCCTCCTGGGTTCAAGTGATTCTCCTGCCTCAGCCTCCCAAGTAGCTGGGTTTACAGGCACCCGCCACCATGGCCAGCTAATTTTTTGTATTTTTTTAGTAGAAATGGGGTTTCACCTTGTTGGCCAGGCTGATCTCGAACTCCTGACTTTAGGTGATCCACCCGTCTCGGCCTCCCAAAGTGCTGGGGTTACAGGTGTGAGCCACCTAGCCCAGCCTATTTTCTTAGTATTAGCCCTGAGGATTGCAATTAACATCTTACTTTAAAACAATTCAGTTAGATTAATACCCTTTTCTTTGTGCTATTGTTTTCTTTCTTTCTTTTTTTTTTTTTTTGAGATAGGGTCTTGCTCTGTCACCCAAGATGGAGTGCAGTGGCGTGATCACAGCTCACTGCAGCCTTGACCTCTTTGGGCTCAAGCGATTCTCCCACTTGAGCCTCCCAAGTACCTGGGACTACAGGCTCATGCCACCATGCTTGGCTAATTTTTGTATTTTTGGTAGAGGTAGAGTTTACAGTATAGTCTTACTGTTTTATGCTGTAAATTTAATAAACTTTCATTAGCACAATAACTTCTGGCTGGTATATATAACCAAAAATTATTTGGTAAAGCTAATTTCTTTCTTTTTTTTTGAGACAGAGTCTTGCTCTGTTGCCTAGGCTGGAATGCAGTGGTGCCATCTTGGCTCACTACAACCTGCGCCTCCTGGGTTCAAGCGATTCTACTACCTTAGCCTCCCAAGTAGCTGGGATTACAGGCGCCTGCCACCACGCCTGACTAATTTTTGTATTTTTAGTAGAGACGGGGTTTCTCCATGTTGGCTAGCCTGGTCTCGAACTCCTGACCTCAGGTGATCTGCCCACCTCAGCCTCCCAAAGTGCTGGGATTACAGGCATGAGCCACCGTGGCCGGCCACTAATTTCTTATTATTGTTACAACTCTTCTTCCTTCTACTTGTTATTCCAGTTCTGCCATTTCCCAGCATTATAGCATTGGGAAAATTACTTCCCTTATTTGAGTTCCTCATTTGCAAAATATGGTTAACAATTTCTAAGGCTATGTTGGATATTATAGTCAATATAAATAATAAAAGTGCTTGGTATAGGACCTGGTATAAAATATCAGGCAGTAAATGTTAAAGGGGTTATTATAAAAGGGTTACATTAATATGTATGCTTTCAAGGACTGTTGACTGTAAGTCTACTTTAGCCAAAAAAGCTCTTTGTCCGAAATCCTAAGGTATCCTACTCTATTTGATCAAATATGAGTATTCCATGAAAGGAAAATAGGTATAATGTCAAAAAAAGGGATTCTCTTTGGAAAATGCTGCACACAATATTCACAATATAGCTTATCATAGCTTATCATTTTTCAGACTTTGAGAAGTCCTAAGAGCTTCTCTGACTTTACTTAGCTGGCTGTATCCTAAACTTTGAGTATAGGGATCATTTTTTTTCTTAGAATACTGAATATTGAATGAGTTAATTTCCTAATTATCTGATGAATACCAAATATAGTGTGCGAATTGCTGCCCTAGGAGTTTTTAAGGGTATGTGAAGGCTTTCCAAGGGGCCCTGGGCTAGAAACTTTAGGGAAATAAATTTTAGGTCCAGGCTTTCTTTCTAAAAATGATCTGTTTGGGAAGCCCAACCTGTCTTCAGAATAGTTCTTCTCTTACTGTTGGTGCTCTGCTCAGATTCCCTTGGGTCCCTTTTCAGCTAGAAGCTACCCCACATCAGATTACCAGTGTTGAGATTAATAAGTTATGGTGTGTAGATATGGTGTTTGAAAGCCTAGCTTCCTTGCCTAGATTAGGACAACACTGAGGTATAACTTATGCTCTGAAGTTGCAGTGTGGAATCAGGCACACAATTTTTTGCCTTAGATGGTACCCTTGGTTGGCTTCCTCTTGTTCCTTTCACTTTCTTCACTTCTTGAACAGTTTCCTTCTTCAACATTTCTTTAGTTTATCATTGATCTCAGATTCTGTTCCTAGGACAGCTACCTAAGATAGTGACCATATTAGTTATCAATTGCTGTATAACACACTGCCTTAAAACAACAAACATTATTATTCCACAGTGTCAGCAGTCAGGGAGTCGCTTAGCTGGCTGGTTCTGGCTACAGGTCTCTTATGAGATTCTAGTCAAGATGTCATGAGGACTGCTGTCATCTGAAGGCTTAACAGGGGCTGGAGGATTTGCCTCTATGATGGCTGCTGGTAGAAGGCCTCAGTTCCTTGCCACATGGAGTGTCTACTAGGCTGCCTGAAAGTCCTCATGACATGGCAGCTGGCTTCCCCCAGAGTGAGTCATCCAGGAGAGAAACCAAAGTGGAAGCCATCATTCCTTTTATAACACAATCTCAGAAGTGACATACCATTACTTCTGCTTTATCCTATTCATCACATAGATGAACTCAGGTGCATTGTGGGAGGGGACCACACAAGGGTATGAATACCATGAGGTGGGGATCTTTGGAGGCTGTTTTGAAGGCTACCACGTTTACTTTATAAATGAAAATCATACCCTTCACTGATACTCAGTACTACCATGGTGCATTGTCTTGAGGTGTAAAAGCTTCCAGGGTGCCAAATAAAGGAGAAGTCTCCTTTAATTATTAATCAAGGAACTGTATTGGGAGTTCCTTCCTTTCCATTTTTGCACAAATTTCTGTTAAGGGTAAATCATATTAGGAACAGTATATTTTGTCCTGTGGTAGGATATTCTGAATTTAGATATGTAGTAGGGAGTAATGACATAGGTAGGAATAACGATAGTTTCCTTTTAATGACCTGTTCTTTTTCCCCCTAGCTATTGACAACAAGTAATTGCTTTTAAGAGAGAGTCCCTGTGAGAGTAGAGCAAAGAGAACACAGAGAATTTTGATTGCTAAAACTATGTCCTATGTGTTTAAATGTAAACAATGATTTTGACTAATCTTAATACTCTTCGTTAGGATGTATCATTTGCTGTAAAGAAAAACACCTTTAAACAGCCAAATGATATGGGTTAGTAAAGCTGTATCTTTTAAACATGAATGGAGTGTTTTCTGGGGCTGCCAAAAATTTTAAGTTACACTGGCTAACTTTATTTTTTCATATTCATGTACATTATGATTCGATAAAGTGGGTAAAGCTGTTTAGCTGTCATAAGTCTAAGTCCAATTGTTTAATGTTTTCTACTTCATATTTAAAGTAAACCCTGGCTATTCATTTTTAGCAGCATATACCATTCTCTTTTGTTAAACACCCAGAAAAAGGATGGTCATCATATCTAATGAAATTAATGGAGTTATGCCTGATTTTATTGTTTGATTTATTGATTAATAGGGGTGCATTTTTTAATGTACTTTTATTTATTTTAGTAGCTTTAGGGGTACAAGTGGCTTTTGGTTATGTGGATGAATTGTATAGTAATGAAGTCTAGGCTTTTAGTGTACTTGTCACCTGAATAGTGTACATTGTACCCAATAGGTGATTTTTTTCATCCTTCACCCCACTTCTGAATCTCCAATGTTCATTATACCACTCCACATGCCTCTGTATACCCATAGCTTAGCTCCCACTGATGAGTGAGAACATGCAGTATTTGGTTTTCTGTTCCTGAGTTCTGTCACTTAGGATAATGGTCTCTAGTTCCATCCAGGTTGCTCCAAAAAATATTATTTTATCCTTTTTTATATCCCTGATTTTTATACTTGGTTGTATTTAATTATTTCCAAAAGTTGAACAGGTTTTATGTATGTCCACATGTTAATGGAAGGCATGTAGTATTGTTTATTATGCTCCTTACTTCATAAAAGCTTAGAATTTTAGTTGTATATTACATTGCATTATTGTAAATTAAGTAATGAAAACAGAATAAGTAATGAGAAACTGATTTATTGTCTTGATTTTAAGGGTGTGAATGCACAAAACAATCACACTGGGTTTAAATAATATTGACTGCTTTTTGTAATTCCATAAATTTTTTTTTTTTTAAGACAGAGTCGTGCTCTGTTGCCCAGGCTGGAGTGCAGTGGTGTAATCTTGGCTCACTGCAACCTCTGCCTCCCAGGTTCAAGCAATTATCATGCCTCAGTCTCCCAAGTAGCTGGGATTACAGGTGTGTGCTACCACATATGGCTAATTTTTGTATTTTTAGTAAAAACAGGGTTTCACCATGTTGGCCAGGTTGGTCTCGAACTCCTGGCCTCAAGTGATCCGTCCTCCTCGGCCTCCCAAAGTGCTGGGATTACAGGCGTGAGCCAATGCACCTGGCGTTGGTGATATTATGGTGTAAACCCATAATTTCTCAGTGGTTTTCATGATGTAATTTTGTTGTTATTGTTTGTTTGTTTTGTTTAAGAGATGGGGTCTTGCTGTTGTCCAGCCTGGAGTGCAGTGGTGAGATCATAGCTCACTGCTGCTTTGAATTCCTGGGTTCAAGTGATCCTCCTGCCTCAGCCTCCTGAGTAGCTGGGACTACAGGTGCATGCCACTATGCCTGGCTAATTAAAAAAAAAATTTTTTTTAAAGAGATAGCTTGACATGCTGCCTAGGCTGATCATGAACTCCTGGCCTTGAGCAATCCTCTGATTTCAGCCTCATCTTTACTTTTTTTGAAGTGAAACTTGGAGTCAGACTTTTCTTGAGAGACACTTAGTACAATTTGACTTATTAGTTTGATCATGAGGACTGGCTTTGATAATTAGATTTTAGGTTTTAGGGTGGACTTTTTAAAAAAAAAAAAAAACAAATGCCCTAAGTCTGCAGGTCAGAATTTGAACCAGAAAGTATATTATTAATGGGGGAAAAAAAAGTCTCACTCATTCTATTAAGATATTTATTTCCAATAAAAATGTACTTTTGGGTTTACTCATTATCAAAATGTATGATATACTTAGGCCATTTGCATCAGTTTAGTACTGATTATGATAATTTCACTCAGAAGAAAAAAAACCCACCATAACACCTAAAGCCTTATAATCTCAAAGATAAGAGTAAAACATATCATATTAGACAATGTTTTTTAAAATTAAGTTAGAATAAATTCTGTAAGGATAATGGACTGGAAATAAGAGTTCAAAAGAAAAATGTAGACTTTCTAAATGTTAAGGAATAATGTGTTCATGTATCTCTCTATATTTGTATATTTTATATTTTTTTAGATATGGGGTTTCATGGTAAAAAGGAATCTGAGGAGAAAAGAAAAATAAAAAAAAAAAGAAAGAAAAAAAGAGATGAGGTCTTACTCTGTTGCCCCAACTGGAGTGCAGTGGTATGATCATACCTCACTGTAGCCTTGAACTCCCAAACTCAAACGATCCTCTTGTCTCAGCCGCTTGAGTAGTTGGGATTACAGGCACGTACCACCATGCCTTGCTGATTTTTAAATTTTTTGTAGAGATGGAGTCTCACCACGTTGCCCAGGCTGGTCTCAAACTCCTGGCCTCAAGTGATCCTCCTGCTTTTGCCTCCCAAGTTGCGGGGATTAAAGCGTGAGCTACTGTGCCCGGCCCCATATTTTTTTAAATGAGTGATGGCTGGATATGTTTAAATGAGGATTTAGCAGTTTTATTTTAAATTCCATTTTATCTTTAAATGCATTATATCCTCTACATTTATTTAAAATTATGGTGAAAAAAATTAGTTACCATATTAAAACTGTGTGGGGGACATTATAGCTTATTGAAATTATTTTAATTGTTTGCGTATAAAATAATTGGAAAAAGTTTCGTATAGGATACCTAGGTAAAAATATTTTCTGCATTTTAAGTTTACTTTAGACAGCACTAAGAAAAGTCGTTTTTTGTAGCTACTTAAGTATAAAGAAAATAAAATCAGACTTTTTTTCAGTGAAAATGTGGCTTTTGACATTTTTTTCCTGTAGTTTTTTTCTTTTGACTTTGGAGCCTTAGATGATTAGGGAAATGGTTCTCAACCTTTCCTTC
Organism: Homo sapiens; assembly: GCF_000001405.40. Lineage (NCBI taxonomy): Eukaryota > Metazoa > Chordata > Mammalia > Primates > Hominidae > Homo > Homo sapiens. The sequence goes on from NC_000010.11 coordinate 92,927,266, forward strand.
TGATGTTGGATGGGTTCTCTTTAAACAGTGAAGAAGACAGAGGGGATTGAGGTATAGTAATTAATTTATTTTTTCAGTTATTCACTTACCTAATATTTATTGAGTGCCTTCTGCATGCCAAGCATTCTTCTAAGTGATAGGGATACAGTGATGAGCTAGATGGAATGTGGACCATATTCTAATAGAGTGAGGTAGTAAAGATAGATCTCTGTTGTTGGATAATGTAGCTGTTAGTTATATGTAGTTACTAAAATAATTAAAATTTAAATGTAAAAGTCAGTGTCTCATTCAGATTGGCCACATTTCAAATGCTCTATAGCCACATGTGACTAGTGGGCTACCATTTTAGACAGCACAGACATAGTAAACGTTCATCATCACAGGGAGTTCCATTGGACAACACTGAGATAGACTAACCAAGAAATTATAGCATGGTATAAGTGCTATGATAGGGAAGTACAGGTTGCTATGAGAGAACAGAAAATAACAAGCCTTCAGAAGTTAAGGAAAGCTTTCTCAAGGAAGTGATATCTCTGGCGAGTCCTGAAGGATGAGTAAAAAATCATATGGGAAAAGGAAACTGGGAAACTTATTTCAGAAATAGCCTGCACAAAAGCCTGGAAGTGAAAAGAGAGCAGTATATGGATATATTGAGAGTGAAAGAGTAGCAAGAGATGAGGCAGGGGCTTGTATAACATGCTCATGTTACACATAGGGCCTTGTATAACATGCTCAGAAGTTTAGGCTTTGAAGCTAATCTTTCACTGGGCTTCCCTCACTGATAGCCATATTTTGGTTTGGTCAATCAAAAATCTATAAAGCCTAAGTAATAAGTTTGGTAGGTGTCAAATTGTTTAAACATAACTTTATTCTTCCTAATAGTCATGATACAAACAAATTACTATCTTTAAACTATAATGGCAAAACTTATTCTTGACATTCTGTATGAAATGCTATTAAACATTTACATTCTAGTTAGAGAATTTAAAGTGACTCTTGGGGTAAAGAAGTATCTGTTTTAGTTGTATGTGTGTGTATGTGTATTTTTCATTACTCTGCTGATTTTATTTTAGGGTGACGAGGAAACATTTGAAAACTATTATCGAAAACAAAGAAAGAAACAAGCAAGACTGGTATTGCAACCCCAGTCGAATATGGTAAGTATGCGATATTTTGAATTGGTTATGTTGTCACTTTTTATCCCCTTACCCTGTTTTAATTTCTTCAAAGCATGTATCACTGTTCATTCAACTACAAATATTTATTGAACACCTACCATTTCCAAACATTGGTTTAGGTGCTAAGGGTACAGCAGTGAACCAAATAGATAAGTCCCTTTTCTCATGAGCTTACATTCTATTAGGAAAGATAGACAGCGAATTTAAAAAAAAAAAAAAGGACCAACAAGAAATATATAAAATATCAGGGAATGATAGTTTCTGACAACATAGTGGATTATGTATCTTGATTAATTGTCCCACTGAAAATACAACTGAAGATGCTAGATAGACATTTAAAACAAACAAACAAAAAGACAAGAAACTAAGTGAATAAGGAACTGTTCTATATATTGGTTGTGGTGATAGTTACATTAGTAGATGTGTTTGTAAAACTCATAGAAGCTGAATATTGAAGAGTTTTATTGTATGTGACTAATACCTCAATATATCTGACTATAAAACAATCAAAACAGGAAAACCCAAATGAAGGCAGAAATGCAGATAGGTTTAATGAAACACTGAATATAGCTTTTATCCTAGGAGAATCTGCTGAGTAGGAAAGCATGAGTTTTGACGACATTGGGTACAGAGGGCTAAGCCCAGAGCCCACCCAAAGTAGGTGTCTAATAAGAGATTGTCTCCCTTGTAAGCTGAGACTCCAAAGGATTTAAAGCCCCATTATTAGGATGAGCTAGAGATAAAACCATCTAAAAATCCTTCTGTTCCCTCTGGCGAATACTGTAAGGAAAATTACCTATCTCAAATCTTGCTGAGTGAACGAGAGAAAAAATCCTTCTGAGAATTCATAATAAGCAGTTTGTTACCACTTGTGTTTGCAACCCAAATTCATCATACATGGATAGTCAAAGACATCTCAAGCTCAACATTTCAAGTATTTCCATCCTGATACTATCTCCAAGTGCCTGGCAGAAGCAAATACAGATCTCTGCACCTTCATTCCAGAGTTAAACTGAGCAATTCACAGTCAGAAATAATTACCAAACGAGTGAGAATCGTAAGAAATATTAACAACAAAAATAGATTCTAAAAGACTCGATATTTGAATTATTAGCCATAGAGTATATAATAGTGCTACTTAGTATATTTAAAGAAATAAAAGCCAAGCTTGCTAATATAAATAGGGAACAGAAACTATAAAGAATGACCAAATAGATGTGAAGAAATATCAGGTAGAATATCTAGAAATTAAATACATATTAACTGAAGTTAAAAATATTATGAATAGGTTTAACAGTTGATGAATTCTCTCTTAGTTAATCTGAAGAAACTATGTGGAAGTAAGCATCACAAAGACACAGAAGGAAAAATTACTGAAGTGAGACATGAGGGATACAGAGAAGTCTAACATATATCTAATTGGAGTTTCAGAAAGAGGATAGAGCAAATGAGACTGAAGAATATTTGATGCCATATGGCTGAGAATTTTCTGGGACAGATGAGAAATAGAAATCCACAGAGTCAAGTCCAAGGAATCCCAGGTACCTTAAATAAAAAGAAATACACTCTTAGAAACTTTATAATTAAATTGCAGAACACCAAAGATAAAGAGGAATGGAAGACCTGAAAACTATTATCAGCTGTCTTGATCTGATTGACATTTATTGAATACTCCACCCCGGATGGAAGAATACACACGCTTTACATGTGCACATGGAAGATTCACCAATATCATATTCTGGGCCATGAAACAAACATCAACAAATATAAAAAGCTGGGCTGGGTGCAGTGGCTCACGCCTGTAATCCCAGCGCTTTGGGAGGCTGAGGCAGGCGGATCACCTAAGGTCAGGAGTTTGAGACCAGCCTGGCCAACATGGTGAAACCCCATCTCTACTAAAAATACAAAAATTAGCCAGGCATAGTGGCGCGTGCCTGTAATCCCAGCTGCTCGGGAGGCTGAGGCAGGAGAATCACTTGAACCCGAGAGGCAGAGGTTGCAGTGAGCCGACATCGCACCATTGCACTCCAGCCTGGGTGACAAGAGTGAGACTCTGTCTCAAATAATAATAATAATAATAATAAATAGAAAAAGCTTGAAATCATACAAAGTCTATCCTCTGACTGCAAGAGAATTAAATGATCCATATGCAAAAAATGAATATTGACTCACTTCTTTCAACAATTAAAGGGGATCATCGACCTAAATGTAAGAGTTAAAATTGTAAACTTTTAGGAAAAAACAAAGGATAAAATCTTTATTACTCTATAATGTATTTATAGTATTTTCCTATGTGAGTTACATAAAGCATGAGCCATAAAAGAAAAAAAATAGATGATTTGAACATCAAAATCTAAAACTTCTGCTTTTCAAAAGGTGTTGTTAAGAAAATGAAAAAGCTGGCTCATGCCTGTAATCCCAGCACTTTGGGAGGCCAAGGCGGGCGGATCATGAGGTCAAGAGATCGAGAGCATCCTAGCAAACATGGTGAAACCCCGTCTCTACTAAAAATACAAAAATTAGCTGGGAGTGGTGGCGTGTGCCTGTAGTCCCAGCTACTAGGGAGGCTGAGGCAGGAGAATCGCTTGAACCTGGGAGGTGGAGGTTGCAGTGAACTGAGATCGTACCATTGCACTCCAGCCTGGCGACAGAGCAAGACTCCATCTCAGAAGAAAAAAAAAAAAAAAAAAAAAAAAGGAAAGGAAAAGGCAAGATATGGACTTGGAGAAAATATTTGCAGAACTCATGTCTAAAAAGGGGCTTTATCCAGAATATGTAAAGAACTTGTATAACTCAGTAATTGAAGACCAATAAACCAATTTAAAAATGGACAAAAGATTTTTTTTTTTAGTGTAGTACTGAGTTTACTAGAATAAACAGAAAATAGAACAGAATAGATGATTGAGAAACAAATTTAAGTGTATATAAGAACAACTGTCAGGCTATTTTTTTTAGTTGACATATAATAATTGTACATATCTATGGGACATAGAGTGATATTTTGATACATATATATATAATGTGTAATGATCAAATCAGAGTAATTAGCATATTCATTGTGAAAAACTATACTGAACATCTTCTCACATGTTTATTTGCCATCAGTTTATCTCTGGTAAAATGTCTATTCAAATCTTTTGTCCATTCCACGCTCTAGGAACAAAGCTGGATGGAGAATGGACAAAAGATTTGAATAGACATTTTACCAAAGATAAACTGATGGCAAATAAGCATATGAGAAGATGCTCAGTATAATTTTTTCGTCAGGGAAATGCAAATTAAAACCACAATAAGATACCACTGCATACTTACTAGAATGACTAAAATTGAAAGGATTGATAATAGCAAGTGCTGGTGAGGATGTGAATCAAGTGGAACTCTCATACACTTCTGATAGATATAAAATTATACTGCCACTTTGGAAAATGGTTTGGCAATTTGTTACAATGTTGAGCAAACTCTTCTATGACCTAGCAGTCCTGCTCCTAGGTATTTATCCATGAGAAATGAAAATGTATCTTTATACAGTGGCTCATATGTGAATGTTTGTAGTAGCTTTATTATAAACACCAAAAACTAGAGACATCTGAATGTCTGTGAACTAGTGAATAAATTGTGGTACATCCATATGTATAAACAAATTATTGTATGTTTTATATAATGGAACTACTCGGCACTAAAAGGGAATTGATACATGCAGTGATATGGATGAATCTCAAAAGTATTATTCTAAGTGAAAAAAATTCATATGCAGTAAAGTTATATATAATATGAGTAATGTTATATGACATTTTTGAAAAGACAAAACTCTAGGACAGAATGGGATCAGTGGTGGCCAAGGGCTATGGGTTCGGCAGGATAATTCTCTACAAAAGAGCAGGAGGAAACTTTCTGAGATGGAAATGTTGTATTTTTTTATTTATCTGGTGGTTACACAACTGTCTACATTTGTCAAAACTCAGTGAACTCTACATGTAAAAAAGGGTTAATTTTATTATATGTAAATTGTACCTCAATAAACTTAACTTTAGAAACAAACATAAACAGAAAATCTTAAAGGTACCCAGAAAGAGGTTATTTTCAAGTAAACAAAACAATAAAATATTTTCAATTCTGAAAAAAGTAACTGTCAACTTAGGATTCTATATCCAGTGAAACAAGGGCAGAGATAGACATTTTCAGACAAAGAAGAGCAGAGTTGGCCACTAAGACACGCTTACTAAGGAGATCCTAAGGATATGCTTCAAACAAAAGGAATGTGATGCCAAAGGGAAGATGTGAGATGCAAGAAGGAATGAATAGCAAAAAAAGTATAAATATTTAGGTAAATCTAAAATGACTGTAGGAAATAATGTAAAATATTGTGGACATTAAAACAACATAGAATTTTAATTTGTGCAGCAGCAATAAGAAAAAATAAGATAGAATTAAAATACACAACAGTAACATAAACATCAGAATGAGATGGAAGTTAGTGAAATTAAACTATCCTACAGTTTGAAGCGTCCAGCAGAAGAGTAAAAACATTGACTAGCTTTAGAGTTTGGTTACTTAAGGATGTGTAATGTGATTTCCAGAGTAACTACTGAAGGAATAGAAACAGGGTATATATACTTTTATATAATACAGGGAAAGCTAGAATGATAAGAATAAAATTTTTGTTATTTGTGTGCTTTTGAGTTGATAAAAATGGTAATTCTAAACCTATAAGCACTTGATAACATTGACTCAAAGTATTTAAAGCAAAACTGCCACAACTACAAGGAGAAATAGAAAAATCCACAAGTATAGTGAGTTTTAAAATATGTGTCAGTATCTTCTAAACCAAGTAGACATAACATCAGTAAGAATACAAAACATGCTTAATAGGCTTCATCTAATGGAATATATAGAATCCTATTTCAACAACTGTAGGAACATATTCTTTTCAAGCACACATGGACCATTATTAAAAATTTGACTACATACTATGCTATAAAGCAAGTATCAGGAAATATCAAGCATTTGGTGACATGTAGACTATATTTTCCAATCACAGTATTTCTAAGCTAAAACGTATTAATAATTCTTCCCCCAAAACACCTGAAGAAAACCCCAGATGTATGAAAATTTGATCACATTCATGAAATTTGCAAAACATAACATTTGAACTTAATTGAAATATGAAATATTTCATGTAATAAACTTTTTATGAATGAAAGTCAAATGATCAAATATTTTTCTATATGCCTTGTTAAAATTATAAACAATAGGCAATCATAAAACCATAAAAGGTTTTGGCAGAAGATATAATCTGATTACTATTTGAAAAATATCATTCTGGCAGCTGGACAGGCTGGAAAATATCATTCTGGCAGCTGGACATTCTGGTAGGGGACAGGCTGGAAGTTGGGGAGACTATGTAGGAGGATGGTATAATACATAGTCAAAGTAGAGGTGATGACAGCTTTGATTAGTCTGCTGAGAAGGGGGTTCTGAAATCATATTTCCTTTTTAACTTGTTTATCTCCTTTCGAATGTACGTTCCATGAGAGTAAGGACTTTTTGTTATTTACAGATATATCCCTGGTACCTAAAAATGTACGTGGCATATAGTAGACTCTCAATAAATATTTGTTAATGAAGTTGTAGTGACTTGGAACTTACCTTTATGTTACCAGTATTTATTGGTTTAAATTGATTTTTATTTTTCATTTTAAGCATGAAACAGTTGATGGCTATAGAAGATATTTCACTCAAATTGTAGGGTATGTATCTAATATGGAAATAACTATTATTAATTTTATATTATGTTAAATGCCAGAAATACTTACTTTCTATTAGGGTTTTTTTTTTTAACACATGCTTTGGTAATTACTGTTTTTAGGTTCTTTGTGGTAGAAGATCACATTTTACATGTGACCCAAGGATTAGTAACCAGGGCATACACTGATGAACTTTGGAACATGGCCCTCTCAAAGATAATTGCTGTCCTTAGAGCTCATTCAGTAAGTCAGACAATTTACATTACTAAAATTTTAATTCAGTTACTTCAAGAACTTCTGAGCTGCATAATGTCAGAGGAAAACTGTACCTCCATCATTCTGCATTTTTTTAGTAGTTGCTTAGATTTGGAAGTAGTAATGTCAGGCTTTTGTTTGGTAATATCAGACTATGATTTTGCAACTGACTGGGGCTTCCCAAAACACCTTTATTCTAGCATTATAGAAAATGAAGAATTAAGCAGGTCTCATTAGTCTCAACTGACCTCTTCATTAGATCTCTGAAAAGCACCATGAAGAAAATGTTTTTAATTATCATTTCAATTCTTTGTTTCTAAAATAAACTCCACCATTAAAACTCAGTAGAACTTGTTCTTCAATGTTTACAATTTACAGTAATACACTATAATAATGAATTTCTTTAAAATTTGCGATTTTCAAAATTTGAAATATTGAACCTTTGTGTAATGAGAGGTTTTTATAGATGAAAATTAAATGATCAGCTATCTTCCTAATGCCTTTTCTGGAAATAACAAATATGTTAGTGTTATAAAGACAATACTTAGTCAGTGTAGGCCTTTTTAAAAGTTGTAGTAGTTTACCTTTATTAATATATTTCATACTTAAAATTTTGTCTATTTATAATTTTATAATTGATCATTGAGATTTTTAAAAATTGAAGAAAGTTTGTTAGCTTATGTGATATTAAGATTATAAATAAGCTGCATTTTTATTTATCAGGAATGTAGATTCTTGATACACTATCCAATGAACTACAACTTTTCCTAGCATATTAATAAAGAACAATACATTTTATCATGGTCGATATTCAGATCAGCTCTGAATATATAAAATTAAAGTATATTTCCTGTTAATTCCATGATACCAAATATGAAGTCATATTAAATACAGCATATCACTTTCAAAATCTTATTAAATGCTATGACAGGGACAGAGTAAATCTCACTGTCCCTTTGAAATTAATAATTTTCTTTTGGTTAATTACTAAGAAAATAATGAAATTGTAATTCTTATATTGGAAAAAGTAATACATAGTGTCTCTTTTATAAGATGGAAAATAAGTAAATAGATGAAATGTGAAAATACATAGTCTATTATAAACCTTTTTCAGTTTAAATAACTAGTTCCTTAAAATCTAAAAACTTTTGAAATATAAGCATCATAAGTATCATATTATGATCTCCCTCTAAACGTTTATACTGAATAGAGAAGGTCTGTTGTGAATCTAACCAACCAAAATTTTAAACTTATTATAAGTCTGGCAGATTAAAAGAAACATTATCAATTTCTTATTTCTTAGTTTTTAATCATATGACTCTGGTTTGTTGTTGTCGGTGTTTTGTTTTGTTTGTGTGTTTCCACCCTCAGTCCTATTGCACTGATCCTGATCTTGTTCTGGAGCTGAAGAATCTTACTGTAATATTTGCAGATACTTTACAGGTGGGTGATAACCTAACAATTAATGGTTATTCTGATCACTTAAAAACATACAAAATATAGGCTATACTCATTTATGTTATTGTAGATTAGTGGCAGTAAATTAGTAGTAATAAATGTTTACCTACATATTGATATTCTGCTATTACCCAGGACTATTCATACCACTTCCTTTTCAATTATGAAGCTTAGACAGAACTCAGGGATGCTACCATCTTTTAAAATATTGATCATTCAGTTAGAATAAAGTATTTTTATAGTTGAAAAAAAGAATACAGAGTATAATGGAAGGAACCGTGAACTAGAAATTAGAAGATATAAATTCTGCCTTAGGGCAGTGAGAAGTGGGTTCTAGAATCACATAGACCCAGAGTTTCTGTTCTGCCTGTGCTGTTGACTAATTGTATGCCTGCAGGTTCTTTAAGCTTTAGATCCTTATTTGTGAAAATGGGTTTATTACTAATTTCAGAATTGTTTTTAGTTTTAAATATGATACTTTGTATGAAAACACATGATTTGAAAACTGTATGTTCATTTTCTTCCTGGTTTCTGGTTTTCCATGTGTTCTATGAGCAAATCACTTTACTTTTTTGAGTTGTTTTTCTCTTTTTAAAAATAAGGAGGATTGTTTGAACCCAGGAGGTGGAGGTTGCAGTGAGCCGAGATCGCGCCACTGCGCTCCCCTGGGCAACAGAGCGAGACTCCATCTCAAAACAAACAAAAAACACGAAACAAACAAAAAAATAAGATTTTTCTTTTTATTGGGAGTAATATTATCCTCTCCCCTTCGGATATTAAAAGCAATATCACCGGCAAGTTGTACACCTGCTGCGTTATTGGGAGTCATATCATCCTCTCCCACCTGGATATTAGAAACAATATTACGGGGTGGGGTGTGTACACCCTCTGTGATATTAACAGTAATATTATTCTCTCCCTCCTCGATATTAGGAAAAATATCACAGCGGGGGGTTTATAACCTCTGCGATATTGGGAGTAATATTATCCTCTCCCATCCTGGATATTTGGAACAATATCACAGGTGGGGTGTACACCCTCTGCGATATTGGGAGTAATATCATCCTATTCCCCCCTGGATATTAGGAACAATGTCACCCCCTGAGATGTTGAAAGTAATATAAAAAATAAGATTAAAACTAAATTATTTCAGAACTCAATATTTTTGTGATTTTCAGTATCAAAGTTTTGAGATTTCTAGCTTGTCCTTCCTCCTTGATCACAGATAATAAAGAATTGATTGCATTTTCTTTTCCTGTGTAAATTTATGGGATTTTATGGTTAGAAGTAACTTTTCATGAAGTACAGACTAGCATTTTCCAAAGTGTGATAAGAGCTGTTACTTAAAAAAAGTGTCCCGTGGTCCAAAAGTAAAACATATTTCTCCACTGAAAACTTTTCTGAGAGCAAATTTATACCCATAAGTTCCCAAAAAGAAGATGATTATGCAGCATTTTCCCAATATATTTGACCCTTGAATCTTTTTCCCCCTTAGAACATCTTTTAGATCTAGAACTTTATATAATATGCTTTGGGAAATCCTGATTTAAACTATTTGCTTTATCACAAGAGTCTTTGCATCTTAGAATTATAGTTTTCTACTTTATTCTTAAACCTAAAGAGAAGATTCCACAAGCTCCTTTAGTAAATTATTTTATCACTCATGTCTATTATATATTAATTTGTATGGCTTATATTTTAACAGCGGGATAAGGTGGGATTTTTTGTTGTTGTTTTCATAAATTTTGTGATGACTGTATAATACTGATCTCGCTGCAAGAAAACTTTTGGGAAGTTTTATTTGGGGCTGTCCAAATTTTGGGAGCCCATTTCTAAGTAGCTTGAGATATTAGGTTAGTGCAAAAGTAATTGTGATTTTTGCCATGGAGAGCAAAAGTAATAGTAATTTTGGATAGTAATTTTGCTGTACTTAATGACTTAAAGCACTTCTTCTCAAAGTGTGGTCTGTGGACCACTGGTCTGCAAACTGTTTGTTACTAGTCTGCAAATTATCTGTTAGATCCATAACAAAAAGGAACTTTCCTCAGAATGTAAATTAACTATATCCCCAAGTACAAAGTTTAGTGCAGTTGGCATCTTGCTACAAGCAAGACTTTTTTTCAATATAGGTAGCAGCATCAATTTGTATTCTGGTGCAAAGTCCTTATTTCTTTGTAGACTGTAATAAATAGTTATTGGACTGGACTTTGAGTACAGCTGAATCTACAGTATTTGATATGGTACCAAGGAATTCTCCAGAGAATCAAAGAAAAGTCAAAGATAATATTTAGGTAATATTGGCACTGTAAAAGCAACAATGATAGTTACATAAACCCTTGCAAGGATACCTTTCTCATATTATTGCTTTGAAATATGACTGGAGAAGTCAAACCAGTCCTTCCTACTTTTTCAGTTTCTACAGTATTTTCATTTCACTCAAAGCTGACAGACTGAGTATTAGGTCTATCTTATACTGAATTAATGATTGCCAGCTTTTAAATTTATAACTATTAATTGAAGAACTGGTAAGTGTCTTTTCATGAAAACTAATTAAAGAATGTTACATAATACTTAGTTTTTTAAATCAGCCCTTGCCACCCTAAGGAAATTTTGCTTTTTAAAATGCTAGTATTTTATCTTCTAAAACAAAGCTGACTAAACAATAAAGTGAAAAAGTAATACCAGCATATTTATATTCCTTACTGCCTATTAGGCAAATAACAAGTAAACATTTATTGATTCCTTTATTAACATTTTTTGAGTACCCAATACATGTTGGCAGACTAGTTGATGTATACAATAGTAGAGACATAAAAGTCAGTAAGACAGTAGGGACGTAAAAGTCCTTGGCTTCAAGAAATTCACAGTTTACTTACTTGTAAACGAATAAAATGTTTAATAAGGCATCCTAATGCAGCAAGCAATATGTTAGCTTTGGGCTTGCAGAAGGTGGAATAACTAACTTAGATTCTAGGAGTTGAGGAAGGCTATACAGAAAGTTGAAATTTGAGCTGGGTTTTGAAGGATGAGTTCAGCAAATAGGTAAGAAGGAAAGGGCATTAATGGAAGAAAAATAGCATGTGTAAACTATAGATAAAAGCATGGTGTGGTGAAAGTGAAACTGAGCAGCTTGATGGTATTAGAAACTGTAGAATAGCGCTGTGAACAAGGAAGGGCAAATAGTGGTGATTAAACTGATGAGGTGGTTTGACCCAGATTATGGGACATCTTGTGGGACTTCAGTAAGCATTTTGTAGTTTTTAGGCAGGGGAATGGCACAATCAGATTTATATTTTTGAATGAAATTTTGAGAATCTGGGAAATAGAGATGGTTGAAATTTTAGTTTAGGAAGCTTTTACAATGGTCTAGGTAAGAGATATTAAGGACCTGAGATAAAGCAGTGGCACTAAGAATATTTCTGGAAGAAAGAAAGATGGGTAGATGATGGAGAATGATAGATTTGATTTGTAAAAGGTAAAAATCAGAAGAATTTGGTGACTACTCAGTGTGTGTGTGTATGTGTGTGTGGCAGGGGTGGGGTGTTTAGATGGTTTTCTAGATTCTCTGTTGATAAACTAGGTTGATGATAGCATTATTATTATGGATAGGAAATAAGAGGAATACTTGATTTCATTGGAGAGAGGAAGTGAGTTTAATGTACTTGCTGGCTGAATGACTGGAGATGAAACACGTGTTGGAATTAAATATTTGGAATTTAGAGAGGCCTAGCTAGAGATGCAGATTTGAAGTAATCATCAGAGGTTGAAATCATTAGACTTGAGATTGCCCTAGCGAGCTAGAAGAAAAGACTAAAGGTTAGAGATAGAAGTTACACAAGGAAACTGGAAGGATTGTTCATAGATGGAGAACAAGAAGAGTGATTGGTGTTATAGAATTCAAAGCAGAGGAATTTCAAGAAAGAGATGTCAGGTAGAGTGAGATCATTGAATTTGATATTTAGGAGATAGTCTGTGACATTGTTGAGTAGTTTAAATAAAGGAATAGAAGTGAGAGATTGTAGTACGTTTGACTTTGAAGGGAGTGACAGAGGCAGCTGACAGGCTACAGAAAATTGAGGGAGAGCTGTTTTGGTCTCTTGTTTTTCTTGGCTTAAAGATGGGAAACAATTTAGCATGTTTATTTAGCCAAGAGAAAGGTGCCTGTGGAAGTTAAAGACATAATAGAGTAAGAAGTTAACCCATGGAATGGTTTATGTGGAAGGAGATAGGCTCAAGAACAAAGATGGAGAGAGAAACCTTGGAGAGACAAGTGGAGAATTCTGTGAGGTGAGAGAGAATGTTTGGTCCCGATATGGGTAAGATTTCAATGAGTTTGGAGTCGGAAAGAATAAAATTCGGAAGTGTGAATGTTTAATGGAAAGATATAAATTTTCCCAATGTGACAAACTGAGTCTTAAATTGAAGGTGCAAAAGGAAGCCAGCCTGTCTCAGACAGAATCCATTCCCTTTTCTTCTTGTATCCTTGGGCACCACTTCCCAAGACACTGTTATGTAAAAACTTATCTTGAATTTTTTCCTCCAGCTCTGACTTCTAATACTTTTTAAGGCTAACACTGTAATCATTACTAAAAAGAGAGAGAAGAAATGGAAAAACCATTCTATTCTCATAAAACTCTTTCTGAACCTCTTTTTTTACCGAATGCAATGTAGTAGAAAGTCAAAATGTATCTTTTTTTTCTTACTGTGAGAATGGCATGCAATGGGATCTAGTGATTCCTTCCAAATGATTCTCTAGTATTCCCAACATTTTTAATGAATATTTTTGTACACTTGTTTATCTGCTTTTTTTTTTTTTTGTATTTTAGGGTTATGGTTTTCCAGTGAACCGACTTTTTGACCTTTTATTTGAAATAAGAGACCAATACAATGAAACACTGCTTAAGAAATGGGCTGGAGTTTTCAGGTTAGTCTAAGTCATGGTGCCTTAATATAATGAATATGTTTGTCAAATGCTCAAGTGGTTCATTTGCATATATTAATAAAAATGCTTATAATCATTTTTATTGTAGTAAAGTACACATAGAATTTACCATCTTAGCCATTTTCAAGTGTGTAGTTCAGTGGTGTACAGTCAAATTGTTGCAACTGTCACCACCATCCATTTCCAGAACGTTTTCATCTTCCCAAATAGAAACTCTGTACTCACTTAACAATAACTCTCCATTTCCCCCTTCCCCCAGCCTCTGGCAACCACCACTCTTGCTTTGTCTCTAAAATTTGACTGCTCTAGGTACCTCATGTAAGTGGAATCAGATATGTTTGTTCTTTTGTGTCTGGATCATTTCACTTAACACAGTGTCTTCAAGGTTCATCCATATTGTAGCATGTCAGAATTTCATTCCTTTTTAAGGCTGACTAATATTCCATTGTCTTTATATACCACATTTTGTTTATCAGTTCATCTGTTGATGGACATTTAGGTTCCTTCCACCTTTTGACTATTGTGAATAATGCTGCTGTGAACGTGAGTACAGTATACATATATCTGTTTGAGTCTCTGCTTTCAAATCTTTTGGGTTTATACCCAGAAGTGAAATGCTGGATCATATGTAAATATATCTTTAATTTTTTGAGGAACTACCATACTGTTTCCATAGTGGCTGTAACATTTATAATCAGTTTTTAATTATACTTGCTTGTAGTTCTAATATCTGTAAATTTTTCCTAGTAAATGATTAAATACTTATAAGACTATAAGTATTCAAAGATATTTTGTATTAGAGACAGAAATTTACAGCTTTTAAATTTTGTTTTGGGCAAGTGCTGTTTTTACAAATAAAATAACTAGATTAAGAATCTTAAAGAATCTAAACGAGAAAATTACTTTTGCTTTAACCACTTATCTGCAGGCCATGGACAAAAGTATTTTAATATCTGTGTAACTTTTTAGTGACATGAGAAGAGAAATATGCCCCCACACTTGAATTACTAAAAGTTTTCCTCCCTCCCTTCTTTCTTTCTTTTTCTTTTTGTCTCTTTCTCTCCATCCTTCTCCCTTTCAGGAAGAAAAAGTCAATCTTGAGGTTTTACATCTTGTTTACCCAAAATATGATAGAAGTAATGTGTCAATATTTGATGATATTAAAATAAAAGTACGTTAGATGATTTAATACCAGCTTAGCACTTATCCCATCAACTTTCAAAACTATGGAGATTGACCTTCTAAATACTGTAATAGAAATTTTCGAACAGGGTGAGGTGGCTTATGCCTGTAATCCCAGCACTTTGGGAGGCCAAGATGGGAGGATCTCTTGAGGCCAGGAGTTTGAGACCAGCCTGGACAACATAGTAAGACCTTGTCTCTACAAATAAAAAATAAAAAAATTAGCTGGGCATTGTGTTGTGCACCTGTAATCCCAGCTACTTGGGAGGTTGAGGCAGGAGGATTACTTGAGCCCAGGTGTTTGAGGCTGCAGTGAGCTATAAACACACCACTGCACTCCAGCCTGCACAAAAGGGCAAGACTGTGCTCTTAAAAAATATTTTTTAGTGCCTAAGTGGCTCATAAGGTGATACACATCTAGTAAAATCAACTAAACAAATCCTTATTTGAGTTTTTGGTATTTACATTCTTCAGGAGTGATATTATCAGGATGCTATCCCAGATGGATAATTGACAGTCCTGATGAGTCATATGGAACTATCAACAATTATTTTTATTAACTATTTTAAAAATAAAGGTAGCATTTATTGATAAAGATGGTAATCTAGAACATATATGCTATGATATAATGTATAATATGATGTAATATGATATTTTTATAGTTATAAAATCTTATAGACTTGATGTTATTTAACTGGCCTCTTCAGAAGGGTGTTTATGTTTTCATAACTGTCGATAGATTGTATTGGGCCAGCTATTCTCTCTTACCTGTCTTAAGACTTCTAGTACTAAGATTGTTCCTCAAGACTGGGGAAACCATGAGGTATTGTTTTCTGTCTGGGAAGCTAATGGCTTCATTCACATAGAGATAGGATTAATTTTATCCTCCAAAGTAATAGTGGAGGAGAACAAATGATAGCATGTCAATTTTAACACAAAATTTCCAAATATATTTTGACTTCTGCTTTTAATACTCTTCCAGATCATGCTTTTTGCCTAATTTTTTTTTTTTTTTGAGACGGAGTCTTGCACTGTCACCTGTGCTGGAGTGCAGTGGCGTGACCTCGGCTCACTGCAATCTCCGCTTCCTGGGTTCACGCCATTCTGCCTCAGCCTCCCTAGTAGCTGGGACTACAGGCGCCCACCACCACGCCCGGCTAATTTTTTGTACTTTTAGTAGAAATGGTGTTTCGCCGTGTTAGCCAGGATGGTCTCGATCTCCTGACCTTGTGATGTACCCGCCTTGGCCTCCTAAAGTGCTGGGATTACAGGCGTGAGCCACCCCTCCTGGCCACCTAAATTTTTAAGAAGTAGCACAACTTAAGCTTTGCTTACCTCTGACCCGTATCCTTAAATATTTTATAAATAGTGAATTGACAACCTAACAATTAAATGGGGGAAAAAGAAAAATTATCAATACTGAATGATATTCAAAACTTGACTACTTCCATGATAGAATTTATAACCTGACTACTGTTACATTTTATCTGTATGCAGCTCTCTCTCACTATATTATGAGCCCTGTTTTATTTTTGTATTATTTTTGGATACATGTGCTTTTATTTAGTTTTTAATTGACAATAATTTTATAGATTTATGAGGTACAGTTTGATGTTTTGGTATATTGTATACATTATGGAATGATTAAATCAAGCAAATTAACATATCCATCACCTCACGTACTTATTTTTTTTTTTTAGTGGTGCAAACATTTAAAATCTACTGTTGGCAATTTGAAATATATGTTACATTATTATTAACCGTAGTCACCTTGCTGTGGAATAGATCTCAAAAACCTATTTCTCCTGTCTGACTGAAACTGTACTCTTTGACAAACATCTTGGCATCTCCCTACCCTGCCTACGCCACTTTCTGATCGCCCTACCCTCTGGTAACCTATAAATCAGAAATCAGGCTTCTCTCTACTTCTGTGAGTGTGACTGTTTTAGATTCCTCATATAAGTGAGATTATGCAGTATTTGACTTCTGTGCCTAGCTTATGTCACTTAGCATAATGTCCTCAAGGTTCATCCTTGTTGTTGCAAATGACAGAATTTCCCTCTTTTATAGGGCTGAATAGTATTCCATTGTGTATATGCACTTTTTTTTAATCCATTCAAAGGTCGATTCCGTATTTTGGCTATTGTGAATAATTCTGCAGTGAACATGGGAATGCAGATAACTCTTTGAGATACCGATCTTTTTTTTTTAATTTTTATTATTTTTTTTGAGACAGAGTCTTTGCTCTATCACCCAGGCTGGAGTGCAGCAGCGTGATCTTGGCTCATGGCAACCTTCGCCTCCCAAGTTCAAGTGAGTCTCCTGCCTCAGCCTCCCAAGTAGTTGGGATTACAGGTGTGCACCACCATGCCCCACTAATTTTTGTATTTTTAGTAGAGACAGGGTTTCACCATCTTGGCCAGCCTGGTTTCAAACTCTGACCTCAAGTGATCCGCCTGCCTTGGCCTCCCAAAGTGCTAGGATTACAGATGTGAGCCACTGTGCCTGGCTTGATACTGATTTTAATTCTTTTGGTTATGCACCCAGAAATGAGATTGCTGGGATCATATAGTAGTTCTATTTTTAGTTTTTTGAGGAACCTCCATCCTGTTTTCCATAATGGATATATTAATTTACATTGCCACCAACAGCGTGCAAAGGTTCCCTTTCTCCACATCCTCACCAACACTTATCTTGTGTCTGTTAGATAATGGCCATTCTCACAGCTGTGAGGTGATACCTCGTTGTATTTTTTTTTTTTTTTTGAGACAGAGTTTCGCTCTTGTCGCTCAGGCTGGAGTGCAATGGTGCAATCTCAGCTCACTGCAACCTCTGCCTCCCAGGTTCAAGTGATTCTCCTGCCTCAGCCTTCCGAGTAGCTGGGATTACAGGCCTGCACCACCACGTCCGTCTAATTTTGTATTTTTAGTAGAGATGGGGTTTCTGTATGTTGGTCAGGCTGGTCTCGAACTCCCGACCTCAGGTGATCTGCCTGCTTCCGCCTCCCAAAGTGCTGGGATTACAGGTGCGAGCCACTGTGCCTGGCCAGCCTTGTTGTATTTTTAATTTGGATTTCCCTGATGATTAGTGATGTTAAGCTTTGCTTATTCCTGATCTGTATACCTGTTGGACATTTTTGTGTCTTCTTTTGATAAATATCTATTCAGGTCCTTTGCCCACTTTTTAATTCAGTTATTTGTTTTCTTCTATTGAGTTGAGTTCCTTATGTATTTTGGATACTAACTCCTTATTATATGTATCAGATATATATCAGCAAATATTTTCTCCCAGTCTGTAACTTGCCTCTTCATTCTGTTGTTTCCTTGCTGTGCAGAAGCTTTTTAGTTTGATCCAGTTTATTTGTCTACTATGGCTTTTGTTGCCTGTGCTTTTGGGGTTATATTTTTAAAAATCATTATCTAGACCAATGCCATGGAGCTATTTATATTCTTGATTGCCTAGCCCTAGTATAGTGCCTGACAGAGTAGGAACTTATACACGTTTATAGAATTTGGTTCTATAAACAGATCATATTAAGACTACATTAACATTCTTAGAATATAAATGTGCCTTTCGTTAAATTATCTCTTCTTCCATAGTAACTGGTTCCCTGGCATTTGTATAAAGTTAGTAGTTTATTGTCTTCTAGTAGTTACTTTCCCTGTAACTTGCCTTTTAACCTTTCATCATTTTTATTTTTATTTTTAAAACAGAGACAGCATTTCGCTGTGTTGCCCAGGCTGGCCTCAAGTGTTCTGCCTGCGTCAGCCTCCCAAAGATTACAGGTGTGAGCCACCTCATTTAGCCCTGCCTTTTAACGTTTTACTTTATTTTTAAACTCTATGTAGAATGAAATAGAATTAGTGAAAGTAAATACCAAAAAAGTAATTTTTGTATTTTTTGGTAGAGCTGGGTGTGGTTGATTAGTGGCGCACACCCTGTAGTCCCAGCTACTCAGGAGGCTAAGGTGTAAGAATCGCTTGAGGCCGGGCACGGTGGCTCACGCCAGTAATCCCAGCACTTTGGGAGGCCAAGGTGGGTGGATCACCAGGTCAGGAGATTGAGACCATCCTGGCTAACACAGTGGAACCCCGTCTCTACTAAAAAAACAAAAAAAAAAAATTAGCTGGGCGTGGTGGCCGGCGCCTGTAGTCCCAGCTGCTCAGGAGGCTGAGGCAGGAGAATGGCGTGAACCCGGGAGGCGGAGCTTGCAGTGAGCCAAGATTGCGCCACTGCACTCCAGCCTGGGTGACAGAGCTAGACTCCGTCTCAAAAAAAAGAATCGCTTGAACCCGGGAGGCTGAGGCTGCAGTGAGCCGAAATTGCACCACCGCACTCCAGCCTGGGCGACAGAGTGAGACCCTGTCTTAAAAAAAAAAATTAAAAAAAGTAAAGCTTTCATTTATGCTACTTCCTTTCTACCCCTACTGTTGCAGCTTTAATTCAGATCCTCGTCACCTTTTATTTAGATTATTCTTCAGTTTTTCTAAGTGATCTCTCTGTGTTCATTATTAGGCTTTTTCCAGTTTATCCTTCACACAGTGAATATCTTCCTATGACATTCCCTTTCCTAAAACCTTTTAATGCCTACAGAGTGAAATCTGGATGTCTGTTTGCACACCTGTCCAATCTCATTTTTCACCATGTCCCTCAGACTTTATACTTTGTAATACTGCACTACTTGTGGTTTTACACCCCCCCACACACTAACGCTCACTCCTTGTGCCTTTGCGTATATATTCCAGTGGTCTAGAATGCTTTTCTCCCATAATCTCTTTAGAAATTTTTTTCATCTGTAAAGACCCTACAGGACTACTCACTTCTCTGTCTAACTTTCCATGAGATGTTCTTCACGTACTCTGATAGTCACTTCCTTCTTTGTCCTGTTTCTGAACCTTGTACTTCTTGTATTGTATGTATAGCACAACATTATAGATGTTATAATTTGTTTGTGTATCTATCTCTCCTATTAGATTTCTTGTGTTTATTGTCATGAGGTAGGGAATTGTCATCACAGCCCAGAGCCTAGCACATAATAGGTGCTCAATAAATATTAATCAAAATTATTTAATTAAAAGGAAATCAATGATTGGATGACAGTTACGTTAGGACAGCCTAGGTTATGCTACAGCAACAAAAATTCCCCAAATATCAGTGGATGAACATGTTTTATTCCTCACTCACACAGAAACCCACGATAGGTTTCCTAGTCAGAGATACAAGCTATTTGCATTTGTGATTCTAACTTTTCAACGTGTTGTCTTCCTTGTCACCATGGGAAGGAGGTTTGCACAATTGGCTCATAAAGGCTTTAAACTCAAAGCAACACATGTCACTTCCATTCACAGCCCAATGGCCAAAACTAGTCATATGGCCCTGCCTAACTGCAAGGGGGTGTACAGAAGAGCACATGGATATTTGATGAGTAGTAACTGTTTCTGCGTCACCAACTATAAAAGATCCATTTCTAATCATGACATTATGAGAGGCTAAGCAAATGTAACACATTGTTTTGATCTTCAAGAGTTTATAATCTCATTGGGAAAAGAGAAGACACAAGATACACAGCTTGAGAATTATTCCTATCAAGAATTATGACAGGAGGCTGGGCACAGTGGCTCACGCCTGTAATCTCAGCACTTTAGGAGGCCGAGGCAGGCAGATCATGAGGTCAGGAGATCGAGACCATCCTGGCTAACACGGTGAAACCCCTTCTTTACTAAAAATAAAATTAGCCAGGCGTGGTGGCACGCGCCTGTAGTCCAGCTACTTGGGAGGCTGAGGCAGCAGAATCACTTGAACCTGGGAGATGGAGGTTGCAGTGAGCCGAGATCACACCACTGCACTCCAGCCTGGGTGACAGAGCGAGACTCTGTCTCAAAAAAGAAAAAATAGAAAGAATTATGACAGGAATACTTTCCATTACGTGGATCCTTTTTTAGTTACAGATAATGAGCTTGTTCAGAATATATCACCTTGAGAATTATTCTAGAATGGAAAACTAAAGTGCTGAGAGGTTGTAAAACAAGCTAGTGGAAAAAGGAGATTGTACCTGGATTTTGAGGGACAAGACCTATTTGTTGTTGAATTTTAGAATTCTGGATGCTTAGGCAGTATCTTCCTGTTTGGACCTTTAATAGACAAGTAAAAACTGCTTTTGTAATAGTTGGGGTTTTTTAAGGTATTGTCTTTTAGTACTCTAATAATATGCTTTGTAATGATAAGTTTTCAATTTTCCTTTCCTAACAGGGACATTTTTGAAGAAGATAATTACAGCCCCATCCCTGTTGTCAATGAAGAAGAATATAAAATTGTCATCAGCAAATTTCCCTTTCAAGATCCAGACCTTGAAAAGGTACAAGCTAGTTTTTAATTCAAGGATTTTCTTAAAAATAAATTCATAGTATTTGTTACTACATAATATTAAATATTAAGCTGAGACTGTAAATAACAGTGGTTTCTTGAGGGGCAACTTTTTGTTGTATTGAGAAAACTAACTATGTTCTGTGAAGTTTTAAAGAGTATGTTATTACTACTACTACTACTACCACTACTACTACTACTACTACTACTACTACTACTACTACTACTACTACTGAGATTTCGATGACGTTAAGAAGAGACTTTCCTGGGCCTACTAGAAGTAGTTGCCCCAAATGTTAGGTGGATTCCTAGGAGAGGTGTTACTAATGTTGGGTGGATTCCAAATGAAAAGTAGATTTATAGTAATAAGAGTATATCCTAGTGAAAGAGACAAGAATTTCTTTGAATTGTTTATCACTGTGGAAGATTTAAAAGAAGTACACTTTTACAAAAAGTTTATATTGGTTAAATAAGTGATATGTGAAGGCAATAGCTACCTGTAGATTTCTTCCTGAAGTAGGAATATTTATGTTTGGAGTCAAGATAACAAAACACAGGGTAGAGAAAGGAAGTAGACCAGCCATGTAGGAGATTCTCAGAATGCACATGAATCCATGTGTATGTGCATATATACGTGCAAACATGCACCCTTGTACCTACCCAATATCTTTGAGTAGAATTAGATCTCATTAGAAAAGGATGTCATTTTAACTGTAACTGTCACTTTTGTATTCTCTTTATTCTTGTTTTTTTCTCCTTACTCTTCTTTATTATTTTCCCAACTTTTTGTAATTCAGTACCTTTCTACATTTTTATCACTTCAGCATGAGCAAGACCAAATTCTGAGTGAATCATGACTGTAAATTTTTGTTGTATTTTTATACATAAACTAAGCATATTATGTGTACTAGTCACTAAATACAGAACCAGGTAATTAAATGGATAGCTTCTAGATTGTAGCTAATGCCGCCATTGCATATACCTATTAGCTATGTTTTAATACAAGAGGCCAGAATAATTATTCTAATTCTGTATTTTTTGAAAGCCCAATGAAAGTTGTTCTGTCAAGAAATATCACCAGAATATTCTCTATCTCATGGCTTAGTTTTTTTTTTTTTTAGTTACTGGTAATGAGTTTGTTCAGGCTAGTGTCTATATAAAGAGCACTAGACTAGGTCTAGATTCATGTGCTAGCTCTGCTTGTGGCTTTTTTTTTTTTTTTGAGACGGAGTTTTGCTCTTGTTGCCCAGGCTGGAGTGCAATGGTGCCATCTCGGCTTACTGCAACCTCTGCCTCCTGGGTTCAAGTGATTCTCCTGCCTCAGCCTCCCAAGTAGCTGGGATTACAGGCATGCGCCACCATGCCCAGCTAATTTTGTAATTTTTTTTAGTAGAGACAGGGTTTCACCGTGTAGGTCAGGCTGGTCTCGAACTCCTGACCTCAGATGATCTGCCTGCTTCAGCCACACAAAGTGCTGGGATTACAGGCGTGAGCCACTGTACCTGGCTGCTTGTGGCTTATTATAGGCAAATGACTGAGCCTGTGTGGGCATTTGTGCCTCATCTGTCAAATGAGGAGTTTGAACTCAGTAATCTCTAATATCCCTTCCAATCATAATAGGTTTATAATTAAAAGGAAATTTAACTTTGCTTGCAGAGCATTTCTAATATATGCAGTACCTCTTAAGTTCTTAGAAGTTGTATTCATTGGTCTATGTATTACTCATTATTAAAAAGAAGAACTGTTAATAGTTAAAGTCACATGGAAAATTAAAATATGACAACTGAAAAATAAATCTCATAAATTATTTAATAAAGTCTTTTGGTTGTGTGTGTATATTTTTTCCTAGTTTAAGTATAATTTTCAATTAAAACTATTAGAAAATATATAAAACTATCAAATAACTTGAGTTATTTTCAACATAAATTATGAATGGAGGAGTAATAGTAAACATACATGCAAAAATGTTTTTGTAGATAGCTATGTTAATTTTATTAGAATCATTTGGCCAAAATAAGAACATATTTATATTCTGCCTTTAATATCATTAAAATAATTTCAAATATTTTTCATATACCTACTATATACCAGAAACAGTGCTATGTGCTAGATTTTCAGTCTTTGGTGTTAAGGAGCTTATAGTCAAGTGAGGATAGATAAAATAAATAAGAAATTATAATTCACAGAAGTTTGCATTGCTTAAGATAGGGGATGCACCATGCAGAAAGGCTGCATAAAGGTCAAAGTAGATGAAGTACAAGAGATGAAGCTCAAGAGATGTAAATTGGAGAAGTAGAAAGGACCAGACCATAATGGCCCTACTAAACAGTGTTAAAGAGTTTATCCTTTTTCCTGAGGGTTATGGGAAGCCATGAAAGAATTTTAAGTGGTAAAAACATAACCAGATTTGTGCTTTAGGAAGACCTATATGTGGAGAATGGATTGGAAAAGAGTAAGACTGGTGGCAGGGAGACCACCTAGTAGATTTTTGCATTTATCTTGATGAGAGAAGAGGGTTATGTAACCTGAATGGGGGTTATGGTCATTGAAGCTGATTTGAGATGCTTAGGAGGTAGGAGCAACAGGAGTTGCTGATTATGTGCATATGAGGGGTAACGGAGATAAAGGGGTCAAGTAAGATAACCAAGTTTCCACCTTGGATGGTGGCAGCATTCACTGTGATAAGAAACAGAAAAGGAGCAAATTTAGAAGAAAAAGATGATAATTTCACTTTTGGATCTATTGAGTAACTCATCTCAATGGTACAGCCAAATGGAGCTGTCCAATGGGTAGATACATGAATTTGGACTTAAGAGAAAGATTTGATCTGGAGTTGTAGATTTGGAGATATTGGTACTTGTATGGTGATTGAAGTCATAAGACCATATGAGATCATCCAAGAAAAGTATATGTAGTAGAAAGAGAGGGTTTAGGACAGAACCCTAAAGCACAGCAATAATTAAGTAATGGCTAGAGGAAAAGAAATAGAGTAGGTAGAGAAAAAGGAGGAAAACCAGTGTGGGCAGGAATCCAAGGAAGGAGAGATCATTTATGAAGTAGGAGTGGGTCAACTGTGTCAGATTTTTCAAAAAAGTCAGGTAACATGAGAGCTGAAGAAACCACTGGATTGAACAACTGTGAGATCACTGGTGATCTTGGTGATGGTACTTTCACCGATATAACAAGGTTGCAATGAAGGTGAAGATAGAAGGGTATATTAGACTTACTGAAATAGAAAAGAGGGTTTTTTTAATAACAATCTTGGAAGGAGTTTACCTTTTAGAGACTGAGAATTTCAAATGCATAATGACTTACAAAGTAGTTTAGCCAGGAAGGACCCTGTAAGCCATTGGCTGCATACCAGTGTTTAATGGCATGGAGGTCAGAAACCTGCTATAAGGTATTCTAGGAGTTACGGAATAAACTCGATAACTTCTTGAATTGGCATCAAGCCTTCACTGAAGGTAAATGAAGGGAGTCTTAGAATTATTTAATGACTCTGAGCCAGAAAGCTGGCCTATAATTTTCATGGCCACCCTGACTCTTGTATGATAAATACACAAAGAAGCAGACAGCCTAGGCATTGCCTACAGACAGAATACTCATCACCAGAATACTCATCATCAGAATACACCAGAGGTATTGGTATGTGTTTTCTCTGCTTGTTGGAAGTCTGATAATATGATTTAAGAAACAAGGGTAAATTGCCACATTATTTTCTTCAGAAATATTTTGATAAAATATCAAAAATGTAGAAATATAACAGAGTTTTTGATGCAGGTATTTGCTATTCAAGTGTGAAATCAATTTAATTTTACATTTTTTAGTGATTAGCATGTCTTTTTCTAAAATTTCAAAAACAATATTAACTTTCTTTTTCTACAGCAGTCTTTCCCAAAGAAATTCCCCATGTCTCAGTCAGTGCCTCATATTTACATTCAAGTTAAAGAATTTATTTATGCCAGCCTTAAATTTTCAGAGTCACTACACCGGAGGTGAGTTTACTAATCACAAATGCATTTTTGTCATAACTTTTATGAAACATTAATACTTTATTTTTATGCCATAACTTTTTTTTCCTCAACTTTTATTTTAGATTCATGGGGTACATGTTTGTTATAGGGGCATATTGTGTAATGCTGAGATTTGGGGTATGCTTGAACGTGTCACCCAGGTAGCGAGCATAGTACCCAACAGGTAGTTTTTCAACCCCTGCCTCCCCTTCTTGTAGTCTCCAGTATCTGTTGTTTCCATTTTTACATCCATGTGTACCTAGTGTTTAGCTCCCACTTACAAGTGAAAACATGCAGTATTTGGTTTTCTGTTTCTGCATTAGTTTGCTTAGGATAATAGCCTCCAGCTGCATTCATGTTGCTGCAAAGGACATGATTTTGTTCTTTTTTATGGCTGTGTAGTATTCCATGGTGTTTATATACCACATTTTCTTTATCCAATCCAACATTGCTATCAATGGGGAGGTGCTACTGGAACTAGTAGTGGGTAGAGGCCAGGGGTGCTGCCATAGACACCTAGGTTGATTCTGTGTCTTTACTATTGTGAATAGTGCTGTAATGAACATATGGGTACATGTGTCTTTTTGGTAAAATGATTTATTTTCCTTTGAGTATATCCCCAATAATGGGACTGCTGGGTTGAATGGTAGTTCTTTGTGTTTGTTTTTGTTTTTGCTTTTGTTTTTATTTTGTTTTGAGACAGGAACTCACTCTGTTGCCCAGGCTGGAATGAAGTGGCACAATTATGGCTCACTGCAGCCTCGATCTCCTGGGCTCAAGTGATCCTTCCACCTCAGCCTCCCAAGTAGCTGGAACCACAGGTTCGCGCCACTGCTCTTTGCCAATTTTTGTATTTTTAGTGGAGATGAGGTTGTGCCATGTTGGTCAGGCTGGTTTTGAACTCTTGGCCTCAAGCAATCCACCCACCTCAGCCTCCCAAAGTGCTGAGATTACAGGCACAATCCACTGCGCCTGGCCCACAGATTTTTAAAAGTAGTATTTTAATAAAAAGTAAAAGGATGCAAAAATGTTAGCCTGTATCTAAGGCAGTAGTTCTCAACTGGGGATAATTTTGGTTCTCCTGCCACCACCTCCTCCCCACAAATTTGGCAATGTCTAGAAACATCTTTGGTTGTTACAGTTCAGGGGAGAGGTGCTACTTGAAACTAGTGGATAGAGGCCAAACATCCAAATGTGCAGGACAGTCTCCACGACAAAGAATTATCCACCCTAAAATGTCAATAGTGCCGAGATGGATAATCCATGGTCTACAGACAGTTTAACTGTTGTGATAATGAGGCTGTATCCAAGAAATCATTATTTACTTAAATTGAAGACCGAATGGTTAGGAGAAGAGAATTTGTTTTTTAGTGCTAGCTTAGTAATACTTAGGATGTTAAGAAACATCATATTAAAATTAGTTTAAGGTAATTTATTTCTTTGAAGACTTAAAAAATCAATGAAAATGGATAACTTAGTTATATTAAAAATTAAATTTGTTTATTATATCTAGAAAGAGCTCATATCAGTTTGTATTTTAAAAATAATTTTTAGCTATAGTTGTGTATGAAGTTTCTTTCAAAGTGACTGTCTTTTGGGGCTGGGCGCGGTGCCTGACGTCTGTAATCCCAGCACTTTGGGAGGCCAAGGTGGGAGAATTACTTGAGTCCAGGAGTTTGAGACCAGCCTGGGCAACATAGTGCAACCCTGTTTCTATAAAATATTTGAAACTAGCTGGGCATGGTGGCATGCATCTGTAGTCCCAGCTACTCAGAATGTTGAAGTGTGAGAATTGCTTGGGTCCAGGACTTTGGGGCTACAGTGAGCTATAATTGCACCACTGTACTCCAGCCTGGGTGACAAAGTGAGACCCTGGCTCAAAAACAATAATAAAAATAATAAAACAACAAAGTTACTATCCCATGATGGAGTCGGAATTTAGGAATAATTTTGTTTCCTTATACCAAGTCCTCTATGATTTTTCTGTGGTTGTTAATTGGATAAATTTAAATTATGCCATATATGAATATTCTACTTTATGGAAAATGTCCCTTTTGCAAAGTTAAATTGAAGTTTGTGATTTAATAAATATGGGTCTTTGTAGTTTATTTAAAGATATAAAATAATGATGGGGAAAATTATTTTAGTAAACTGTGTTAAATTATTTAGGATGTTAACTAACCACATTCATTATTTATTAAGTTTAATAATATCAATCTTTGTTTTTAGCTCAACAGAAATAGACGATATGCTTAGAAAATCAACAAATCTGCTGCTGACCAGAACTTTGAGTAGCTGTTTACTGAACCTTATTAGAAAACCTCATATAGGTTTGACAGAGGTAGGTTAAAAAGACACATATAGTGAAATGTTTCATTGTATGAAACAATTATTTTAAATTATTGCTGAACGTCATTCTGTAAAACTAGCTTCCTGTTTTAAATGTATTAATATAAGCAGATTTGTTTTCAAAATAAAAACACCAGTGTAAATTCCAGAAATGTGAGGATCCCAGGCACAGTGGCTCATACCTCTAATCCGAGAGCTTTGGGAGGCCAAGGCAGGAGGATTGTTTGAGGTCAGGAGTTTGAGACCAGCCTGGGCAATATAGTGAGACCCTGTTTCTACAAAAAATGAAGACTATTAGCCAGGCGTGGTAGTGTGCAACTATATTCCTAGCTACTCTGGACTTGAGCCCAGGAGGTTGAGGCTGCAGTGAGTTACAATCATACCACTGCACTACACAGCCTGGGTGACAGCAAGACCCTGTCTCTGGAAGAAAAAATAAAAAAATGAGGGAAAAGGGTTCATATGGGGAATAGTAGATAAAGATGTTAGAATATCTATTTAGATTTCTGATTGCCAGACTACAGGAAAAGTCACAATCCTAATTTTTTACTTGCTAAATGTTTAAGATTTGAAACATACTATGAAAAGTTATTTTAAAATAACTGGTATTTAGACTCTTGGTGTGTGTGTGTGTGTGTGTATATATATATATATATAAATTCATACGCAGTATTTGCAACAGGCTTTTAAAATCAGATAGTTGTATCCTATAATGCTGCAATTATGTAGAAATGGTACAGTTGCTGGAAGTAATAATCCCATTTTTAAAAATTAGGTGATTTTACATACATGTAACCTGTATTTTACTAGATATATCTTGTGTTTTCTAGCTGGTACAAATCATCATAAACACAACACACCTGGAGCAAGCTTGTAAATATCTTGAGGACTTTATAACTAACATTACAAATATTTCCCAAGAAACTGTTCATACTACAAGACTTTATGGACTTTCTACTTTCAAGGTATGTAAAAATTTGACCAAAAGTTTTCATTTCAGTCACTGTAAGCAGACGTTAAGAAATTAAAGACCGTTCTTATATATGCAAGATCTACTATATTCCTAAAAATTAAGAATAGAGGTATTCATTGTCAACAATGAGCAAGTAAATGTCAGTTTCTTTTTGGCACTGTAAACATCTTATTAACATGGAGAAAAGTATACTTATTTTCTACAGTGTATTATGCTTTGTTCATGTTTTGATGATTTATAGTAGTGCTGACTAGGTCTAACTGAATTAATATTTCACAGTTTAAAAATTAATTCTATATGAGTGTTTATTTTTGAAAATTTAAAATGTAAGACAAATTAAAAAAGGATAGATTTGTTTTCCATCCTTGATTGGTTCTGATCTGAAGAAAAATAAATATTATTACATGTCATTGAAGTCCTACCTCTTTTGCGGGTGGAAAGATTTCTGTTTGAATAATATACAGAATATACTGAGGATTAATTAATGGTTGTTTTAGGTAGAATGTAAGATTAAACAATTTCATAAGGTATTTTATTATTTGGAGTCATAGATGAGACACTGGCTTAGTCTAGTGTGTATAAATCCCCTTGAATTGAATATTTTATTAAACTAATGATAAACCATGTACTGATCACTTATCTGTAAAATGGGCTTGCTAATTTAACCTTACAGCTCTTTCTAAAAGTTTCCTATTAAAAAGAATTCTCTTTAACTACTTTTGTTATATTATCAATCACCCCCAAGATTTTATTGTAGTAACTTGCATTGTAAAAAATGAATGTACTTGTGTTTTAAAATAACTAATTTAGTGTTAACATTTAACCATATGTTGCAAGTGTGAAGTCCACAAACAACCCTGGGATCCTAGAATTACCTGCTTGGCCCCCAAATATTATGCTCCTCTGGTGACTCTTGATCTCATGTAGTCATTTCAATACATAAGACACAAATGCAGAATGATATCTGAATCAGCAGACTTATAAAATTAGCTATTAAAACTTAGAAGCCTAAAAAAGCAGGCATTCATTTATTCAGATAATATAGTACAGTGATTAAATTCATATACTCTGAAGTTAGATTGCTCTGTGACCTTGGGCAAGTTCTTTAATGTAAATGATTCCAGGTTTCTTTATCTATAAAATTAGAGTAACAGTACAGTACCTACCTCATATGATTATTATGAGGAGTAAGGAAGATACTTAGCCCAGAGCCATTCACTGTATGTAAGTCAGGCTCTGAGCACTCTGTTTAGACTCTGAGAATACAAAAATGTATCCCTGCCCTCAAGAAGCTCAGAGGAGGAAAAAAATAATAAAAGACACTTAACAATATGGTATAATAAGTATGATAATATAGGAGGAGATGCCACAAGTTTTTAGTTACTTATTTATCCAAGGACAAATTGATTGTTAGCTTTTATGTTAGATTTTACATAATGCCTCTACTTTCTCTTTATTGTTCTCTCTGTCCTTACATCCATCTGTTACTGATACCCTGTCAAGAAGGGATTTCTCAGGCTTAGAGTTGCAGGCATATTTAACTGTTAACATTACTTTTAATATGCTTACCCAGTACCCTCTGATTAAAACATGAATTGCCTTAGCATCTTGTGTTTCTAGGGATCTTCAAGTAATTATTCTTATCGGTCATAAGCCAGAGAACCAAAGATACTGGAACACAATGTTCTTAGATTAGGGGATCTTGGAACTGCTTTTCTCAAAATCTGCCTGTTGGGAAAGAATGTTTAGAAATGTTAGCTCTGGTTCATCATTCCAGAGTTGAAGCCATAACTATCATTGCATACTCCTTGGTGTATTTCCTTGGAAATCAAGTTCTGCTCTGTAAATAGCAAAGCATCTTTGTTTTTTGTTGTTTATTTGTTTGTTCTGTTTTCACACAGAACTCAGTAAATGCTTTTCTGTTTTCTAATATGTGAGCAAGAGCTGTTTTCATCTTAAGATTTGAAGGTCAAGTATTTTTCAGTTCTGTCTTTTGGTCTATTTCAAGAGGAATTTGTCTCTAAATGTGATAAGGGGAAGCATTTCAACAGGGAGGATTGTTAAATCAATATTAAAGTGAATTACTGAGGGACACTGGGGAATTTCCATTCATAGTGAATAGTCTGTTACCTCTTTCACAAAAACGATTGAAGTACAGTCTTGGCTGTAGACATTTGATTGGATTATATAGCCTCTTAGCCTGATTTTTTTTCAGTTCAGTGACCCTAGAAAACATCTTTCTATTTGATTGCTTAATGATTCTGGAAACAAGTACTTGATACCTATACCTCCATTTGCTTCCCTTTCAAAAACTGCATATGCACACACAAGCTACCTGATCTTGTGTCATAAGTATTTATGTTATGAAATAGCATATAGACTGTTTTGTTAGCTTGTTTGCTAACTCTGTAAGTGATATAAAAGAGGTTCAATAAGTAGTTCCTACCCTCAAGCAGTACCTCAGCTTTTTGAAAGTAACTCAGACCCAATTAGAGAACTACTTAAAGCTAATATAAGTCTTCTCCTAACTGGAAAAATTTGCATCAGTATAGAAGAAAAAAAATGGAAATACCATTCCCTTTCTAACTTGTGTGGTAGAGAAATAGTCCAGTTCTTTCTCTTTGGCATCAGGGATCTTTAACTTGGCTCCAAGGAGCTTTTCCAGCCTGCTACTCTGAAGAGTTGTCTTTTGAGTCCTGGCAGTAATTGCAACTGTAAATGCCTAGAAGAAATGCACTTCTGATTCTTTTTCTAACTTGCCTTTTTTTTGTTTTTGTCTGCTAATGACTATGTAGCAAAGCCTTTTAGGATTGTGGCTGAAGTGACAGTAGTAAATTGTCTTTAAGGGCTTGAAATTCTCTTCTTATGGAGCAAGGACATGGTACATGTCAGTTCTTCCCAACTTGATCTACAGATTTAATGTATTCCCCATTAATATCCAAGCAAGTTTTTCTATGGATGTTGACAAAGTGATCTTTAACTTTATATGGAGACAGAAGACCCAGAAGAACCAACAGAGTATTGAAGAAGAACAAAGTTGGAGGACTGATACTACCCATCTTCAAGACTTACTATAAAGCTGTAGTAATGAGGCTGGGTGCAGTGGCTCATGCCTGTAATCCCAGCACTTTGGGAGGGCGAGGTGGGCGGATCATGAGGTCAGGAGATCAAGACCATCCTGGCCAACATGGTGAAACCCTGTCTCTACTAAAAATACAAAAATTAACTGGGTGTGGTGGTGCGCACATGTAATCCCAGCTACTCGGGAGGCTGAGGCAGGAGAATCGCTTGAACCCGGGAGGTAGAGGTTGCAGTGAGCCGAGATCATACCACTGCACTCCAGCCTGGCGGTAGAGTGAAACTCCGTCTCAAAAACAAAACAAAACAAAGCTGTAGTAATGAATAAGATGTGGTATTGGACAAACAACAGACAAATAGATTAATGGAACAGATTAAAGACCCCAGAAATAGACCCACATAAATATAGTCAACTGAATTTTGACAAAGGAGCAAAGGTAATAAAATGTAGCAAAGATAGTTTTTCAACAAATAGTGCTGAATCAACTGGACATCCACATGTAAAAAAATGAATCTAGACCAGACCTTACACCCTTCACAAAAACTGACTCAAAATGTTTCACAGATCTGTATGTAAAATGCAAAATGATAAAACCCCTAGAAGATAACATAGGAGAAAATCTAGATGACCTTGGGTGGGGCAATGACTTTTTAATTGGTCTTGATTGTTCCCCAAAGGAAAAATCCATGATAGAAATAATTGATAAACTGAACTTCATTAAAATTTTAGACTTCTGTTCTATGAAAGACCCTGTCAACAGAATGAGAAGACAAGCCACAGAACTGGGAGAAAATATTTGAAAAAGACTTATCTGATAAAGGACTCTTGTCTGAAATTGCAAAGAACTCCTAAAACTCAATGAGAAGAAAATGAACAATTGATTTTAAAATGGGCCAAAGACCTTAACATATACCTCAGCAAAGAAGATACAGAGATACCAGATAAGCATATGAAAAGATGTTCCATATATATGTCATAAGGGAAATGCAAATTAAAACAACAGTGAGATACCACTACACACCTATTAGAGTGGCCAAAATTCAGAACAATGACAACACCAAACGCTGACAGGGATGTGGAGCAACAGAAGCTCTTACTCATTGCTGGTGGGAATGCAAAATGCTACAGCCTCCTTGGAAGACCATTTGGCAGCTTCTTAGAAAGTGAAACGCAGTCTTACCATATGATGCAGCAATTGTGCTTCTTGGTATTTATCCCAAGGAGTTGAAAACTTAGGTTCACCCAAAAACTTGCACATGGATGTTTATAGCAGCTTTATTCATAATTGCCCAAACTTGGAAGCAACCAAGATGTCCTTCAGTAGGTGAATGTATAAATAAACCCTGGTATATCTGGACAATGGAATATTATTAAGTACTAAAAAGAAATGAGCTATCTAGCCATTGATATAGAGGAAACTTAAATGCATATTATTAAGTGAAAGGAGCCAGTCTGAAAAGTCTACATATTGTATGATTGCAACTATGTGACATTCTGGAAAAGAGAAAGCTATGGAGGCAATAAAAAAATTAATGGTAGCCAGGAGTGAGGGAGTGGTGGAGGGATAACTAAGTGAAGCACAGAGGATGTTTAGGGCAGTGAGACTATTGCTCTAAAAGTATGTAATTGTGTATACATGCATCAAAACCCATAGAATGTAAAACACTGTGAGTGAATCTGGTGTACACTGTGGACTTTGGAATTTGTGGGGTATGTAGTAAATCTCTGTACTTTCTGTTCAGTTTTGCTGTTAACCTAAAACTACTCTAAAAAATAGTCTATTTAAATTGCAAAAAAAAAAAAAAAAGGCGAACACACTTGTAACTATGAGGTCAAGAAATAAAGCATTACTAGCACCGTAGAAGCCTTCCTCATTCCTCTCCTTTGTCACTATCTTTTTTCCTCTCAGTACTGACTTTTAACGGCACAGAGTAGTTTTGCCTTTTTCTGGGTTCTATTTAAATGAAATCATACAGAGTGCATCTTTTTGTGTGTCTGACTTCTTTTACTCAGCAGGAGTTGGGGTATTTCATTTGTGTTGTTGTATGTAGCTGTAGTTTATTTATTTTGAATTCAATATGGTATTCCATGATAGAATTTACTACACCTTATTTATTAGTGTGAACTGTATCACTTTTGGCTATTTAGAAACTTTTCTTTTGCTTTCATCCTGGTTATTGACTGGATACGTGACCTTTGACAGATGTTATGGTATGGGTAAAATATAATTTATTTAATTTTTAGTAGTAAAGATAGAAATTCAGGAACTGGCATAAACATTTAGAACTAATGAGGTATTATTGGCAGTTTAAAATTTTTTCATTTTAATTATAATGTTTTGTTGTTTTATCTATGTAAAGCTGATGTATTGCTTTGTGAAGGTACTTGCAAAATTACGCCTTGACTGATTAATTGCATGTCAGCTTCTGATTACTTATATGCTTTTTTATTGATGGAGTGTTCCTTTGTAAAATTCATTTTATTGTGTATGCAATTTGATTGCCATTTTAAAAAGGCAATGTATATGACATTTATTTCTTTTGTCATCCTTTACCACCAACTTCTTTTCTGGTCTTCCCCCATTAGAGAGGACTGTATAAAGCAGTTTTATGCTTACAGCTGATTTAATACATTTGAATGACATAAAATCCTAAAAGGTAAGTTAGAAAACAACCAAAAGCAAAAGCAGATTGGGTAACAAATATATATGGGATAGAATAAGTAATTGTAGGTCCCTTCGTAAATAGAACAGAAAAGTAAATAAGGGACATGCTACTTTGCCAAAAACATAAAAGGTAACAGGAAAAATAAAAACATTTTTTCAGTTCTGTAAACAAAAGAGGAGGATCAACAAAATGTAGAGACCTCAATCCTCATAGATAAGAGTGCTCCGCTTTCTGTTTTTTTTTTTTTAATATCATCAGTAATCAGTTAATTATAGAAAATGCCACTTATAAAGATCATGGAAAGCAGAAATAGAGTAGGGAGATAAATGGTTGAGGACTACTTTAAAAAGCTATTTATATCAGATGATTTGCAAACCTGATGACAAACAACCACTTAAGGAGTGGCAGATGCTACCACAAAGCCACTAGTCATTATTTGTGAACACTTTTGAGGTACAAAAGCCCCTGAAAACTAGAAAGGTAAAAATGTAGCAGCCACTTTTTAAAAAGGAAAAGGAGATAACTTAGGTAATCGGAGAATTAGAGGAGTAGTTAGTTTACAGTGACCTGTGACAATCTCAGATAATCCAAAGACTGGATTTTGAATTATTCCAGATAATTGATTATAGCTCAGAACCCATATTTCCCTCTACAAGTGAGGTAATTAGCAGGTGGCTCTATGAGAGATTTAGGTTATTCTAGGACAGGCTACTTTGATAAAGAACAAGAAATGAAATATTCTGTCTTGTCTAAAGTAAGGCTTTGATTGTGTCCCAAAAGATAGTCCTGTAAACAAAGCAGTAATTCCTTAGATGGTTCTGTCTAAACTGAGTGTCATTTTTCACTTGGGGGTATATGTTAAATGATGTTTATTAAGCA
The DNA here is from genome assembly GCF_000001405.40 of Homo sapiens. Lineage (NCBI taxonomy): Eukaryota > Metazoa > Chordata > Mammalia > Primates > Hominidae > Homo > Homo sapiens. The sequence goes on from NC_000010.11 coordinate 92,962,347, forward strand.
AAAATGTATATATAATGTAATGTAAAAATGTTAAAAATATATATATATATGGTTTTTTTTTGAGACAGGGTCCCACTCTGTCATCCAGGTTAGAGTGCAGTGACTTGATCCTGGCTTACTGCAGCCTCAACTTCCTGGGCTCAAGCAATCCTCCCACCTCAGCCTCCCAAATAGCTAGGACTACAGGCCCATGCTACTACCCTGGCTGATTTAAAAAAAATTGTTTTGTAGAGACAGGGTCTAACTGTATTGCCCAGGCTGGTCTCGAACTCCTGGACTCAAGCAATCCTCTTGCTTCAGCCTCCCAAAGTGCTGGGATTACACGTGTAAGCCGCTGTCAGGCCCTAAAGTGCATTTCTGTGGTACTGTGCTAATTGCTGAGGGGAAGATATGGAATGGTTCTTGACCACTAGGATTCTTTTAATCTAGAAGAGCAGATAACTACAAACAAATAACAACAGTGTGTAATAGTAGATGAATTTGGTCCTGTAGACATGTTTGATTTGGTTTTGTGGTTTTTCTAAATGTTTCGAATTTGCATACCTTTAGATGAGACTTAAACTCTATAATGATCCTGCCTACGGTAAATACCCTGCCTGCCATACTTATTCTTGTTACCTGCCTGGACCCTGAAGGCATTTAAGTATTTGTATCAGTTTGGAGCATGGGTAAGATTTTAATCAGCAGAGATGAGGATAAGGAAGAATTGGTATAAACCCATGCACAGAAGGCAGAAAGCTGAAGTTATATTCAGACATTCAGATAATGACCCAGAAGATGGAATATAAAATCATATTTATTCATCTTATGTTAATAAGGATGCTTATTTTTGGTTTAAAATAATGTTTGGTTTACATGTGTTTTGAATGTATATTCTGGGGAAAAATGTAATTTCTTCTAGAAGCAGTTAGTGTCAGTTTCCTTTACTTAAATTTCGATCTTCAGCTGTATCTGGGCTGTAGCTTTTTACCTAATACTTCACCTTGCATTATCTAACTCTCTAAGAAGTACTTTGTATTTCCCTCTGAAAATTGTTTTTGGTATAATTAACATAACTCTTACAGTAACCTACCTTTGTAATAGAACATTTAGTATACTATTTGTGACCTGCGTACTTTAGAACTATGATATTATTAATCTCTGGCTTATAGTCCATGATGACTGTATTTCTTTTTATAAAGAGCAATTTTTTTTTTTTTTTTTGGATCATGGCTCACTGCAGCCTTGAACTCCTGGGCTCAAGTGATCTTCCCACTTCAGGCTTCCGAGTAGCTGGGATTACAGTTGCGTACCATCTTACCTGGCCGATTTTTTAAAATTTATTTTTTGTAGAGATAGGGTCTCACCATATTACCCCTGTTAGTGTCAAACTCCTGGGCTTAAGTGATCTCCTGCCTCAGCCTCCCAAAGTGTTGGGATTATAGGCGAGAGCCTCTGTACCCAGCAAGATAATCTTTTAGAGAGATTTCTAGAACTTTATGATACTTCAGTTCTTGTAATTCCTACAAGCTTTTCATGGCTTTTAACTTTTGATTTCTTAGTTCATTATGGAGCAGATCTTGAGCTTTGTTTTACCCAGAGTATTGATCAAATGGTAATCTGTGATTTGCATGCGTATAAGGCACAATACATATCCTAAAGCCTAATACTCTTTTTTAAAAAAAAAAAAATCACAGTAATATATAATGAAAAAACCTGATGAAAAGTAACCAGGTGAATTAGTGCTTTTTGCTAATTTAATGAGATGCTTAGCACACAAATCCCTCTTTTATTTTTTGGTTGATTTTTAAGTACTAAATGTAAAGAAAATAATAAAACAAGAATATAAAGAATAAAACAACTTCTTTTGATTGCCACATTAACATCTAAAATAAATAATGGAAATTATATATATATTTTTAAAAAATTATAATTTATTGGCTTCTCTGGCCATTTTATTATACCTTTTCCTTCATTATAACTAAATACTATTAATAAATTATATTGGTTAGTCTTATTTGCTTTTTCCCTTCTGCATTAGTAGTGACATTGGATAATGAGTTGGATGCTATATGCAGTGTAACTAACATTAGAAATGTTTAGGTCAAGATAATGGATTATTGGAATTTTGTTTATTAGAGCAGGAAGAAGTTAACTAGGGAGGACACCTTTATGGTGATAGCTCTAACTTTATCTATTGCCTACATATTTGAAGCCCATAAAAATATACATGTATTTCCCTTGCTTTAAATGAGCAAAATTAAATGTAACTTTTTTCTTAAATATTGAATAAATGTTTCTATTATAAGATAGTTGTATTAATCAGGGTTATTAACAGAAAATTGACAGGAACTGATAGAAAAAGCAACTCAAACTTTCTTAAACAATAAAGGAAAAATTATTGGCCAGTGACACTGAGATGTCCAAAGATAGGGCACTGCTGCTCAGTAGATGTCACCATGGATCCAGAGTCTCTCCATCTTTTAACTCTGCTTTATGCAATTTTGGCCTCATCGTCAGACTACTTATAGTGGCCCAGCAGTTCCCAGCAGCTCTAGGCTGTCTCAGTCTGGTAGCAAAATGACTGCCTGCTCACAGTCCCAAACCTCACATCGTCATGTCCTGTCATCTAAAGGAAGAGAAACTGTCTCCCTCCACCAGCTGCTGTATAATTTTTTTGTAAGAGGATGGGACTGGTAATTGACTTAAACTTAGCAAGACCCAACCTTGGAGCTAGGTATCAGTTCAGTCTTACCCAAATGAGATAGCTGTGAATGGGGGCAGGGTGATTTTCCAAAATGTATTTAGGAATTATTCCAAGAGGGGGAATGGACAATAGACAGTAAATCGTATATGTTTACTAAAATCTTTAGCTATTACTACTTAGCTTTTATTCAAAACACACATGTTTATGCTCCAGGAGGTCTAGGTGGAATTTGTGCATGTATATGTTTTAAAAAGTTCCTCAGGTGGGTTCTGTTGCACACCTATGGTTGGGAACCACAGATAGTATATTTAATTCTTACACATTGAAATTTTTTTTAAAAGTTCTCAAATTATGCTAGATACATTTCTGCCTCCAGAGGGCACTATTTCCTTAACAAACAAAGGAAGAATTACTTTGTTTATAAACTGAATCCTTACATTTTATTTAAGAGTTAGCTGATATGCTGACTAGAATGTCAAGAGTTGATAATGCTCTTGACCTCCTGGTAAGGTCATAAGATTGAGAATATTCTGGGTTCAACTGTAGAACTCCCGAAGAAGTTCTAACTAATTTCCTTAGCAATTACTAAATCGTTAGTAATCATTAGTAATCATCTCTTAGGAATGTCTTACCAAATAATTTAGTGTATTCCTATGTATAACTACAGGAAAAGTTACATTGAAAGCCTTTTCTATCTTTTCTTTCTATCCTTGCTCCCATTTCTTTAAAAAGAAAATATAGTGAGCCAGTTCATGCAGCTATAAAGATCAGACACATATGTTTTCTAATGATTATATTTGTCTGGATTATAAAATAAGCAGAATTCTTAGTCCTTAGAAAAGTCCTTTCAACTGTTGACTTTAATCATATTCCTGCTCGGGAGTGCTGTCTGAAATTTTTCTTTGACACAGTACAGCCCGTGATTCCCTGACATAGATTTATTTGCTTCCTATTATAGCCCGTGGAAAGCATTAATAAACCTTAAAAAATATTAGGTACCCTTCCCCGAAAGTTTTTTAACATCTTGAGAAAAGGTTATTTTAACTTAGATATTTTATGGGAAAAGTGGAACCTGCTTGTGGTGTCACCTCAGAAAAACAGACTTATCAACAAAGTTCTAGTGACAATAACAAAAAGCAATAAATAAATTTTTATGTTTTCCCTTTTATTTTTGCTTAGTTCCTTTTAGAAAGTGGTGTTTTCTGAACCACTTTTTCCCTAAACGTGGTCTAGAAAGCATGTAATTATAATTATTATTATTATTATTATTATTATTATACTTTTAGGGTACATGTGCACAATGTGCAGGTTAGTTACATATGTATACATGTGCCATGCTGGTGTGCTGCACCCATTAACTCGTCATTTAGCATTAGGTATATCTCCTAATGCTATCCCTCCCCCCTCCCCCCACCCCACATCAGTCCCCAGAGTGTGATGTTCCCCTTCCTGTGTCCATGTGTTCTCATTGTTCAATTCCCATCTATGAGTGAGAATATGCAGTGTTTGGTTTTTTGGTCCTTGCGATAGTTTACTGAGAATGATGATTTCCACTTTCATCCATGTCCCTACAAAGGACATGAACTCATCATTTTTTATGGCTGCATAGTATTCCATGATGTATATGTGCCACATTTTCTTAATCCAGTCTATCATTGTTGGACATTTGGGTTGGTTCCAAGTCTTTGCTATTGTGAATAGTGCCGCAGTAAACATACGTGTGCATGTGTCTTTATAGCAGCATGATTTATAGTCCTTTGGGTATATACCCAGTAATGGGATGGCTGGGTCAAATGGTATTTCTAGTTCTAGATCCCTGCGGAATCGCCACACTGACTTCCACAATGGTTGAACTAGTTTACAGTCCCACCAACAGTGTAAAAGTGTTCCTGTTTCTCCACATCCTCTCCAGCACCTGTTGTTTCCTGACTTTTTAATGATTGCCATTCTAACTGGTGTGAGATGGTATCTCATTGTGGTTTTGATTTGCATTTCTCTGATGGCCAGTGATGATGAGCATTTTTTCATGTGTCTTTTGGCTGCATAAATGTCTTCTTTTGAGAAGTGTCTGGTCATATCCTTCGCCCACTTTTTGATGGGGTTGTTTGTTTTTTTCTTGTAAATTTGTTTGAGTTCATTGTAGATTCTGGATATTAGCCCTTTGTCAGATGAGTAGGTTGCAAAAATTTTCTCCCATTTGTAGGTTGCCTGTTCACTCTGAAGGTAGTTTCTTTTGCTGTGCAGAAGCTTTTTAGTGTGATGGTGTGAATGGTTTTGTCATCATTTAAAATTTTCTTCTTTCAGATAAAAATAGTGTTTTTTCCCTCGTGACTTAAAAATTTCTAGATATTTGGTCTCTACCACCCCCTCAACTTTTGGTTAATATTTCAATTGTCCCATATTGCTTTTTTAAATCTAGGAAAATGTGAACTAACATCTTTATTTTATTTTAATAAAATTCTATAAACTAAAAAAGAGAATTAAAGCTGGATTTAAATTTGGTTTTAATAAAATACCCAGTTTTATATCAATCTAAAGTTAACCAAGTACTTTAGCTCTGTAAGTTTGGAGGAGGGGAGCTTCTTGAATCTGGCTTTTAAAAGCTTGTTATGCATCTTCTCTTCCTGCCTATATTAGAGGCATCCCAAAAAAGCAAAAGAAATCATAAATAGTGGTCTGAGTGCAGATAGGAAATGCAGCGAAAGATAGGAGCAATCAGACTCTCAATTTTCTTTGCCTGGCGATAGAAGGGAAGCAGGTTGAGTATTTATGAGATGATTGTACATAGTTCTGAGGTTTAGGGTTCTCTTATCCAGCTGCCTTCTGGAATTACTGCCTCTCTTCAGTTGTGTAGTGAACTATATTCATCTGCTTAGATTCAGTAAATGTAGTGAGACATGAATGAGGGAACTGATTATGAACACTGGGGCAAAATGCAAAATGGTAAATACATATTTTTATATTGCTTTGAGAAAATTGACTTACAAATGATGTCATTAAGGTGTGTTATCTTTAGTTCTGTAGGTCATAAGCATTTACCATCTTAGGTACCTGCCCCTAATGTTAATGAAGTTAAAGAGAAATAGGTGTTACTGCCATGAATTATACATGTTAAATATGACACCCCTTTCCACTGGTTAGTGTTTCACCTTTTTTTTTTTTTTTTTTTAAAGGCAAGGTCTTGCTCTGTCACCCAGGCTGCAGTGCAGTGGTGCAATCGTAGCTTACTGCAGCCTCAAACTCCTGAGCTCAAGCGATCCTCCCACCTCAGCCTCCTGAGTAGCTAGGACTATAGGCACAAGCCACCATGACCAGCTAAACTTTTTATTTTTTGGTAGAGACAGAGTCTCACTATGTTGCCCAGGCAGTTATTTAACTCCTGGCCTCAAGTGATCCTCCTGCCTCAGCCTCCCAAACTGCTGGGATTATAGGCATAAACCACTGTGCCTGCCATGTTTTACATAAAAAAAATTCTGTTAATGTTTAATACCCATTTTTTTCTCCCTTACGTAAAAATAACTACACTAAGTTAAGCCAACTTGGGCAATTTGGAAGGCTTGGAATTGTGATATATTAATAGTCTCCATACAGTTCTTTTAGTAAGACATTTATTGAGCATTACTAGGTAAAAAAACATAAGTAAGTATAAGAAAACTAATTTGTTTTAGCCCCTTCTGGGTGCCAATTACTGTTAGGTACTTTGTTTTAATTATAGAAGCTTGTATAATGCTCAAAACAGCCCTGTGAGATGGGGATGATTCTCATTTCATAAATAAGAAATTAAGTTAATTTGCTTAAGATGTAAAGATAAGTGAAATAGTGGGAATCAGACACCTTCCCATTTTCCCAAAACCGTTTTGTTTTTTTCTATTAAGTAAGTGGAAGTATTAACCCATATTCTTTATGAGTCATTTCTTCGTTACTCATTATTAGCAGGAATGGATTTTTTAAATGGCTACAAATTCCTTGACACTTCTCTCATTGAGAAGTGGGGACCTGTATCCCCTTCTCTTGATCTGGGCAGACTTGTGACAGCTTTGACCAAGAGAGTACAGTAAAAATCATTTGAGACTTTAGACTTCTGAGGCTAGGACATAAAAGGCAATGTGTTATTGCCTTTATTCCAAGCATGGAGCACACATGCTTGGAGCCCTGTGCTGCCATGTAAGAAGCCCAGTTACTCTTTAGCCACTTTAGTGCTTTGAGGAAACACTAAAGTGCTTGGCTTTGAGGCAGCCAAGCAACATGGAAAGGCTACCCATCCCCGGTGCCAGACATATGAGTGAGGAAGCCTCCAGATGATTCTAATCCCCAGCTATTGAGTCTTATTGCCAGCCTTCAAGTCTTTTCCAGCTGAGGTCACAGATGCTGTAGTACAAAGTCATCTCCACTGTTTCCTGACCCATAGAACCTGTGAGTATAACAAAATATTTGTTATTTTAAGCCACTAACTCAAAAATAGTAACTGGAACAGCCACCACATAAATACTTCTTCTAGATTCCTATTTTTCCATATCACCATGTAGCTTTTCCTCCATGAAACCCTATTTCTAACCAACATGATCTCTTCTTATTTGGTATACCTTTACTATACATGTAGTTAGTATTAATTTGTGCATGTTTATTCATTTTGGGATTATTGTATTTTCTTTCTTTTATTTTTATTTATTTATTTTTTTGAGATGGAGTTTCACTCTGTTGCCCAGGCTGGAGTGCAGTGGCGCGATCTCAGCTCACTGCAACCTCTGCCTTCCGGGTTCAAGCAATTCTCATGCCTCAGCCTCCTGAGTAGCTGGGATTATAGGCGTACACCACCACGCCCGGCTAATTTTTGTATTTTTGGTAGAGACAGGGTTTCACCATGTTGGCCAGGCTGGTCTCGAACTTCTGACGTCAGGTGATCCACCCACCTTGGCCTCCCAAAGAGCTGGGATTACAGATGTGAGCCACCGCACCTGGTCGACTATTGTATTTTCTATCCTTATCTAGATTTTCTGTCCTCAACTAGATTATAAACTTTTTTCAAGACAGGGGTGATTTCCTTTTTTCATTTAACAAGTGCTCATCTACTGCTTACTATGTGCCAAGCACTGTTCTCGGTGCTAGGGATATATCAGTGAATGAAAACAGACACACACTTCCTGCCTTCATTCCATATCTCTGGGTTCCCCATCTTGGATTCAGCCTATCATAGATCAAAAATATTTGGAAGAAAAAATGCGTGGTGCATCTGTACTGAACATGTACAGACTTCTTTTTCTTGTCATTATACCCTAAACAATACAGTGTGACAACTATTTACATAGCATTTACATTGTAGTAGGTGTTATAAGTAATCAAGAGATTGTTTAAAATATACAGGAGGATGTGTGTAGATTATATGCAAATACCACACCATTTTATATAAAGGACTTCAGCATCTGCAGATTTTGGTATCCGAGGGAGATCCCGGAACCAATCTCTTACCAGAGGATGACTGTATAAGTTAACTATTTTGAGTCAGAGCTCATCTTGCTACTACCATATTTAATAGTGCTTCATTAAAATTTCAATTCATATAATTAACATTAACTTAAATATCTGTTTTATCTAAAGTAATGTTTATTTTTACTTTCTTCTGTAGTTGAGGGGAAGCTCTGTTGAACTCAGTGCCTCTCCTTAATGTCAGCTTTGTGTTGAATCACTGAATGGGGAGAGAAGAAATATCTTCGAATTCTTGTTCTAATCCTACTGTGAAGCCAGGCATGCAAATAGAAAGATGTCTATCAATAGTTGGTTTTCCCCAGCCCACCATGGCAGTGAGTAGTAAGTGGTTAGTGTGAAAATTGGAGAGGGAGCCAAAGAAGTGTTAAAATGTGGGAATGGTACATTTTGATTATTCATCTGAGAATAATGTGTGGTCTGTTCTTGCTGAGTGGAGTGTACAATAGATGTCTGGTAGGTCCAGTTGATTTATATTGTGGATCAAGTCTTCTGGTTTTTCTGCCTGCTCAAATCTGCTGTTGAACTTCTTTAGTGATTTTTTTTCTTTTTTTTTGAGACGGAGTCTCGCTCTGTTGCCCAGGCTGGAGTGAAGTGGCGCGATCTCGGCTCATTGCAAGGAACACCTCCTAGGTTCATGCCATTCTCCTGCCTCAGCCTCCCGAGTAGCTGGGACTACAGGCGCAGGCCTGGCTAATTTTTTTGTATTTTTAGTAGAGACAAGGTTTCACCATGTTAGCCAGGATGGTCTTGATCTCCTGACCCCGTGATTCACCCGCCTTGGCCTCCCAAAGTGCTGGGATTACAGGCGTGAGGCACCACGCCCAGCCTAGTGATTTTTTTTTCACTTCACTTATTGTACTTTTTTTTTTCTTTTTTTAGATGGAGTATCACTCTGTCACCCAGGCTGGAGTGCAGTGGCACCATCTTGGCTCACTGTAACCTCAGCCTCCCAGGTTTAAGTGATTCTCCTGCCTCAGCCTCCCAAGTAGCTGGGATTACAGGCACACACCACCACGTGTGGCTAATTTTTTGTATTTTTAGTAGAGATGGGGTCTCACCATGTTGGCTAGGCTCATCTCGAACTCTTGACCTCAGATAATCCACCCACCTGCCTCGGCCTCCCAAAGTGCTAGGATTACACGCGTCACTTATTGTACTTTTTAATAATTTCTATTTATATTCCCTATTTATTGATGTATTCTCATAATTTTCTTTTAGTTCTTTAGATATGGTTTCCTTTTGTTCTTAAGTTTTTGTCTTATAAGTTCAACATCTGAGCTGCCTCACAGTTTCTATTGGTTGCTTTTTTTCCGTGTATTGGTCATACTTTGTTTCTTTGCATAACTTGTCATTTTTTGTTGATAACTGTACATTTATAATAATATAAGATGACAACTTTGGAAGTTCTCACCTCTCCCAAGGGTTTGTTGTTTCTCCCATCTGTTGTTTGTTTTGTGACCTTTCTGAACTAAATCTGTAAGTCTGTGTTCTTTGTCATATGTGGCCACTGAAGTCTTTGCTTGGTTAGCTTAGTGGTCATCTGGTGATTGGATACAGATCTGCTTAAAAGCCTGGAACCTGTAAGTCCCCTAGTCTTTGCCAAAGGGCTCCGTGCACATGTTGGGGTGTGTCTTAAACACTGAGATAGGAAGTTAATCACTCTGCTTTGACTTTTACTTCCTGCTTGCACATGATACCAGTGGGCTAGGGGACGTCCCCAAATGCTGCTGGGACCTTGATCCCAGCCAGTGTCCAGGCTCTTGATACTGTCGTGAGAAGGAATTCAAGGATGAGTCAGAAAATAGTGAAAGTATGGAGACTTAATTGCAAAACAAAAAAGTACACATTCAAGAGAGGGGAGTGCAGGCACACTTGAGAGAGAGAGAGTGAGTGAGTCATGCACAAGGTGGGGTGGAGCTGCTATCTTTATGAATTTCTTTAACCAAGGGATGAAATATTCATGATGATTCCTGGAAAAAGGTGGAATTTTTTTTGGAACTGTGGTGCCACCTGTTTTTACACCAAATATGAGTGTTCCTAAAATTGTCATGGCACTGGTGGGTATGTGATATAGTATGTTATGAGTGTACATTGAGCCCTGGGTGAAACTTAGGCCAAATCTATCACCATGTTGAGTCCTGTCAGTCTTAGCCAGCATGGTTTACACCCTGTTTTTCAGGGTCTTGTCTTATCAGCCCATAGCTTCTGCAGCTATTTCAACAGTTTCCTTTGGCTAGTCACATAAAACTGCTGCCTAGAATTTCATTTTCTCCTGTCACTACCCTGTTTTATTTCTGTCTTGCACAGAGCTTCAAGGTCAGCCATAAATGAGAGCTTGGAGCCTTCTTAGGTCTTTCCCAAGTGTGTACACAGCCCTATGTATGTATGTGGCCGTTTAGATGCCCAGGAATCTGTTAGAGCTTTTCAGAGTCATCTGTGGACATTTTATTCCCTAATTTTTCCTTTTAAGCCCTTTGGTTGACCTATCGTTTGTCCCAGTTGTTACCTACCATCTCAGGCATCCTCCATGTTAAACTTATTGCCTCTAATTGTTTTTGACAGCTGCCCCTGGGGAAAAGGCTTTTTGTACTAGGCAAGTCCTGATTCAGGTCAAATAAAGACATCCCTGTAAATAGGCATGGAGTCTTCCAGGGAACCACCAGATAGGTCAAATAATGATAATTCTCTGAGAATGTGGCTTTGAAGGAGCTGCAGCTCTGTTCTGTCTGCTTTGATAGCTGGCAAGCTATAGGTTTCCACCAGAGTTTTAGAATGTTGTCTTTTGAGAGTACTGTAGAGCTGGAACAGAGGAAGAATAATGGAAATAGGGCACATTAAAATGCTACAAAGCTCATTTTTCTACCAAGATTTAGCTGTTTTTCTTGAATAAATGATGCCTGTATTTCTGCAAGTTTTGAACTAATTTTCAGAGTTCTGAAAAGGTTGATTTTGACAATTTTTGATAAGTTTTCTGGTTACTTTTATGGATGAGAAAATGTTTGGAGATCCTCCCGCTGTTATTTTTGCTGGCATCACTCCTATTGTTTCTTTCTTCTCAGAGAAATTAACTATCTCAATCTCTTTCTCTTCTGCCTCCACCCCTGCTTAAACTCAAAGCACTGGCAGATATTCCATTTCTTCTGTGATAGTCCAACTTAATTGCTCTCAGTGAATCAGGGGTTAGATAGAGGTGGTCTTCTGTGTTCTTGGCAACTTTCGTTTTTCTACTTCTGTTTCTCCTAAGGGTCCTCTTAGAGTTGTGAGAACAAGTCAGGAATTAATATCTCATAAAGTATTCTATCACATAAAGACAAAAAAAGGTGATAGGTTAGAAAGGAACTAAGAAAAGATGTGATGTGATATCCAGTCAAATAAATAGAGTACTGCCAGAAAAAAAAAACCAACAGTTTTCCTGGACTTTGAATAAATGGCTAAAATATTAAACCAAAGGTAAATGTAAAATAATATCTAGAATTGTAAGAACACTTGTTTTATTATCTGTTTCTTGTCTTTGTTGTTATTTTGTCCCATGTCAGGATGCTCGACATGCAGCAGAAGGAGAAATATATACCAAACTGAATCAAAAAATTGATGAATTTGTTCAGCTTGCTGATTATGACTGGACAATGTCTGAGCCAGATGGAAGAGCTAGTGGTTATTTAATGGACCTTATAAATTTTTTGAGAAGCATCTTTCAAGTGTTTACTCATTTGCCTGTAAGTATAAAAATTTTCAAAAATTGTTTTATGTTTGCTTACTAAAGTATATTTTAGAATTTAGTTTGAGGTTTCCTTGCTTAAACCAACTTCTTGGAGTGCATGTTTCTTTCTCCATTATTATAAATCCATTTGTAAGGAATTATAACTTAGCCAAATTGTTTGAAATTTTAATTTATTTTATTTTTAACCAAAATAACTGTAACTCTCTTTCCACCAAAGCCAAGGCAAAACCCTGAAACTGACAATATAGACTTAAATAGAAATAATCTCTAATAGAAATAATTTACATAGAGTTAACACAATTGCTCGTCTCCCTCTCCCGTCTCCCTCTCCCCACGGTCTCCCTCTCCCTCTCTTTCCACGTCTCCCTCTGATGCCGAGCCGAAGCTGCACTGTACTGCTGCCATCTCGGCTCACTGCAACCTCCCTGCCTGATTCTCCTGCCTCAGCCTGCCGAGTGCCTGCGATTGCAGGCGCACGCCACCACGCCTGACTGGTTTTCGTATTTTTTTGGTGGAGACGGGGTTTCGCTGTGTTGGCCGGGCTGGTCTCCAGCTCCTAACCGCGAGTGATCCGCCAGCCTCGGCCTCCCGAGGTGCCGGGATTGCAGATGGAGTCTGGTTCACTCAGTGCTCAATGGTGCCCAGGCTGGAGTGCAGTGGCGTGCTCTCGGCTCGCTACAACCTCCACCTCCCAGCCACCTGCCTTGGCCTCCCAAAGTGCCGAGATTGCAGCCTCTGCCCGGCCGCCACCCCGTCTGGGAAGTGAGGAGCGTCTCTGCCTGGTCGCCCATTGTCTGGGACGTGAGGAGCCCCTCTGCCTGGCTGCCCAGTCTGGAAAGTGAGGAGCGTCTCTGCCCGGCCACCATCCCATCTAGGAAGTGAGGAGCGCCTCTTCCCGGCCGCCATCCCATGTACGAAGTGAGGAGCGTCTCTGCCTGGCCGCCCATCGTCTGAGATGTGGGGAGCGCCTCTGCCCCGCCACCCCGTCTGGGATGTGAGGAGCGCCTCTACCCGGCCGCGACCCCGTCTGGGAGGTGAGGAGCGTCTCTGCTCGGCCGCCCCGTCTGAGAAGTGAGGAGACCCTCTGCCTGGCAACCGCCCGGTCTGAGAAGTGAGGAGCCCCTCCGCCCGGCAGCCGCCCCGTCTGAGAAGTGAGGAGCCCCTCCGCCCGGCAGCCACCCCGTCTGGGAAGTGAGGAGCGTCTCCGCCCGGCAGCCGCCCCGTCCGGGAGGGAGGTGGGGGGGGTCAGCCCCCCGCCCACCCAGCCGCCCCGTCCAGGAGGGAGGTGGGGGGGTCAGCCCCCCAGCCGCCCCGTCCGGGACGGAGGTGGGGGGATCAGCCCCCTGCCCGGCCAGCCGCCCCGTCCGGGAGGGAGGTTGGGGGGTCAGCCCCCTGCCCGGCCAGCCACCCCGTCCGGGAGGTGAGGGGCGCCTCTGCCCGGCAGCCCCTACTGGGAAGTGAGGAGCCCCTCTGCCCGGCCAGCCGCCCCGTCCGGGAGGGAGGTCGGGGGGCCAGCCCCCCGCCGGGCCAGCCGCCCCATCCGGGAGGGAGGTGGGGGGGTCAGCCCCCGCGCCCGGCCAGCCGCCCCGTCCGGGAGGTGAGGGGCGCCTCTGCCCGGCCGCCCCTACTGGGAAGTGAGGAGCCCCTCTGCCTGGCCAGCCGCCCCGTCCGGGAGGGAGGTGGGGGGGTCAGCCCCCCGCCCGGCCAGCCGCCCCGTCCGGTAGGTGAGGGGCGCCTCTGCCCAGCCGCCCCTACTGGGAAGTGAGGAGCCCCTCTGCCCGGCCAGCCGCCGCGTCCGGGAGGGAGGTGGGGGGGGGGGTCAGCCCCCCGCCCGGCCAGCCGCCCCGCCCGGGAGGTGAGGGGCGCCTCTGCCCGGCCACCCCTACTGGGAAGTGAGGAGCCCCTCTGCCGGGCCACCACCCCGTCTGGGAGGTGTGCCCAACAGCTCATTGAGAACGGGCCATGATGACAGTGGCGATTTTGTGGAATAGAAAGGGGGGAAAGGTGGGGAAAAGATTGAGAAATCGGATGGTTGCCGTGTCTGTGTAGAAAGAGGTAGACATGAGAGACTTTTCACTTTGTTCTGTACTAAGAAAAATACTTATCCTGTTGATCTGTGACCTTACCCCCAACCCTGTGCTCTCTGAAACATGTGCTGTGTCCACTCAGGGTTGAATGGATTAAGGGCGGTGCAAGATGTGCTTTGTTAAACAGATGCTTGAAGGCAGCATGCTCGTTAAGAGTCATCACCACTCCCTAATCTCAAGTACCCAGGGACACAAACACTGCGGAAGGCCGCAGGGTCCTCTGCCTAGGAAAACCAGAGACCTTTGTTCACTTGTTTATCTGCTGACCTTCCCTCCACTATTGTCCTATGACCCTGCCATCCCCCTCTGCGAGAAACACCCAAGAATGATCAGTAAAAAAAAAAATAATAAATTAAAAAAAAAAAAACATAATTAATGGCTTTTCCAGTTAGAAAGGACCAAGAAATTACTGGCTATTTTTGAGCCAAGAGAGTAAAAGTAAAACTGGAGCATTGTTCTATCCTGGCACGTAGTCATAGCACATCTACATTTTGGACAGTTGGTTGATGAAACATTAAAAAAAAAGATACAGCAAGGACATTTGGATATAAAGAAGCTGAAATGTTAGATTCTTCAGATGAGGACTGCAAAGACTAGAGATATTATGGTGGGATGAACATACTCTTACTAGGTATATCCAGAAATAATAAAACTGTTAAAACATGAATGCAATAGTTTTATACAAAAAAATAGGAAGAAATTTTATCAACCTTTTTATCTTATGATACGATATAGCTGAACAGAAGAATAAAGTGTTTAACCCATTTATGCTGGAGGTTGCAAATTATTTTGTGTGAAAAATCAGATCTTGGAGATGACCTTGAGCAGTGTGATATAAATAACTCCCACAAGCTTAGTGTTCCAATAATGGAATGCTAGGCATAAGTAGGTTAATCTGGAACCTACACAGCTGCGCCCAACCATCCTCTCTCTGCTTGGAATGGGGAAAAAAAAAGGTAATTTTCCTCATCCTTTACTCTTTCTCCATCAGAAACTGCTTCAAAGAACCAATTAGAAAAGTTGAGGGAAGGTGTTCCTAAAAAAAATTAATGGAAGACTATTTTAAAGAGATTGTCATCATGGATCTGGGCCAGAGAATTTTAGAAGCTTACCCAGGGATGATACTGTATTCCTACCCAGGGATGATACTGTATTCCCAACTGCTGTCTTTGAACTGAAAAAGGAAATCTATAAATATATTTAATTTTTATATCAATGAATTTTTATAGAAGTGCTTTTTATATAGTTTATACTAAATGATTGTTAAATTAATTTGAATTCACCTTGTCAGTATAAATCATGCTTCTAGCCAAAAGCAGTCCTCAAGAACAAACACATGTACGTGCTTGCAGACACACACACACACACATACACACACACACGTTTTATGTTTTAATATCTGTGTCATGTATTGCTTTGAGGTGATGGGTAGGAATTTTGTACATAAATGGAATAGGATTAAGAGAGATTATGTGTTAGAAATGTTTGGGGTAAATGTCTCACCTTCCAAGGTCACCTTCTAGGCTGACATCCTAGAGGAAACCCTGCTTTTTCATAAGACATACTCTGGTGGCATTGAGAGAAATAGAATCCTGGTCTAACTAGATCACTCATCTATCTGTTACGACATTTTGTATGGCTTTAGCTGAGTCTTCATATGCCATTTTGGATTTTTATGTCATCTAACATAGATTTTTCTATAAAGGAAATAAATTTTTATAGACCAATAAATTCAACAATAAATACAAGGTACAACCATATAAAAAGAAAATAATAGTTTACACCTAAGAAAAAAGAAAAGTGGGCTGGGTACGTTGGCTCACACCTATAATCCCAGCACTTTGGGAGGCCAAGATGGGAGGACCACCTGAGCCTAGGAGTTCGAGACTAGTCTGGGCAACATGGTGAAACCCAGTCTCTACAAAAAATACAAAAATTAACTGGGCATGGTGGCGTGTACCTTTAGTCTTGGCTACTCAGGATGCTGAGGTAGGAGGATGGCTTGAGCGTGGGAGGTGCAGGCTCCAGTGAGCCGTAATCATGCTACTGTGCTCCAGCTTGGGTGACAGAGTGAGACCTGTCTCAAAAAAAAACAAAAGAGAAAAATGGTCCTAACAACAATATATTGTTATTCAAGAATGAACTAAAAGCATGATTTTCAAGCAAAAATAATAAATTATTGACTATGGTAAATTTTAGAGTCAATAGAGTGATTATATTATTGCTTTGTATATTAGTTTTCTAAAATCCTGAAATTGTATTAAATATTCAACTAGATTGTTTTAAGCAAAGAGAAGAGGCAGAGGCATTAAATCTATTATTTTTCTAGATGAAGTATGGCATTACATTAAGCTACCATTTTTATTTAAATGTTTTAAGTTGAAAATGATTTCTTGGTTTAAGGTTATTCTTGGACCCAAATAGAGTAAAGGGCCAATTCTGGCCTTCTTTAACCCTCAAAGAAGCTTCAGACGAAGCTTATCACATTTAACTGCAAATCAGTCCTCTTAAGCAGAACAAGCCATCCTACTTACAGACATGAGTTAAGTGGTGGTTCTGGTTGGGCCCCGTGCCCTGTCTTTGGTTTTGGTAGTGTTCAGGAACAATGGAGTACGTTAGAGTCAATGGAAGCTGAGAAACCAAGGGGCACTCTTTCAAATGTGCAAATATTGTCCAATAGTGCAAAAATTTGGAGATTTTCTGGGATAGAGGTGACTCTGTCACTCCCTAACCCTGAAAGTTACCTGATTGAACCTTTTAAGCTTTTAGCTTAAAAGCTCCACCCTTAGTTTCACTGAGTATTTAGTTTCTGTCAGTCCCCTGCCAAAAGGGATCCCTTCCCCTCCCTTCCCCTCCGGTGAAGTCTTGCTCTGTCACCCAGGCTGGAGTGCACTGGTGCAATCTTGGCTCACTGCAGCCTCTGCCTCGAGGTTCAAGCGATTCTCCTCCCTCAGCCTCCCGAGTAGCTGGGACTACAGGTGCAGGCCACCATGCCTGGCTAATCAGAATATTTTCTTAGTCAAAGATTGTCATGATGTGCAATTGCTGATGACCATTGCCTAGTGAAAAGTTCCATTTGTTCCAGAAAAGTTATGATCTATCCAGTGAGATTTTGTTCTCTGCTCACAGGACATGAGAACAGTACAGATTAATAGATAATGATGGTTTTGATGGAGTCCAGGGAAAGAACTCCATTATTTTCACATATTGTGGTAGCAGTGGAAACCTGTAGGATTTGGAAAACCACAATAACCCGAATAATGTTCGCTTTAAATACCTCTTATATCCAAGGTTAGATGAGTGAGAGAATTGATTACTTCCCTTGCTGGCTGTGGTGGCTCACACTGGTAATCCCAACACTTTGGGAGGCTGAGGCAGGAAGGTCGCTTGAGCCCAGGAGTTGGAGAACAGCGTGGGCGATATAGTGAACCTCATCTCTACAAAAAATTAAAAGATTAGCCTATTGGGAGGCTAAGGCAGGAGGATTGCTTGAGCCCAGGAGGCGGAGGCTTTAGTGAGCTGAGATCATGCCACAGCTCTCCAGCCTGGGCAACAGAGGGAGACACTGTCTCAAAAAAAAAAAAAAAAAAAAAAAATCCCCTCACCTTGCCTCCAGATTAAAATACCTATTCATCTGCATTTTTCTGTGCTGTAGCTGAGAAGGCAGCCTCTCTTCTGGCTACAGGAATTAACAGCAAGCTAAATAGTATTGATAGAAATAACAAATATTTTCCCATTACCCAAAATGTTAAGCTTCCCTGCTAAATATAGTATCTTCAATTAGAATAATAAAAAGGCAAATTCACGTGAGGAATGTTTATCTTTTATTGTTTCTAGAGGTCTGAGTGCTTGAGGATGTGCATAGATGGGCTGTAGAGTTAGAAATACTTATATTTGAACTTTAGATTTGTAATTTACTAGCTATGGGATCCTGGCAAGTTGCTTAATCTCTCTGAGCCTCTTCCCTTCTGCAAAATGAGCATAATCCATTTTTCCCATAGGACTGTCATAAAATGAATGAAAATAGTATGTAGAGAAGTTGTCTGGCAGGGTACTTGGCAAAAAGTGGGTACTGTTAATAAATGTTAGTTTGGTCTTTTATTCTCCTTTCTTCCCTTGTTACAGTTTTAAAACTATAGTATTAGTTTCATTGTGTAATGAAACTTTTTTCACTTTTTTTCTTGTTATATTTATGCCTGTGTTTTAAACTTGATATTAGTTTTCATTCTTATGACTTTGTATTATACAGCCACTTGAAAATGTTCTTTATTATGAAAGGCATTCATTGTAAGGCATATTTGAATCATTATTATAGCTTGAGTTGCAGTGCTTACAATTGCTAACAGTCAGATGCTAGCTAATGCCAATGAGGTCTGATTAATATGTAATTTTATCTCTAAATTAGTACCCTTGGAAATCATGCCAATTTTCAATATTTTAAATGTATAAGTTTCCCTTCTTTTAATAATTTTTTTCTGACAATTAGAAAATATAGCCAAGTATAAAGAAGGAGGCAAAAATCACCTTTATCTTGTTAAAAGATCATCATTGTTTTAGCTGGGCATGGTGGCGGGCACCTGTAATTCCAGCTACTCGGGAGGCTGAGGCAGGAGAATTGCTTGAAGCTGGTAGGCGGAGGTTGCAGTGAGCCTAGATCGCGCCATTGCACTCCAGCCTGGGCGACAGAGCACGACTCTGTCTTACAAAATAAAAATAAAAATCATCACTGTTAACATTTTGGCAAGTATTCTTGAGGTTCTCTTTTTCTATGCATTTATGACACTATTCTAAGGTGATTGTATAAGCAAGCTTTGTTTTTTAAACAAGATTTTATATTAGCCAGAAAACTTAAACCAGAAGAATTTTTAAAAACATTAAACATTCATTCATCACTGACATGAATATAAGTAGAATAAGTTGTTGAGCAGCTTGGACATATCTTGTTATTCTTCATGACTGCCAAATGGAACTCAGTAACGTTTTACTGTGAACTTACTGCCTAACCACCCAGCACTGGTCTGTTTCTGGAAATAACAGCTAACATTTTCTTCCTTTATAAATGTTAATTGTGTACTCATTTTAATGAAGGTAGTTTATTGATTTACCGGCCATAGGGGAGACATGTAAATGACAGTGAGTTTTAAAAATGTCTTCACATGTGTTTATCACTAAAGGTACCCAATTTATGCAAATATTTATACTAACACATGGTTGTCTTTTATGGTAGAAGTAAATAGAAGATATGGAATGATCAATTTGTTCATTTTTCTTCCTTTCTAGAAACTCTTCATTGTTTTGTCTTTAAGTATAATGTAATATTCTTTGCTTAATTTTGCTACTACTCTGGGGATATTAAATTAGTAGATAAATCTGGTTCTAATTTGAATTTTAAATATCAAAAAATTTATTCCCAGAAAGATATCTTTTCCTTTGCTTTCAAATATGCTTAACTTTTGATTTTCTGCATTAATGGAAGTGGTATGATGGACAATTTAAAAAAAAGACATGATCGGCTGGGTGCGGTGGCTCACGCCTGTAATCCCAGCACTTTGGGAGGCCGAGTTGGGCAGATCATGAGGTCAGGAGTTCGAGACCAGCCTGACCAACATGGTGAAACTCCGTCTGTACTAAAAATACAAACATTAGCCGGGCAGGGTGGCACATGCCTATAATCCCAGCTACTCAGGAGGCTGAGGCAGGAGAATCACTTGAACCCGGGAGGCAGAGGTTGCAGTGAGCCAAGATTGTGCCACTGCACTCCAGCCTGGGTGACAGAGCAAGACTCCGTCTCAAAAAAAACCAAACAAAAAAACCAGACATGATCTTTAGTAATAATATGAATTTACTGTTGGCATATGGTTCTCTATGTGGTAATTTGGGGTATTTTTCAAGAAAATCTCACATCAGAGATTAGATGCCTAAAAAGCTGTCCATTAAAAAAAATCTATTAACAGGAGTATTCCTCTGAATATCTTTTACTCTAAGATTAGTAAATGGCCTCAAGATCATGTTGGGAAATATATATCCCAAGATCCAATTGTGCACACTTCTTTCCAACTGTGCCTTGACAGTGGCATCACATTGGTAGCCATGGTAGGCTACCATGATTAGACCATTTTTTTAAAAATGGTCTAGAAAATGATTAGACCATTTTTTTAAAAAAAGGATACAAATTAAGGCTTTTTCCCCAGAGAATCATTGTTACATATTTACTAGCACACCACTAAATAAAGCATAACTTTTAAAATCATGCTGTCAAAGAAAAATTGTTTAGTTTTTATTAACTCAAGAAATCAAGCACAGTATATGCTCAATAATAAGATTAAAACTATTATAGTAGAAACTTCTTTCAAGATGGGGAAATGTACAAGTGTTACTCTATTTAAACAGCATCTTCTTCTCCATCTGTCCCTTTTAAGGTGTTTCTCTTTTCAGGTATTTCCTTTGAAGAGTTTTTTTTCCTTGGTTTAATTGTTTGCTTTGGGCTGTAGTGTTTTACTGATGTGCCAATTTAGTATCCTTTGTAAATTATTTTCCCACTAAATGTTTCTGATGTTACTAAATTTTTAATTTGCATTTTTAGTTTCCATTAATGATTTTAGAACATAATATGCTTTCTTTAATTGAGAAACAAATATATGCTCAAGAATAAATAAAGATACATTATTTGGATAGAAATGGATAGTATCTAACTTTTAAAATCATTCTCTCCTTAAGAATTCTTTCTGAGAATTCAGCACTATCTTGAAATTTTTGAGATTTGGGTTTTAGGCTTGATTCTTCCAATTAACCGCTATTGTGAAAGCAGACAAATTATTTAACCTCTGGATTAATTTGCTAATGTCTATTTTATTTCATAGAGCTAAAAATAAAGGTTGTTCTGTTTTGCTTTCATTCCAGTTAATACACATAAATGGTGTGATAAGTAGTCCAAAAGAGTTTGGAATGGAAAATAGACCCTCTCCTTTCCCTTTCCCCATTTCCACTCCCAGTCTTCCAGACTGCTGTTTTTCACTATTTGGTTTTATTTCTTCTGGTGGTTATCTTATTAAAAAACAGAGAATATCTAGTGAGCCTGTGAAATACAAAAGTACAAGTAGCAACCTTTCCCTTCCCCTTTTTTAAAGTATTGATTGTTACATTTTAAAATCTCTTCTATTTCTTTCTTTCTTCTTCTTTTTTTTTTTTTTTTTTGAGACAGAGTCTCACTGTGTTGCCCAGGCTGTAGTGCATTGGCGTGAGGGATCTTGGCTTACTGCAACCTCCTCCTTCCGGGTTCAAGTTATTCTTGTGCCCCAGCCTCCTGAGTAGCTGGATAATTACAGGCGTGCGCCACCACGCCCTACTAATTTTTGTAGTTTTAGTAGAGATGGGGTTTCACTGTTTTGGCCAGGCTGGTCTCGAACTCCTGGCCTCAAGTGATCCACCCACACTGGCCTCCCAAAGTGATAGGATTATAGGCACGAGCCACTGCGCCAAGCCTATTTCTTTATATAAAATAGTTATACTGTACTTCTATTTCTGGTTCTTTCTACTTTAATCAGTATCTTAATTCCCTTCTATTTGAAATAAGGGAGTTAGCCTTCCTCTCCTTTGCTCCATCAGTTCTTCCATCTATTCTCTTCTGATAGCTATACTATTATTTTTATCTTTATTCAGGTTATTAGTATTTACATTCTGACAACCACAATCAAATCTATCCTTTCTCGTAGGCTGGCTTTCCAAGCTAAACACCAGTAAACAGTACTGGTGTTTGTTATGATTATGCCCATATTGTTCCCTTTACACAAAGCATAGTATGCTTGCATTTTTTGTTTTCCTTTCATTTTGGGGTCCAGTATCCAAGTTCTGGGCACTTGAAGGAGAATAATTCTAGCATCATGGCCAAATAGATTTTTTAAAATTATACTCCATTATTTAATGAAATTATACACATTTTAGTTGACTTAATATTTAAAACATATTTTTTTCCTTTTTGATGAGTGAATATTGTACCTTCATCATATTGAGTGTTCTAATTTCCTTTCCTTCAGTTGTGTGAAAATGTCTTCTTTCCAAGAGGCCTCTTTTAAGAGGTCTTTGTCCCTAACCAGTACCGGTTGCTCTCTAGAATTGGGGCATAGCTGTTACCCTGGGACTTTTGTTCCTTGCTCTCCTGTGGTAGGAACTGTTTCTTGGATCCCAGGCTTCTTGTTTTTTTGTTTTGTTTTGTTTTGTTGTTGTTTTTTTAAAATTACCAGTCGGTTTTGCTGAATTCCCGTAAAACTTCAGTAACTTTAATAACTCTCCCACAAAAGGGAAATATACTATTTAAGTCTTTGCATATTAGAAAATGTCTTCTGTCTTCATGCTTGATTGATAGTTTGGCTGGTTATATAATTATAGGTTGATTAGCTTTTTCTGTGTACTTTCATTGCATTTCTTCATTGTCTTCTGGCATCCAGGTTTTAGTATCTGTTTTAAAATTTGAATTCTTCAGCCTGGGCAATGTGGCGAAACCCTGTCTCTACAAAAAATACAAAAAATCAGCCGGGTGTGGTGGCACACACCTGTAGTCCCAGCTACTTGGGAGGCTAAGGTGGGAGGATCGCTTGAGCCCAGGAAGTCTAGGCTGCAGTGAGCCATGATTGCATCACTGCACTCCAGCCTGGGCAACAGAGCAAGACCTTGTCTCAAAAACAAAACAAAACAAAACAAAACAAAACCTGAATTCTAAGAAACATCAAGAGAATGTATTCCCTTTCCTTCTTCTCCCTCTTCCTCCTTTTGCCCCATCCCCCTCTGCTCTCCTGTGCTCCCCTTTACTTCTCCCTGCATCAGGATCCTCAGCTCTCCCCAAAATATTCTTTCATTAGGGTAATTGCCTGTGCTCTCTGGCCCTCTGGGTGGGGGATCATTGGTACAATTGTTTCAGAAATCTTCAGTTATTTTCCCTGTTTTCCATCCCGTTTCTCATTTTTATCCTCATTCATACCTGCAACTCTGGACTTCTAATGCACAGCTGGCTCCAAGCTCTACTGTACTACTTCTCTGTTAGCATATAACGGGCAGTGGCTTTCTTTTCTCTGTTTCATCTGCTTTCTGTCTTGCAGAAAGCACCCGTTCATGAATTCCCACATACACCTTCATTTTTTTCTGCTGTTGAAAACATTTTATTCTTTTTTGAAGTTCTATACTTTTTATTTTACTCGTATCTCAGGATACGAGTAAACATTAACTTAGTCTGCCATCTTGATTCTGAACAACTTGCTTCCTTCTCCTAGAAGATTAGATCATCTCTAAAGTCCCTGTATATAATATTGTATGTTTGTAAGCATCATTCTTTCAGACAAATGTAACGTTTCAATCCAAATGTTGATTTACTTATTCTGACACCTCATGTCCTCTTTTAGCTCTGCACTTTTCTGCCCTTTATTTTTTGGTTCACACTTTTTTCTAAGTATATGGGTTCAGATGGCCTTTTACATGATTGAAAACTGTAAAGGAAAAAGGTAGTAGTCAACAGTACAATCATGGCTTTAATAACCCTTTATTTTATGTGACACCAAAAAGAATTGAAAAATACAAGGATTGCAATTTTTAAATTATGACGTAGGCAGCTTTGAATACATTTATGTGTTTTCCCTATCAAATGAAAATATAACCATATATTGTATATATATATATATCCTTAAAAATTGGTTTTTCTTACTTGAATGTTAATTTTTAAAAATTTATAATGGCATTGATTAATGTTGATGTGATTTATTGAATCTAATTCATGTAAAAATGATATATTGTGAACTGTGATACTTTCATTATCACATCCTGTGACATACATGGTAGTTATATGTTGAATGTTGTTGACTGACTTTTATTGACTAGGTTACTAAATTTTATCTGAATTTCATCTTAACTTTGTGGCCTTTATATCTCCTAAGACATCTTTATATACACTTTGAAAGATTAAAGAATGTGGAAAATATAGTTGAATAAAATAACTATGATGGTGGGATAATTTTACTAATGCAAATAAAATTTATTCGAAGTTAATCTAGAAAAAAGTTAGTGTTTATCTAGGGTCTATTCCAGTCTTCCAGAAGAGTTCTTTGTCTGGTTAACACAACTGCTGTCCCACTGCCTACTAGGGTTAATTAGGTTGACCAGCCTGGCTAGTGAGTATCTGCTTCTTCCATTTCTGCTTGTGGTTTCTCCTTTACTCATTGTGTATTTGGTGAAGAGGGCAGCTTCCCATATGGAGGGGGACCTTCAGTCTAGGCGATACTGGAAGTTCAGCTTCCACTAATACATAAATTCTGGTTTCATTGACCTAATATAATAAAGTTAAATCCACATATCTGGGTAAATATCTTTTTCTAAAAAAAAAAAAAAAAGTACTTGAATACCATATATTTTATTATTAAAATTTGAAAAGTAAATTAGGTAATTTAAAAAATTAAATAGTACTTTAAGGATAGTTTAATTAATTCTTATTATTTATGGAATTAATGTTTAATCCTTAATGTTTTTAAGGAATAAGCCAGTACCTTATAATTAGTACAGAACTACGGCAGGGGCATATATGTATTTAAATTGAGACCAGTGATTTAGTTTTTACTTTGACTTGCTATTCACTCCTTAGGGGAGACAAAACATTTAAATAATTAGCTGTAAAATAATTTAGTGTGCCGTCTTTCCTCGAGTAATTTATTTAAGCTGTATTAGCAGATTATGTGAAGAAGTAGACTTATCCTAAGCATCTTCAGAATAATATATTCTCTATAGTTTTGTCGTTTTTGAAGAAATTGACATTTCTTTCTGTATTAAAATCATCTGTGGGAAGAGCTTCTTGTTAAATATTTAGATTCCAGTGCTTGGCCCTAGACCTAACAACTAAAATTTTTGAAGCTTAACAAGCTGCATTTGTTGCTTAATATTTGAGAATCACTGCTCTGTAGCACAGAACCTTGTCAAAGAACTGATGTGTTCTAAATTTGCTTATTCAGTAGACATAAGTGCTAAAGCTCTTGGTTTTTTAATTCTGACTAGACAACTTGATGAGAGAGACAAAAGTTTGGAGGAGGATTTGTCTAATTAGTATGGATGTAAAAACTCATGCCTAAATCTTCAAAATAAAAAATTATGGTCACATTTATGTGATAGATGAATGCCTCTAAATTAGCAACAAACACAGAAAGAACTTGCTTGTTTTAGAGTATATTCCCTTTTGCTACTTTAAACACTGATTCTGCTGTGATTAGAATACATTTTCCTTTTTTATTTGATTGCCTTGCTGACTTCCTTCTCAGACTAACAACAATGATCATGCAGCCATGTCGGTAAGTAGATATAAACTAAAGCTAGCATGTACATTAGAAAATAATGAATTTCCTGCAGGCTTATTTTTCTCTGCTTAGGTATTTAAATTAAAGGCTAATTACTTTGGCAACATCCTTGATAAATTTTTAGTTTTGTGGAAACCTAAATTTGAAGGTAATATTAGTTGTTTGTGAAGCAGTCAAGATTCTCTGAGACTAGATTGTAAAAGCACTGCACTCACCTCAAATGCATCTTAATATTAAGGTGCATTTGGAAACTTCTCTGTGGTCTTTCCTCATCTGTAAAATGAGGTATGTGGCAACATATACCCTACAGATTTTTGTGAGCTTAAATGAAATAGTATACCTAAAATGTTTAGAAAAGTGCTTGGCATATAATAAATACTCAAAAAATATTAGTTGTTATCGTTACTTGTTTCAAAGATGGTTTATGCTTTTCCTGAATGCTTTTTCTCTACTACCCTGATCCCAAACTGCACTCGTAGAAGTCTAACCCAGTGCATGACCCAGTGTGATTCATGACCCAGTGCAGGTATTTCTTTCTCATCCCAGCCCAGTATTGGTCTTCTGAATTGCCTTAGCTCTTACCTTTTTTACGGCTTTATCGTATTTTGCTTTTTTTCCGTATTTGTCTTTTTCACCTTTACTTGTGAGCTCTTGACAGAATAAGAACTAACAAGTATTCTTTGAATGTATAAATATTGAAAATTCTTCTTAGGGAAAAACAAAATCTTATCTAGCATTTGAAATGCAAGTGTTCCTAACCTATATCCTCTTCTTTCTGTTCTTATTCCTGTTACTGAAGTTCAAGTTTTGATTAATGTAATTGTCTTCTAATTGGTCTCTACCAACAGTGTCTCCTTACTTCAGTCCATCCTATATACCAGTGCTAGATTATTCTTTCTGAAGCACAGTCTAATTTTATTTCCCTATTCAGAAACATCAGGGGTTCTTGATTATCTATTGAATTAAGTAGAAATTCCACAGGCTAGCAAAAAGAAAATTATCTCAGCCTCTTTCCACATATATTTCTGAGGCCGGACACGGTGGCTCATGCCTGTAATCCCAACATATTGGGAGGCCGAGGCAGGTGGATCACTTGAGGCCAGGAGTTCAAGATCACTGCTGACATGACAAAACCCCATCTCTACAAAAAATACACACACACACACACACACACACACACACACACACACACGCATTTCTGACCATTACTAAACATGTGCATCCAAACTGGCATATTCATTGTGTCTTGGATCTATCTTGGATTTTCTGTCTTAGCTTTATTTATAACTGTAAAAATCCTGGATCTCTTCCCAAAGACATTCTAATGCAACCTCTTTCACAAAGCCTTTGCTGATTCCACTTAACTGCATGTGGATACTTTGTCTTGCTTTTATGGTCCTGTTTTTATTTTATACTACTGCTGTTTGTAGACTTGCCTTCTTTTCCTTATTGTAGAACTTACACCTCTTATGTCAGGAACTACATCTATTCATCTTTGTATATTCGGTAATACTTAACACAGTGTCTTACACAAAGTAGTTGCTTGATAAGTGTTTTGTTAAGTATGAAAGAGTGAAGAAATGGACAACATGAAGGTCATTTTCTTGTTTGTATAAAGCGTATAAAAGTATACTGCCTAAAAAATCAATTTCCAAATTGAAATTTGTCAAATAGAGAATACTTTCTAGTTTTGAAGTGAAGGTGCAATCTATTATTCTCAGGCAGAAACTTGGAAAATATCTGTATGAGAGTTTAGTAAAGATGATACCAGTACTGATTAGAAATATTTGTATTTATACTTTACTCATTTCTTGCACACCTCAGTGAAGGAAAAATACAGTAACTAAAACCACAGCTCTCTAGACTCAACTGTAAATTTAGTAGTGATCAAAACAAAAGACCCTTTAGCACCAGAATAACTGTTGCAAATTCCCAACATTAAGGAGAAATACTTTGTCCTGTTGAAGACACAGACCCTTAGGCTTTCATTTGCCCTTTTTACTCACTCGATATAATAATCATTGAGTGCTTATTAAGCTTGCTAACAGACTTCCTGCTGATGAACCATATAATTCAACATACAGAAGTGATATTCAGAAGTAAAACTGACCGGCCATCCAAAAACTCAAATTGTTATTGTCAGTTTAAGGAGGCAGGGACAGATAATGGGATCAGTTTTAGATAAATTTGCATTAGAGATTTTGAAAGTTTGGCACTTGAATATCGAGTATTTTCAAAAAGTTCTTTATGTTGTAGTTATTTCTGTGGGAATCAAAGTGGTATTTCTATGACATATTTTGATATCCATTTTTATATTATATCCATTGTTATGAGTTAATTCCAGGTATACAAAAATCAACATGAACAAACCATTGACAATATAATATATCCCTGTATTGGAAAGAGTTAAAAAAACTTTGAGACAAAATATTTGAAAAATTTGGAAATAGTCAAGGTCCACTCTTTGAAATAGAATTTTTTTCTTATTAAGCTTTTTCTTAATGTTATAAAACAGTTGATTTTCACTACTAGATGTTAATTTTTTAAAATCTTGCTTCTTAGTTGAAAATGAACATATTTGTATTTCGTAACTTTAATCCTTTTAGACATTTACTAAGTTGTCTAAGTTAGCCAAGTTCTGGCTAATCTTGGTGAGAAATTTAATTTCATAAATTATAAGTCTTAAGTTTGTATATAGCATAGCATACTTAAATATTTTCCTGATGTCAAACATTGCAGAAAACAATATTTTGAATTGCCCTCGGTCAGGGCTTAGTTGGAAGTAGTAGTAATGAAAGGGCTTTTAAAAGGAAACAACACGAGAGTTTTAGTAGGAAGCCAGTGGATTAGGAAAGACCTATATAAAATGCAATTGAAGCTGTAGACCTTAATGAGAGTTACTTCATTCATGTTAACTAACAGAAGAAAGCAAAGCCACGTTGTGTTAGGAAGGTTGAGACTGTTTTTCTGTGTTTTTTTTCTATTTTAAGTTCCAGGGTACATGTGCAGGATGTGCAGGTTTGTTATATAAGTAAACATGTGCCATGGTGGTTTATTGCCCCTGTCAACCCATCACCTAGGTATTAAGCCCAGCATGCATTATCTGTTTATCCCAATGCTCTCCCTCCCCCAACCCCAGGGAGGTTGAGACTTTGACTGCACTCAGTCTCTGAGTCATTTTTTCCCCCATCATAACCCGTTTCACAGAACATGTTATTCAAATGTGTGCCTCAGCAAATGAAGTTCTGCTTGTACTAGACTCTGAGAGTCAATATCAAGAATTGAAACCTAAATACAAATTCATGAGTGACAAAGACCTACTTTGTGCTATCTTTTTGTGTATGGCTGTTTATAATAGTCTGCCACCTACATCTATGAAAGGGAAGCCAGTTTGCTTGAGTGACATTTGTCAACTTTACTAATTAATGATTATATGTAAACCACTTCTGTTGTCTAAACCATTAGTGATTCTGGCAACTTTTTTTTTTTTTTCCCAAGACAGAGTCTGGCCAGGTGTGGTGCCTCACACCTGTAATCCCAGCACTTTGGGAGGCCGAGGTGGGCGGATTATGAGGTCAGGAGTTTGAGACCAGCCTGGCCAATATGGTGACACCCCGTCTCTACCAAAAACACAAATATTAGCCGGGCATGGTCCCTCACGCCTGTAGTCACAGCTACTCGGGAGGCTGAGGCATAAGAATCGCTTGAACCTGGGAGGCGGAGGTTGCAGTGAGCCGAAATGGTGCCACTGCACTCCAGCCTGGGTGACAGAGTGAGACTCCATCTCAAAAAAAAAAAAAAAAAACAAAAGTTAGGGTGAGTTTGGCAATATCATGGGACTGCCATGGCAGAAGCAGTGATACTTGTAGAAAGCTAAAAATTTGGATACTGCATGCCTTCTAAGGCCATACTCAAAAGATTGTTTAACAAACAAAAAGACTGCCAAAGTTTGATAAGCCCTATGATTGGGATAGGGGAAGTTTTGAGGGAAGTAAAAATACGCCATGTATTATGCAGTCCTGTGGTTTTCCCAGTTCAGGAAAAAATTTTTCAACTTTAAGATGATCACGTTCTATTTCTCTCTCTCTCTCTCTCTCTCTCTCTCTGTATGTGTGTGTGTCTTAAGAGTAGACATTTCTGTTACTGTCTCATACCCTTATGATTGGTAATTGTTGGAAGGAGAACAACCTGAGAGGGGAGAATGGGAATTTATAGTTGACTGTGGGATTGTGGTAAACTGATGTGTCCCAATTCATTCTTTCAGGGCTGGAAGTAGTTAGAGATGGACAGAAATAGAGTATAAGAGGAATATAGAGTGTAAAGAGGTATTTGGGGGAATGTTGTGGGTGTTAAAATGAGTATATTTTGATCTATGAATTTTAGAGCATAATTTCAAAAATTTGTCTTCAGGTGGGCCGATCCCCTGGGGTCAGGAGTTCAAGACCAGCCTGGCCAACATGGTGAAACCCTGTCTCTACAAAAATACAAAAATTAGCCGGGCATGATGGCAGATGCCTGTAATCCCAGCTACTTGGGAGGCTGAGGCATGAGAATTGCTTGAACCTGGGAGGTGGAGGTTGCGTGAGCCGAGATCCTTCCATTGCTCTCCAGCCTGGGTGAAAGATCAAGACTCTGTCTCAAAAAAAAAAAAAAAAAAAAAAAAATTTGTCTTCAAGGTAGTATTAATGTTATTTGAACTCACTAAGGGAATTCATCTTGATATTTAAACCTTTATAACATATCTATTCTATATTATTGAGAATCAGACATTTCAGTGTTATGTACAGTGTTCAGCCAGAAAATGAATTAAAACTGATCTTACTAGGTACAGAAATTCTTGTGCATTTGTGAAATAATCTTGGGGAAAGTTTCATATTCTGTGTTTTAGGTATCTTTTTCCTGATTTCATAACAGTATTTACATTTGAACAAGATGTTCCATATAGTAAAACTCTAGATTAGTGGTTCTTATATAAAATGGAAGAGTAACAGATTTCTTGAATTAAAATACCTGTTTTTCAACTATACCTCTTTTTTAATATTTCAATTAACTATTTTTAATTTTTAATTTTAGTGTTTCCATCTGATGAAATACCTCATTCTTTCAGTATGTGTATTTTAAAATTTAAATTTAAAATTTAAAAGAGCTACAATTTATAACATTTTAAAATACACATACTCTTTAGGAGAGCTACAATTTATAACCTTTTAAAATACACATACTGAAATGAAATTAAATTCATTAATTTATGAATTTATTCATTCATTAATGAATTAAAAATTTAATTCATTAAAATACTTCCCTTCTTTTGCTTCTGAAAAAGACTGTTTCATATTCTCATAACTGAAATTTATGTAGCAAATGATGATAGTGAGTTTGTATAAAATGATAATATTTTACTGCGTTAATTTAGGTAACTTTAAAAAGCCATACAGAATCAGAATTAATGAAGTCACTTATCAGTGTTAGGTTTAATATCCAAATTGACCATGATTTTATTTCGTTTTTCCTTTTTTCTTTGACAAGAGTTAGACTTTTTAAACAAAACCTTTTATCAATGTAAAGAATAATATGTTGTACAATATATTTGAGTCTGTGTATTTCTTTTTACTTAAGTAAAAAAGTAGTTTATTGTACAAAGTTAACCTTTTG
This sequence comes from Homo sapiens, assembly GCF_000001405.40. NCBI lineage: Eukaryota > Metazoa > Chordata > Mammalia > Primates > Hominidae > Homo > Homo sapiens. Next base: position 92,993,301 of record NC_000010.11, read on the forward strand.
TGGGAATATAAATAAAGAAAAATGGACTCTCCTGGAATCATTAAGGATGAGTAGACCAATACGGAAAGAATGTGATTTCAAGAGCACATTTTAACATTAAATGTACTTGAGAGAATGAAAGCAGCATTGTAAAGTGCTTTCAAATAATTACTGTTGAAATCAAACCTTTTTTTAATAGACCTTTGAAATAAGAAAATGGTAAGACACAAATGAAAACTTCAAATGAAAATTTAAATGGGCCAAATTAGTTTTTAAGTGTTCTACATTTCTCTTACAATTATATTAGAGTAGATCATGAAAACATTACTTTCAAAACAAACCAGTTTTGAGCCATAATCTAATAAACTATGTTGTGTTTTTACCTTGTTATTTTATGATATTTCACAGGAAACAGAGTGTCTTTAGCCTAATCTATGATAGTAAATTATTTTGGAAATTTGTCTTGACATACAAGCAGATGTGTTTTCTTAATTCCTTTTAAACTGAGGGTTGGTGGTTTGTGGTTTATTGTTCCTGTGATTGGCATTAAAAGCCTTATTTCACAGCTTGCAGTGAGGGACTATTGGGTAAAGAGTGGCTGTGTTCCACAAACTAAATTCAAAAAGTGTCAATCAAGGTCTCACATAGGTTACTTAGAGAATGAGTTTTCTTACTGATTTCACCAAATGTCGCCTCATGCTGTCTTTGATTGGCACAGCCTGGCAGGGAGGATGGATGAATCTGTCACCGGCTGGTTAATTGTGTTACTGGTCTCAGTCTGACATCAGGTCTTTGACTCTTAAGTGGCTCAATACAAAACAAATTAGCAGATTGTAGTCATATTTCTCATTCTATATGCTTTGACTTTGTTGAATGCAGTCCATAAATCATATTGACTGACACACAAGTAAATGATGAAAGCTGTTTTTGAGACATGAATCTAGAAAGCAGCACTGTGAAGGTGCCATGGAAGGATGCATATGGTTGACCCTTTGGGAATTTCCTAGGAGCCAAATGTCTCTTTACCACAATTGTTCTTAGAAGAAAAGCTTTTCGGTAATGCAAAAAGGATCTAATATGTCAGCAGATTCTCTTTTACAAGTCCTTTGAAATATAAGAAGTTTGTCTAAGGGTTTTCTCTCTTTGCAAGTTGTTTTCAGCCAAATGTTAGAGCAGGGTAAAAAAGTAGTTAACTTTAAAAGCTTAGCAGGTGTTTTTACTTATTTATTGAACTTTGTAGAGAGAGGGAAAATGTTGGTAATAGTTGCAATTAATTTTTCAGATGAGGGCAAGAGAAATTTTGAGGTGCTTGAAATTTATTAAATGTGCTGTGTTTTCTCAGTCACTTCACTTAATTATTTTGGCTTTTTTTGTTAATGTTAAAAACTAGAGCGTCTCTAATGAAAAGGGCTAGTTTTTAAAAGATCGTTGTAAAAGTACTCAGACTATTTTTATTCTAGAAAATGATATATTATTAAAGGCATCAATAATAATAATAATAATAATAGTGTTCAGAAGATTATACCAGAGTGTGCCAATGGCTATAGACATTAAAAATAAATTTTCAAATATATTTTCGGGTGTGTAAATTTTTGGAGTGTTAACATTTCTATCTAAAAATATGTAGTACATGAAGTTTAAGAATAGTTGTATACATTTTATAGTTACAAAGTAGACATTTAAAAAATATTGTATAATCTTATGGAATATAACTTTTAAAAATTTTAAAGAATCTGAACTTTTGATATTGTGAACTTAAATTTTGAGCTATTTATTTCATCTGAAGATTTATAAAATATTTTATAAATATTTTAATCTTCTATCTTTGAGAACAATAAGCCTGGATTTAGTATGCCTAATCAAAAGAAATTCAATGTTAGGATTTTAGTATTACGCATGATATTTAAATAAAGAGCTAAATTTGTGTGTGTGTATGTATGTGTGCATGTGTGTTTTCATTACTTATTTCCACCAGGTTTCTGGAATAGCCTGTGTCTACTCTTACCATCGTTTTCAGCTCCAGTGCTATTGCTATGTAATCATTTGTAGCGTCTGAACCCATGTTAAATTTTAAAAGTTTACATAAAACAATACCACTTATATTGTACAGTGTGTTTGCTTATGAAATTAATTTAATAGTAATTTTCTGGCAATTTATTAATCAGCTTTTGTAGTTAGTACATGATAGTGGCAGCATGCATAGGACATGGAGCTGATTTGATGGAGAAGCACATTAAACTAAAATGCACTAGTTGTTCCATTAGGTCAAAATGACATTTCCATTAAGTATTCTGAAGCCTATTACATTGTAATTAAATGACATGCCATTGATTTCTCCTTTCTCTGCTTCCCCACTTCTCATTCATATTGATATTATTCTGCTTGGGGAATGGAGCTGCATGTCTCCCAGACTAATTCCTCTTGAGTTTGGGGGATCTTGGATCATGCTGGGTTTTGCATTGTTTGTTACATTCCTTTTTGGCAGTTCATCAGTATCTGTCAAATATATTGTTTGCATCGGCTTTTATCTCTTAAGTTTTCGATTGAGAAATTGACATTCCGTTTCACATATGCAGTTTTTCACTGTGCATAGTGTCTAAATGCAAAAAACTCATTCAAAAAGTTGTTTGTTTCTAGTCTGACTTTTAATGTGTGATTTAACAAATGTTGTAATAAGCATCTTGAAAATGTATTTATGTTCTTTATTACCTTTTTCACAAATCAACCCTATGTAATATGTTTTTGTACTAATATATTGTAACATTTCTGTTTGGGAGATTTTGGTCACGATTTTGTAGCTTTCTGGCCTTTGAGATAAGTAGGAAAAATATAATTATCAAATATGACTGGGTAAATATTTGTTAATGCAAACGAGGCAAAACATGGCATGTCTTCCAAAAGTAATTATTTCTGATGATATTCATAGATCTTTGAATCCTATCATAGTAGTCATTCCATCATGAAATCACATGATTGTCAGTTGAAGGTAGCCATCCTAGGAGCAGTATTATGCAGGAGAACTTTACCTAAAAGAGTTTTTATAATATTTTAAACCTCTAGTTGAAATGCAAAACCTGTTTAAAAAAATAATTTATCTTTGGGAGGCCAAGGCGGGCGGATCACAAGGTCAGATCGAGACCATCCTGGCTAACATGGTGAAACTCTGTCTCTACTGAAAACACAAAAAATTAGCCAGGCGTGGTGGTGGGCACCTGTAGTCCCAGCTACTTGGGAGGCTGAGGCAGGAGAATGGTGTGAACCCAGGAGGCAGAGCTTGCAGTGAGCCGAGATTGCGCCAGCCCTGGCCACAGAGTGAGACTCTGTCTCAAAAAAAAAAAAAATTAATTTACACTAAAAGTGATGTAGTTTTGTGAGTCAGCTGTGTAATGCAGAGGCTAAACATTTAAAAAGGCCATTTTTAAGAAAACAATTTAGGCCATCAGTAAAGTTCATGTAGAGTTTTAGGAGATTATTATAGTAGGAAATATTTTTTAATGATGTATATTATACTGAAAGAAAACCACAAGTATTCAACCACATACTTCCAACCTACCAGATGATTTAAAAACTGAATTTCTAAAGCTAAATGCACATCTGTAGATAATCTTGAAGTCATATTGGTAGACAAACCTTTTTTTTTCTGCCAGTGATTGAAGCTATGCTATAGACTAATGTTCTGATTAGAAGTAAGGACTTATGATTCAAAGGGTATTTTGAATTTTAGCTGTAATTTAAATAGCAATAATAGTAAATTATACTGTTAACTTCCTTTATTCTGACTTGGTTAATTAGCTAAAGGAGAGATTAAGGAGCATTAAATGGATAAAATGTTCTGTCAGTATGACTTATTTTATGTCATAAGTGTCATTTTAATATGCATTTCTAAAGTGCTTTCAGTATTTCAAGAGATCTGAAATAATAGTTTTTAACTGGTATTTTAATTTTCCTTTGTGCAGTTAGAGCTTTAATGATATTTATATCCTGAGAAAGCCAAGTAAACTAAGAATATTAATGTTAATTTCTATGATATAAAGGTATAACCACTCAGAATACAGAAACAGGAAGGAAAGTAACCACTATTGTACCAAGCATAAGCAACAAAAAGAATGCCAGGTGTATGATTTTTCTGATTCTTTATGATGTATTTCTATGTGTGTTTATTTGTTTGATTTTTGGTTTGATTGTTTTAAACAGGGGAAAGTTGCTCAGACAGCTTGCATGTCAGCCTGCCAGCATCTGTCAACATCCTTAATGCAGATGCTACTGGACAGTGAGTTAAAACAAATAAGCATGGGAGCTGTTCAGCAGTTTAACTTAGATGTCATACAGTGTGAATGTAAGTACTATATTGGTTTATTCTTATGTATTACTAGGAATCTATGCTTAAATTATATGAAAAAATGTATTTAGCAGGATAGTTCAGAAAGGAGGGAGAAGGCCTGGTTCAGCTAAACTTTTAGCAGCCTTAGGAGTAGGGCTAACTTCCTGAAACAGGAAGATAAAAATATCTCAGCTTCACATTTAGGGCCTCTAGAGAGAGGCACTGAAGTGGCATTCCAGATTGGTATATTTAAAAACATGATTCATTTTCCCCATTATTCCTTGTCTGGTCATTCTTGCCTTTTTCTAGGACTCTCCTAATGTTTGTCATAAATGAATGAAATGATTCTGTCATTCTTACTTGCCCTGTAAGTAACTTTTTAGATACTTGCTAGAAGAATAAGCTCAGGACCTTGCATTCCAAATGAAATTTCTGAATTTTTGTTTCTCCTTTCCTTAGATTTCACAAGGCTTTAGTATTGCCATTGTTTTTCACTTTATTTTTTTTTAGGTAACAAGGCTAGCAGATTCCATAATCTAATGTTGATGTTAGTCAATCAGCTTCAAAACTGGATATGCTATTTGGTCATTAGCCTTGTTACATGTGCTTTTGGATATGGGTTTTATCAACCCTCAAATTATAATTCTTTAAGTACAAGATATGAGTATATGTGAGCAATTTTCAAGCAGTGCTTTCAAATAAGTGGTACACTGATTAAACAATGAAAATCCCTGGTTGACAATTCTATCAGGCACCACAGTTGATAAATTGAAAATCAGTGGGGCACAAGAAGGATTATAAAATATTTGTCTGAGGAAAAATTTGCAATAATGTATTCTTTGTGAAAGACATTAAAAAATTAAATGTCAGCAGTTTGCAACTGAAGCAGAAATGACTGATTTTTTTCAACAGATATCAAATAGTTTGTGCCCACTCTGTATAAGGCATTGTGCTAGGAAAAACATCATTAATATTATAGAAAATAATTAGATAGGCTCTTTGGACAAGATCAATTGTCTGTTGCACACCACACACACACACACACACACACACACACACACACACTCCAAAGTTTCTAAAAACCTACCCATTTATTTAAAAAAAAAGAAATGTTTATTTAGAAAACAAAAGAAAAATGGTTTTTTTCCTAGGGAAGAGAAAGATTAATTTTCTTTTCCCAGAAAGCATTTTTAATTTTCTCTAATTAGAAAACCTTTATTATATTTCTTTCTCAAAGTAAAGCTATTGTTTGACAAATATTTATTTATATATTTATGTTTTAGTTTTTTGAGACAGAGTCTCACTCTGTCACCCAGGCTGGAGTGCAGTGGCACAGTCTCAGCTCACTGCAACCTCTGCCTTCTGGATTCAAGCGATTCTTGTGCCTCAGCCTCCCAAGTAGCTGGAACTACAGGTGTGTGCCAACACACTCAGCTAATTTTTGTATTTTTAGTAGAGACGGGCTTTTGCCACATTGGTCAGGCTGGTCGCAAACTCCTGGCCTCAAGTGATCTGCCCACCTCAGCCTCCCAAAGTGCTGGGATTATAGGCATGAGCTACCCTTGGCCTATTTTGTATTTACAACAATATCCCTAAGAAACACTTTTTTTTTTTTTTTACAAGTTTTTTTTTTTTTTTTTAAATTACAGATGAGGTGTTGCTGTGTTGCCCAGACTGGTCTCAAACTCCTGGCCTCAAGTCATCCTCCTGCCTTGGCATCCCAAAATGCTGGAATTAGAGGCGTGAGCTACTGTGCCTGGCCATTTTTATAAGCTTTTAAGCTGAAAGTAATTTTTATTCCCATTCCACAAATACTTTGAAACTGGTTTCTTAAGTTTCTTTAAAAGTTGTCTTATGAGATCATTCCAGTATGACATTGTCTGTATAAATATCTTATATAAGCATTGCTCAAGACATTTTCGTGTTACAGTAGTCCCTCTTATCCACAGTTTTGCTTTCTGCAGTTTTTGTTACCTGCTGTATAGTACATTAAGACATTTTGTGTGTAAGAGAGAAAGATAACCACATTTACATAACTTTCATTACAGTATATTGTCGTATGTCCTCTATTTTATTATTTTTGTTGTTAATCTCTTATTGTGCCTAATTTTTTTTTTTTTTGAGGCAGGGTCTCGCTGTGTCTCCCAGGCTGGAGTGCAGTGGCACAATCTTGGCTCACTGCACCTCTGCCTCCTGGGTTCCAGCAATTCTCCCGCCTCAGCCTCCTGAGTAGCTGAGACTATAGGTGCCTGCCACCAGGCCCGGCTAATTTTTTGTATTTTTAATAGAGACGGGGTTTCAACATATTGGCCAGGCTGGTCTCAAACTCCTAACCTCAGGTGATCCACCTGCCTCGGCCTCCCAAAGTGCTGGGATTACAGGCATGAACCACCGTGCCTAGCCCTGTGCCTAATTTTTAAGTTAAGCTTTATCATAGGTATATATGTATGTATGTGAAAAAACATAATTAATATAACGTTCATTACTATCTGCAGTTTCAGGCATCCATTGGGGGACTTGGAACATATCCCCCATGGGTAAGAGGGGATTACTGTATTACATCTTTAGTATGGCTTCAAAATAACTAAACGATTAAACTACCTTTTTGGCATTTGATGTGTCTTCTAAATTAAATTTATTGCTCAAAGATGGAAATTACTGTTTGATTAGACAAGTTCAGTTGTCTAAATCTTCTCCCTATTCTCTTACCTCTCTAGCCTATTGACATTTGGAGAAAGGCCCAAACACCCTGGAATCTTTGCCTCACTATCCTGCCATAGGATAGTTTCCACTTTCAGATACTCCTTTGGGCAGAGTTACTAGAGGCTCCTTTTAAAACTCTGATGTTTTCTTTAAGAGCTAGTCTCTTGGAAAAGACCAAGAAAGGTCCTGAGTATGAGCTATAACTCAAAAAAGCCTGGGGCCATTTGCAAGAGGGGTAAACCCTAGCCTGATGGGGGTTAAGGTCCTGGCACTGTAGATATGAAAAGGGAGAGACCAGGACTCCAAAGACAAACCACGGAAGACAACTCGGATTCCTTTAAGATTTTGCCTATGGTTGGCTCTACTTCTTAATACTTCTGTATTACCTTAATCATTACTTCTGAATACAGTAACATGCATTTACTACTGATGGGACAAAAAAAATTGATTAAAAATTTTTGTGTTTATTTCACTATCTCTGGTGTTCTCTTTTCCAAAAGACATCTTTTTACTTAAGTAATATAGCATGGATAAAGAAGTCTTTCTGGTGCAAAAAAACCATCCACCCCTCAACTTCTGACTTTCAGTGATTGATATATAAATCGTTTAAAAAATGAAACTTAGCTTTCTCTAATAAATATGTTAAAAGAATTTTAAAAATAAGTTTTCATGTTAAGTATTTCTGTTTAAATCTGGAGGAAAGTAGTTCTTTAAATATACAAAGCTTATTCTCAATTTTAATGCAGTATGTATGCTTTCTGCATATTAGAGCAGGGAAAGGAGAAGAAAGGGAGGCAAGAAGAAAAATCTGGCTAGGTAGTAGAAAGGCTAGAGTGCCTGGTAAGTCTGTGAAGAGAAAAGGTCAGGATACCATGGAAATCAACTGGAATATGAAGAAGAGGAAAGGCAGGTAGTTCAGATGGGGAATCCTAGAAGCTAAAAGATCATTGAGTTTCTTCACACACCTGTTAATAACATAGATATGCTCACACACTCCTCCATCTTGAAATCCTTTCTATAATAAACCTGCCAAGTAATTGTCCAGCCATTCCTTGAACATCCAATTTGGGAGATTACTCTTCAGAAAATACATTTCGATACAATACATCACTCTATCAATCTCTCACACTGAACTGAAACCACTTTCTCTCTAAATTTCTCTTAATAGACCTAGTTCTACCTTAGGGTTAGAGTCACCACCAGTCTATATTGTGTTTTTGTGCAAATTAGAAAAGGTGTTCTCAGTAAAAGGAAAAAACCCTCTAGAGCTGCCTGCCCCCTTTATCGGAATTAGAGAAAGTTACTATTTTCCCATCTGGACTTGGCCCCTACGAAGGCACATAGCTTATCAAATAAAACATTAGCTGGATTTAGCTCTCTCCTTCCCATTTTTCTCCTCAGTTGGGCACCTGTGTATAGCAAGCAGCCTGACAACTATATCTGAAGTTTGGCTTAGGGTCACACAGGAAAAAACAAATCCTTATCCACAAGCCAGTTACATGAAAACAGCTCTTACATGTCTCTAAATCTTCTGAAGGCCAGACATCAATAATTCCTTATTCTTATTCTTCTTATGTGATATAGTTTTAGATCCAAAAATCTTCTCTGAACAAACTGGTTTAACTATCTTCTCTTTCATATCTGATGCCCCAGATTAAATATAGAGATACTCAGGTGTACAGAACAAGTATAATTATGTAGCTTTGCTATCAAATACATTGTTTCATATTCTATAATTGATTAATAAAGCCAAAACTGTTAAACCTTTTTCAGTAGCTAGAATATACTTCCAAATCATTGAAGCTACAGGATTCTATTATCTCTGTGTATTCCTCCCCCCCTTTTTTGGTGATTGCTAAGCTCTATTTTTCTTATCCTATATATATATGTGGTTGGTTTTTATTTTAGGATTTTAAGGTTATCCCTAATAAATTTTGAGATGTGTTCCATAGCTAGCCTGTTGAGATCTTTTTATATCAAAAGTTAATATCTGTGGATTTGTAATCATTCTTTCTACATATTTAACAAAGTCATTAGCAAAATATTGAACAAAACCTGTTATTCATATCCTTAGATACAGAACATCAATATCCTGAGATACAGTACATCATCAAAATGTGGTCCCCAAATGAGCAGCAATAGCATCATGTGGGAGCTTGTTAGAAATGCAAATCTTGGGCCCCACCTGCTGAATTGGGAACTCTGGGGATGAGGCCCAGCAATTTGCTTGAATAGACCCTCCAGTTGATTCTGTTGCATGATAAAGTTTGAGAACCGCTGTATTACATGGACCTCTCCTTTGTATCTATTTAGGTCAATTATTCAGAACCTTATGGGTACCTTAAGATTTCTCAGCCAGTTGCTAATCCTCTGATTGAATCTAACTCACAGTTTGGCATCTTGCTCCATGTTATGAGCAGCTTCTGTCAGAAGCCTTGCTAGCATGAAGAGTTAATAACAGCAATTGAATTTTCCTTATCTACCAGTCTAATTACCCTTTCAAATAAGAAAATGACATTACTCGGATTCGTCATAAATCCGTATTGACTCATAGTGATCACTTTCTCTTGAAGACTCTCAGAAATCTTTACTTAATAGCCTGTGATTGGTTCTCAGGATTAACATAAAATCCTGCTAGTCTGTGATATGCTAGCAAGAGAGCCATAGTCCAAGGAAGTCCAGTAGCAAGGATCAGGAACTCAGATTGGAAATCATGAGCCACCAAAGAAATGCTGGGCAACTCAGAAAAGATGCTTAAATCATAAAATTTAAGCAATAAGAAGTGAGTTTCATTTACAAGATTGAAATATAAGCACCAACAATGGCCTTTATTCTGTGCTAGATTTTCCTTTTATTTGGTTTAATCAGAATCCAAATGTTTATTTTCCCATTCTTGTTACTCTGTGAAAAACATCATACATGTATTTCCTCAGCCTCAAAATGTCAATCTGCAGGTAGAAACAAATAGCACATCTAGATGTAGTGGGGGAGGTGGAAAGGTGGAAATAATTCAGTTACTGACAAATTATTCTATACCATCATTCAGCCATGTACTTTTTGTTTTTGTTCGTTTTATTTTTCTGATGATGAAGAAGAATTAGCATTGACCCATCTATGTGCTCATTTGTTTTTTGAAACAATGTGTTGGTGCTCTTTTTTTTGGTATTCCTTGTGACGGGTGACACACGTACCTGTGAGTTAAATTAGCTTGAGCTAAAATTTCAGTCTGTAATTATGAAACAGAACTTTTTCCCATGTTAAGTCAACTTCTTTATAGGAAGATTCATTTGTGCAAATGTTTAACGAGAACCTATTATATGTTTGTTATATACTGGGAAATCAAAGATAAACTTCAAAGATTTCATAGTCTGGCTGGGTACGAGACAGGTACATAACTGTAATAGAGCATAATTAATTGTTTATAGAATATGTATTATGTGTAGAGAGGGGGCAATTAATTCTGTATGCTGTGGGATTGAGAAGATTGACTATGACCGAAGTAAAATTTGAGCTGGGTAAAAAGTAAAAATTGAGATGGATAAGATTTCACCAAAAGCAGGGAAGGGCATTCTGAACAGAGGGAATGAGACAGACAAAAGCACTGTGATAAGACAATGTTTAGGGAATCTTCAAATAATCATATGTGGATGGACTACAAAATGGAGCTTTTTAATTAGGACCATGACATGATTAAATCTGTGTCATAGAATGTTAACTCTAGTGTCATTTAGAAATTTGTACTGGAATGAGGCAGAGACTGAAAGCAGGAAGACCTGTTAAAAGGCTGTTGAACTTTTCCATGTGAAATACAAAAAAAGCTTAACCTTCATCAGTGGGAATGGAGAGTATGGATTCCAGGCATTTTGGAGGAGGGAATACATAAAAAGAGTGAATGAGTAAAGGTACAATTTGATATGATTTAACCATCCAGGATGGATAGTTTAATTAAATTCAACATAGAAGATTTGAAATTGCAGGTATCTTACAGAGTGCTATGCTCATAATAAAAGGTCTACAGATGTTTGTTTATTGACTAAATTAACAAAGTAACAAATCAGGAACTCTCTGTAACCAACACTGGTCTCTTCTAGAGTTCTACCTTTGTTGTCAGAAAGTTAAGACCCAGCTGATACTGCTGTATTTCAACTCAAGACCATTTAACTCCTTGATCTAAACAAAACTAATCATTATTTCTTTCATAAAAATTCTTCACATATTTGATGACTGAAGAATGACCTTTTAACTTTATCTTTCTGAGCTAAGTAGTTATTTTTTAAAATGTTTCCTTGTAGGGTATTTTCACATGCCTTTTTGTAAATTTTCTTTGGATCTTTTCCTGTTTTTCTACTTTTTTAACCTATACTTGGTCAAAGTGGATACAATGTCTAAGTTCAGGAATATAGAATTATATGAACTTATATAGAACTTTTCTTTTTTAAATTGCTTTCAGATCAGTCTTAAGATGGTCTGAGTACATGTCAGGAAGTTGAGACCTTGCTTCCAGTCCTGGCTTTGCCTCTAACTTGAGCAAGTTGACTTGGACAAACCCTTCAACCATCAAGAGGCCTAAATTTTTCCCATAACACATGGAATTTGGAATTGATAAATGTTTCAAGATAACGTCCTGGTTCTAAGATTCAAAGGCAGTTAAATGTTAAGACATTGAAGAGTGTGGGGCTTTGAAGTCATATATTAATTATGTCTTCATATCTATTATGTGCATGGCATTGAGGGAATACAGTGGTAAGCAAAACAGAAAAGGTCTTTACCCTCTTGGAGTTTAAGTCCAGTGGGGAAACAGTAATTAATAACTTCATTAATAAATATGACTATAAATTGTTAAACTTTGTAAAAGTATATGGTATGAGAATACTAGGTAGGATCTATGTATGAATATAGAGGTTAACTTTTGGTTAATTTGACCATAACCATCATGCTAGTATAACTGCATGTTTGGAGACAGTCAGGAAGATAACCAGGAATACATACTTGGAAATTGCAAAAATAGCTCCCTCTGAAAGCTACATTGAACCTTTGATCTTAGTATAAATTTTATACAAGTTCAAGATAAATGTCTTCTTATTTGGAGGAGCATTTGCCAAGGTATGAGAATGATGTTCTGAATCAGTGTATGTACTTTGTTTTATATTTATTAAATACTTATTATATATTGGGTACCAATATAGATACCTTATAGATATAACCATATAGAAGAAAAGATTAATATGTCTTCTAAACAAGTTCTTACAAAGGTGTCACAGAAATTCTTCCTGTTACTAAGAAAATACAGACTATTTCCCAAGCATCAGGCAATCAGAAAGACCTATTCTATATTTGAAGTATCCAGAGTAGGTCTAGAATACATTTTTAAATTCATTCTGCCCAAATGTCTAAGTTAGGTTATTAGCTCCTAAGGGTTTAACATCTGAAATCTGTAGGTATTAGAAAAGGCATTAGAATAGCTCCAGATTAAAGAGTGCTGGCACCTATTTCAATGGTGAGTTATTGGAGAGTAGATAAGTTTCTTAATGTGAAAGCCTTGGTCTTTCTTAATTTTTGGATAAAAACTTAACCTGCTGGGCACAATGGCTCATGCCTGTAATCCCAGCACTTTGGGAGGCCACGACTGGAGAATCGCTTGAGCCCAGGGGTTCGAGACCAGCCTGGGCAAAATAGGGAGATTTCATCTCTGCAAAAAAAATTAAAATTACTCAGATGTGGTGGTGCACATGTGTAGTCCCAGCCACTCAGGAGGCTGAGGTGGGAGAATTGCTTGAGCCTGGAAGGTCAAGGCTGCAGTGAGCCGTGATCATGCCACTGTACTCCCGCCTGGGTGACAGAGTGAGACCCTGTCTCAAAAACAAAACAAAACAAGAAAGCTTAGCCAAAAAAGAAAAAAAAAAAGGATGCTGTTTATAGAGTTTTAGCGACTATGACCTCTAATTCTAGCCTTGAAAAAGGGCTGTGCCCCATAATAAAAGTATTAAGGCAAAATCATCTGGATGGTAAGAGAAGAATATTTCAGTGCCTTTTTAAAAAGTAAGCTGGATGCTGTTACACTGTTTGGATACCTGAATTTGTTCCTGGTTTGGATACCTGAATTTGATACCTAACCTATCTGATGGAGGATACTTTGCCCAGGTTTAATTCCAAGAAATGGAGAAAACTAGATACTACTTTATATAAAAATGAGGTGATGAAGGTAGAGTAACAGTTGGTCCTCGAGGTTTGCATCCCACTGTTGCTGACCGCATACAGCAGAAAATACATCTAAAAGCCAAGAATCCTAACTCTCCTGATTCCCAGGCATAAGTTCTTCACCACCAGAAAAACCACTAGATGGTGCTCTTAGTCATTCCTTCTAACGACACAGCTGGTTCACATGGGATACTTTGTTTGTCTAATAACAAAGTTTGTTAAACAAAACTTGAGTTCTTACTAGCTACTTTAATATTCAGATCTAGATAGAAATGAAATTACAAGAAGTATCTTCAAATAGAATGAATATTGGCATTCATATTCAGCCATTTATTTAGTTACAGAATTATTCCATTTTATATGCACCTGTGTGGTCATTTGCAAGCAAGATCTTAAAACTTTAGCTTAGCCTCCTCCCCTTTCTTTCAGTCTTTTGTCAAGCTTCTGATGTATTCCCTCTTATGACTCCATGGGCCCTTTTTCTCCCCCACCCTCTTTACCCCCTGACAATTCTTCCTACCCTGTATGGATGTTTTCTATATCTACATTGTAAACAATCTACATTCTCTGCCTTATGATAAAGATAACTGTCTGCCTAGAACAAGATTTTTCAAGGACTTCTGAGTTTAATTCCCTCTGAGTTTAATTTCAGAGTAGGTTTTATATTTTCCAGTCAAGATAAATACTTATGGCCTGACATCTTGGCAATTTTCCTTCCCCCCTCGTAACAAACCCTTTACATTTTGCATAGATCCTGAGGGGAAGGGCCTGTTTTCCTACTCAAAAATTTTTTTTTTTTTATATATACAAATAACTCATGTTTTGCCTACAGGTATTCTTTGTTCTCTTAAAACTTCATAGATTGCCGGCTGGGCGCAATGGCTCACATCTGTAATCCCAGCACTTTGGGAGGCCGAGGTGGGTGGATCACCTGAGGTCAGGCGTTCAAGACCAGCCTGGCCAACATGATGAAACCCCGTCTCTATTAAAAATACAAAAAAATTAGCTGGGTGTGGTGGCACATGCCTATAATCCCAGCTACTCTGGAGGCCGAGGCAGGAGAATTGCTTGAACCCGGGAGATGGAGGTTGCAGTGAGCCGAGATCACACCACTGCACTCCAGGCTGGACAGCAGAGCGAGACTCCGTCTCCAAAAACAAAACAAAAACCCAACTTCATCGATTGCCAATTTGGAAGATAGTTTTGTTATAATCACAGCTTACCCCGCATACATTATTTTTTGTTCCCACTTTCATCTAAATTGATTCAAACTAGTCTTCTTCCAAGTTAGGCTGATATAGCAGAGTTTTACTCTATTGTTATAATATACCTTCCCAATAAGATCAGACACCTCCTTCTCTAATCTAAGAATATTTGAAAACTTGGAATCAGGCCGGGTGCGGTGGCTCACGCCTGTAATTCAGCACTTTGGGAGGCCAAGGTGGGCGGATCACCTGAGGTCAGGAGTTTGAGACTAGCCTGGGCAGCATGGTGAAACCCCTTCTCTTCTAAAAATACAAAATTAGCAGGGCCTGGTGGTGCATGCCTGTAATCAAAGCTACTCAGGAGGCTGAGGCAGGAGAATCTCGCTTGAACCTGGGAGGTAGGGGTTGCATTGAGCCAAAATTGTGCCATTGCACTCCAGCCTGGGCAACAGAGTGAGACTCCATCTCAAAAAAAGAAAAGAAAAGAAAATTTGAAATCATTTATTATTGCAGAAAATAAGAGGAAATGAATATCCTGAAGTTATTTTGTTTATTAAAAAGGAAATAGTCAAATTGGAGGCATTAAGAGAAAAAAACAAAGATTTGGAATCTCTTAAAAAAGAACACTTCATAGTCTGGAAATGATTTTTACATATCTTATTGGGAAACCAGGATCAATGTGTGTTATTTAAAAATACCCTTAAAGGCATGGCTAAATGACAAAAACAAAGACACCATAATAGGGGGGGAAGTGGGCATTATTGTTTTTAAAATTTTAAAGATGGTCCAAGGGAGGAGAATTAGGAATCCCCAAAATATGACAAATTATATACAAAATGAGAATCTGAATGAGCCAAAAAGTAATTTGACGATAGTACTTCTAGAGATTTCAAAAATTAGTCATCAATTCTTTAAAAATTTAAAAGATTAAAATTGACCCCATGAATTATTGGGACCATAGACAATATTAGTAGAAATGATTTGTATTACTATTTATTCATTCAACACACATTTATTGACTGTTTCCTAGGTGACAGGTATGGTGTATGTAACTACTTCCCAGGAGCTTCTTGTTTAGTGGAAGAGCTCATGATTTAGTTTTAATTGAAGAAACTATTAGGAGTATTTTCACCCACCCTAAATTACTTTTATATAAATACACTAAGTGTATACAGTTATGTTCTTGATTTGCACTGTTAAATAAATACATATGGCTAGGAAATTTAAATTAAGCTGGATGCAGTGCCTCATACCTGTAATCTCAGCACTTCGAGAGGCCAGGGCAGGACGACTGCTTGAGGCCAGGAGTTTGAGACTGGCCTAGGCAACATAGTCCCCCTGTCTCTACAGAAAATAAAAAAAATAACCAGACATGATGGCACCTGTAGTCCCAGCTACTCAGGAGGCTGAGAGGGGAGGATTGCTTGAGCCCAGGAGGTTGAGGGAGGCTGCAGTGAGCTGTGATGGCACTCCAGTCTGGGCAACAGAGTGAGACCCTGTCGCAAAAAAAATTAACTAAAATAAAACCAAAAATTAAGTTTAGCATGGATATTACATTTCATTATTGCAGAACATTCTCTTGGACAGCACCATTCTAAATCTAATCAACAAGCTACATAATATATCACTATCCAATACTGGATGACATTCCTTAGAATTTATTTATGGTTCTGTTTTTCTTCATTCATTTAAGAAACTTTCATTGAATACTCATTATAAGTCAGGCATTGCGCTAGGTGATAAGAATGTAGAAGTGAAGTTACCGTCCCTGCTCTCAGGGAGTTCATGATTTAGTGGGAAGACCCAGACAGATAAACAATTACAAGGCAGCAAAGTGAGTGCTGAAGTTAGGCTGTGCACAGGAAGTTGCAGTGAGAACACAGAGAAAGGACATAAGCCAACCTGCAGGGATAATGGAAGTCTTCCCAAGGAAGACGATGATTGAAGGATAAATAAGAGTTTACCCAGATGGAAAATAAGAGGAAGGATGCTGTAGGCAGAGGGATCAAAGCATCATGGAAAGAGAGTGGTATATGCATGGAAGTACAGGTAGTTTGGTGTGGTATAGAAACTAAGGTGCCCCTAGGGAAATGATGAGATGAGGCTGGCAGATAGACAAAGGCTAGATTGCAAAGGACCTTAGCCTTGTTTTATTTGAAGATGATGGGGAACTATTGAAGGATGTTAAACTGTGAGGTGGCACAAGTCACATCTGTGTAAATCCTACTGGAAGAAGTGGATGGAGAGGTTGCACCAGAAGCAGGGAGATCAGATAGGGTGTGTTTCAGTAATCCAAGCAAGAAATGATGATAGTTTGTACTAAGGTAGAAACAAATTCAGACTCAGGAGATATTTTGGGAAGTAGAAACAACAAGATTGACTGCAGTTGAGTTTTAAAGAAATAAAGGGAAAAATACGAAGCTGTGAATCAATAGCATATCATTACGAATGTCCTCTGTGCCAGATGATTATCAGATCACTAAATTGCCTTCTACCCCTAAAAAAATTTGAGAAAAAGCCCTGAGTGTTATAATCTAGTGAATTTCACTTCCATATTGATTAGATTCTTATGAGAGATGTGATAAAAGATGAGAGACTGAATACTTAATCAGATTCTGGATTAATGGAGTAAATGCCAGAAAACCTGAATTAGTTATATAATCCCGGGCAAGTCACTTTCCTTTTAATTTTTCTGCCCTGTAAAATGAAGGACTCAGCTGGGTGTGGTGGCTCACGCCTGTAATCACAGCACTTTGGGAGACCGAGGCAGATCACTGGAGGTCAGAAGTTTGAGACCAGCTGGCCAACATGGTGAAACCCTCTCTCTACTAAAAATACAAAAATTAGCCGGGCATGGTGGCATACGTCTGTAATCCCAGCTACTTGGGAGGCTGAGGCATGAGAAACGCTTGAACCTGGGAGAAGGAGGTTGTAGTGAGCCAAGATTGCGCCACTGCACTCCACCCTGGATGACAAAGCAAGACTCCATCTCTTAAAAAAAAAAAAAAAAAAATGGACTCGGCAACTTTTAAACTGAGTCTTTAGGGGACTGTTGGACGTGTTTCAAAGAGGTTGTCTCTTTCAGTTGCAAGATTTTATGATCCATCATCTGCATGCCCTATTTACTCAAGTAAGTTATTGTGATGCTCAGAGCAGATGGTGTGTGAGAAAGTGCTTAGTAAAGTATAAAGTGCTATATAAATTTATAGTATCATTAATTTTGACATTGAGCTCTTTGGTTAAATGATAGTATCTTCAACAGGAACCTAGGGAGAAGAAAAATTATTTTAAGATTATTTTTAATGTAGAAAAATTCTGAGCATTAAGTAGATAATAACTATATGTCTAATTGAAATTGAGCTTATTTTTGTGCCTGATAAAATGAGTCTCCCTGCATCATAGAAAGTCTTTATTTATGAGTATATGTGTATCTATCCATGGTGATGGTAGAAGCTATGGTAACATTTACAGCCTTGGTTGAGAACCACTAGGGATTTATGGTTTTTTTTTGTGACCAAAAAAAAAAAAAGGCCAATAAAATGCTGGATGGTCCTAAGTATTTTTTTTTAAGACAAGATCTTGCTTTGTCACCCAGGCTGGAGTGCAGTGGTACGATCATGGCTCAGTGCAGCCTCAACCTCCTGGGCTTAAGTGATCCTCCTGCCCTAGCCTCCCCAGTAGGTGGAACTACTACAGGTGCATGCCACCATGCCTGGCTAATTTTAATTTTTTTTTGTAGAGATGGGGCCTTGCTATGTTGCCCAGGCTGGTCTTAAACTCCTGGCTTCAAGCAATCCTCCAGCCTTGGCTTCCCAAAATACTAGGATTTATAGGCATGAGCCACCATGCCCAGCCAAAAAAAGTATTTTTTTAAAGTTAGAAAACACCTTTAATTTAAACACCTTTTATGATTATAATATAAAAGGCCAACATAAAATAATGTATTTTACTATGTAATATAAAAGGTATAATTTTGCTTATCGTTTTTCAGTTAAGATGTAATGATACTAGAGAAAGGCAACTCAGCTACCTAGGCCATTTTCAGTTAAGACGTAATGATACTAGAGAAAGGCAACTCAGCTACCTAGGGCATAGTAGGGGGTAATGGTGATACCACTGTATGAAAGTATACCACTTATTGTCTAGGGTAATGGTGATACCACTGTATGAAAGTATACCACTTATTGTCTAACAAGACAGTGATATGAATAAATTGTACTAAATACTGAAAAGTGTGGCTAGATTTGGTCACTAAATTTTGGTTTTCTAGAAAAAAGGGGTCTGAGAATGGTGAATTTAGTCACTTATCTAATGACCATAACCTAGCAGAGAACCAAGAACAAAGGGGGAAAAGTGGTGCATCTCTGAGTAACCAAAAGGTTACTCATTCTCAAAAGGTACATGTGCTCAAAGGAACGTGTATAAAACCTATTAACCTTACTAGTAGGAGAGGCCCTTACTTAGGTTGTATTTGCTCTTACTTTAGACATAATTCTAGTAATTGATTAGCTGGCTTACCTGCTCAAGAAGAGTAAAGATAAAATTAATAAGACAGATGAGGGAGAGAGTAGGGAGTAAGAATTCATGTTAAAACTACCAGGGAGAAGGCAGAAAAATTAGAAAAGCTAGACACAAGAACTCAAATAGCGCAGCTTTTTAATAGAACAAAAAAACAGCTCTTACTTCCATAACAGCCCCTGGGAATTTTACTTTATAGAACAAAATGTATTCTTAATGGTGACCCAGAGAATTACGATACATTTTAGAATTTTGTAAAATATGCCTAAGATTAAAGAAAAATTCTGATGCTTAAAGCAAAAATTATACAACAGCAACATTCCCCAGAGATGCCAGATAAATTAAGCTGTGCAAATTTTCATTTATTTATTGTTTTTAATTGTTGATTTTGAGCCTTTCTAAACTATATTTCACACAGAATACACTAAATTTAAGAATTGCTTTTGTTATTCCAAGAACTATATAGGCTGAAATTTTAAATAGCTTCCAAAATTCTAGCTCAGATAAATTCACAAATGGAACATCTATAATGTTCTCTAAAAAAATCAGAATATCCAGCACTTTGGGAGGCCAAGACAGGGGTGTTGCTTTAGGCCAGGAGTTCAAGCCCAGCCTGTGCCACATAGCAATACCCTATCTCTACCAAAAAAACCCCCAAAAAAACAAAAAAATCATTAGCCAAGTGTGGAGATGCATGCCTGTAGTCCCAGCTACTTGGGAGGCTGATTCCTTGAGCCCAGGAGTTCGAGGTTGCAGTGAGTTATAATCATGCCACTGCAGCCTGGGTGACAGATCGAGAAAAAGAAAAAAAAGAAGAAGAAAAGAAAATTAGAAATTAATGGGGTGGGAAAATGATTACAGGCATTCTTATCAGAGAAGCTTGCATGTAAAATGACAGGGTCTTTTTTATGAGCCAAGTGTTTTAAGTTTTTAAAATAACTAATATTGGAATTGTCTTTAGTTTAATTAAGTAAGCTATGTTAGTAGTATTAAAAATTTTAAACCACAAAAAATTATTGAAGGAATCTGTGGAAATTTTAAAAATTCTCGTTGAGATTTTTTTTTAGTTGAGGCATGAATCCTTTCTAAAAAAATCACTGGCCGAGCGTGGTGGCTCACACCTGTAATCCTAGCACTTTGGGAGGCCGAGGCAGGTGGATTGCCTGAGCTCAGGAGTTCAAGACCAGCCTGGGCAACATGGTGAAACTCCATCTCTACTAAAATACAAAAAAAATTAGCCGGCCGTGGCGGCATGCGCCTGTAGTCCCAGCTACTCGGGAGGCTGAGATAGGAGAATCACTTGAACCTGGGAGGCAGAGGTTGCAATGAGCCGAGATGGCGCCACTGCACTCCAGCCTGGGTGACAGAATGAGACTCCGTCTCAAAAAAAATAAAAATAAAAATAAAAATAATTAAAAGGCATGAACAGACATTCCTGCATCATCCTGATTTTTCTACTTAGAACATTTTACTTATTGTCTGCATGTAAAGTTGACTTCTTACCTTGGTGTCTGCCTTTTATTGCTATTAGCTAGAGGTGGGATTTTTTAATAGCACCTATTCTTTACCAAAGCAAATGTTTCAAAATATGTTGACAGCCATGGAATTGGTATCATTTTTAAATGCTTCTACAATCGTTCACCTAAGGCTAAAAAGGGTCAGAAAGCTTTACTTGATTGAAGTACGTTACTGTTAAATTTTAGTAAGAAAACCCTCCTAAATTTATTGTGATTAGGATTACAGTGATTAAATGGCAGATTAGAAATTTAAAATTATTAAAACACTTGAGGTAATGGATGTGGAGAACTTTCTCAGTAGTGGAAATTGAAGTTTATAAATAATCTTCATTTGAAATGATTATGTGTAAATATTATAATGCATTTATAATGAGTAGAAATTAATTTATCAGTTAAACTCTTGTATATTTTGTGATCTCATTTTTATTCTTTTTTTTTCTTTCTTTTAATAGTGTTTGCCAGCTCTGAGCCTGTGCCAGGATTCCAGGGGGATACCCTGCAGCTAGCATTCATTGACCTCAGACAAGTAAGATATAATAATGTACTTCCCATTTGTTGCCCTCTAACTCTTGCCCTCCCCTCACTTTTTTTTTTTATTAATGCTACAGGAATGCCTGTTTGCCTTGAAACAACCTATCTTAAGAAAAATCCTTCCTTGGTAACTATGTATTTGGCACATCTCTTTGAACCTGTAATGCATTCAGTACCTCAACTTCATAGAGCATTCTCATCAGTGAATATTCAATTTATTTAATAGTCATTACCTGCTAAGCACATTACTAAATCATAACTTTGTAGCTTGCTATAATGACACTTGATGTTCAAATTATTTCTTAATAATCTCATGGTCATATATGAAAATTGGTGGTATTAACATTAATGTCAGGACCCAAGTTAAATGTAAATTATTACAACCTAGAAAGTAACCCCTTGCATAAAATTTTTTCAATGGTAAAGAATGCTATTTTTATAAATTTTCTGTTGATCCCAGAAAGAAGGATAAAATAAGTTTTAAAAATGTAATGAGACATTTACACAATTCTTTTCTGGCCACAATACTCTAAGTGTAGTAACAAATATGGTCATTTAAAAACTCTATTCATTTTGCTACTCTGACATATCTATTGTCGTTTTATTTATTTTCTTCCCTTTTTCCACCTCTTTATTTTTTTTTATTCTTTTCCTCCTCTTTTCTCTTCCTCTTTTTGTTTTTTTTTAATTCCTATTATTAAGTAGCTTAATAAAGCTGGGGAGTCACAAGGGGGTCATAGTAGGAAAGGAGGATCCAAGTTAGAGGGCTCAGGAGTGCTAGAATAGACAGTAGGAGTGACTGTGGCCTTTGCAAGAAGAACCATATGGAGATTGAATTAAAACAAAGCCACTGTGGTATCAGTCTATTAATGGTTCCCATTCCCTTTAGGGGATAGAGATGAGGCTTCATCATTGGTATGAACAGACTCTACCACAGTGATGTTTGGAGCAGCACCAGTTTGAGCAGTTAAGAAACTCTGACTTCAGTAAATGTTTGAGAATATAGATAATTCCAACCCACTGTTTCCTAAATACTTATTGTCTATTATATATTCATTATTTGCAGAGGAAAGATGTGGTTGAAATAAATATAAAAGTAATATAAGAAATAGTTTTATCCTGATGGAGCTTAAACATGCTTTAGAGAAGCAAAACATAAACTGGTTAGGAATCCTTATAAGACAATGAGTTGCCGGCTGGGCTGTTATCCCAGCACTTTGGGAGGCCGAGGCGGATGGATCACAAGGTCAGGAGATCAAGATCATCTTGGCTAACACGGTGAAACCCCATCTCTACTAAAAATACAAAAAATTAGCTGTGCGTGGTGGCACATGCCTGTAGTCCCAGCTACTGGGGAGGCTGAGGCAGGAGAATCCCTTGAACATGGCAGGTGGAGTTTGCAGTGAGCCAAGATTGTGCCATTGCACTCCAGCCTGGGCGACAGAGCGAGACTCCGTCTCAAAAAAAAAAAAAGACAATGAGTCGTGTGGAAATAATTGGTATATCTTCAAGTCAGGTTTAGAAGGAGACTGAAAAAGCCATTCTTATCTCCAAATTATGTCTGTAAAGTATGGTACATATAAAATATATTCATATGTACTTTTGTTTGCAGTCAGTGCTCAGATATTACGTCAAACAAGGAACACTGTTATAGGTGACCTAGATCTGTAGATGATTAACCTTGCTGAGTTGGGAAAGATAGTAGAAAGTGAAGAAGGTGGTCTTTATTAGGTCATTTGACTATTTAAAAAACTGTCTTCTCTTTATCAAAGAATAAAAAAAATTTTATTTTTTGAAATCTTTAAATTATCACTGGCTAAGTAAATGACTATTATTTTACAGTCACCTGTGATCCTATATTTATTTGTTTATTTATTTATGAGACAGAGTCTCACTCTGTTGCCCAGGCTGGAATGCAGTGTCATGGTCTCAGCTCACTGCAGCTCTGCCTCCAGGGTTCAAGCAATTCTCCTGCTTTAGCCTCCTGAGTAGCTGGGACTACAGACACGCACCACCATGCCTGGCTCATTTTTTTTTTTTGTATTTTTAGTAGAGACGGGGTTTTCCCATGTTCACCAGGCTGGTCTCGAACTCCCGGCATCAAGTGATCCGCCTGCCTTGGCCTCCCAGAGTGCTGGGATTACAGGTATAAGCCACAGCGCCCAACCACCTGTGATCCTATTTTAATCAAGTGTTTTAAACCTTTGATATTTGACATACTTCCCCAAATTTCAGATTCTAAAATTGTCTTTTTGAACTCAAACTTTTGGATATTCCGGAAAGGGCCCCTGGAAGCTCAAGAGAGACATATTAGGGCTTATTCGATATAAGAAAATCATGTGAGAAACATTGTCAAATAAGAAATGGTATTTAACTTGCTTTGAATTATATTTATACAAATATTCATGTGTTCCAAAATTATATTGGATTCCTGAAATTCTGATGTCTTGATATATGTTATCAGTCATAATTATTATGTTATTATATGTCACAAAAATAACAAAATTCCCTTGTCAATTGGTGTCTTTTACCATGGCTATTTTCTTTTTTTTTTTTTGAGATGGCGTCTCGCTCTTGTCACCAAAGCTGGAGTGCAGTGGCGCGATCTTGGCTCACTGCAAACTCCGCCTCCTGGGTTCAAGCAATTCTCCTGCCTCAGCCTCCCAAGTAGCTGGGACTACAGGCGTGTGCCACCAAGCCCAGCTAATTTTTTTTGTATTTTTAGTAGAGGTGGGGTTTCGCCGGGTTGGCCAGGCTGGTCTCAAACTCCTGACCTCAGGTGATTCACTTGCCTTGGCCTCCCAAAGTGTTGGGATTACAGGTGTGAGCCACTGCACTCAGCCTAACCATGGCTATTCTAAGTCTTTTGTCATCTACAGAATATTAATTGTTTTTCTTGATTCTCCTCAAAAAGCAGTTTACAATTGGCTACAGTCCAAAATTTGCTTCTTGGCATACAGAGTTATATAATGGACTCCAGAGACTCAAAAGGGGGAGGGTGGGAGAAGGGATGAGAGATAAAAACTACATATTGGGGGCTGGGCACGGTGGCTCACACCTGTAATCCCAGCACTTTGGAAGGCTGAGGCGGGTGGATCATGAGGTCAGGAGATAGAAACCATCCTGGCCAACACGGTGAAACCCTGTCTCTTCTAAAATACAAAAAATTAACCAGGCATGGTGGCAGGTTCCTGTAATCCCAGCTACTTGGGGGGCTGCGGCAGGGGAATCGCTTGAACCTGGGGAGATGGAGGTTGCAGTGAGCCAAGATCATGCCATTGCACCCCAGCCTGGCGACAGAGCAAGACTCTGTCTCAAACAAACAAACACTACATATTGGGTACAATGTATACTACTTGGATGATGAATACACTAAAATCTCAGACTTCACCACTATACGATTCATCCATGTAACCAAAACCACTTATATTTCAAAAGCTATTGAAATAAAATAAAAGGCTGGGCGTGGTGGCTCATGCCTGTAATCCCAGCACTTTGGGAGGCTGAGGTGGGCGGATCATGAGGTCAGAAGGTCGAGACCGTCCTGGCTAACACAGTGAAACCCCGTCTCTACTAAAAATGCAAAAATTAGCTGGGCGTGGTGGTGCACACCTGTAATCCCAGTTACTCAGGAGTCTGAGGCAGGGGAATCACTTGAACTTGGGAGGCAGAGGTTGCAGTGAGCCGAGATTGTGCCATTGCACTCCAGCTTGGGCAACAAGAGTGAAACTCTGTCTCAAAAAAAAAAAAAAAGAAATAAAATAAAAATAAAAATTTTAAAAAAGAAATACATTCTTTATGCAGACCATCACATAACCATCTTTGACATAAATCACACCCCCCTATATGTAAAGATTAAATAAGACCTCATAACCAACAGCAATGTACAGACCATGTTTACATCTTAATTTGAACAAACCAGTTATAAAAAAAAGGGAGGGGGCAGGTTTGAGATAATCAGGGAAATATGGATATTAGATATTTGGTATTAAATTATTTTTAAAAGGTATAATAATGACATGGTGAATATGTTTTTTAAATGCCTTACTAGAGGCATAATAAAATATTATAGGTAAAATGAAAAAGTACACGTACATAAGTTATACATGTTTTCAAAAAAACATTAGAATATACAAAAAAGTAGAAAAATTTACTCATAGTCTTTCTACCCAAACACATCATTATTGGCATTCTGTTTTATTTCCTGCTGGTCTTTTTCCATTAATTTTTTTCCTCATCCATGCTCCTACCCTTACCAAAATATGATTGCTGGCATACTGTCCTCACAATTCCTTCTTTGTATTTCAGATAGTGTTTGCCTCTTAAATCTTAAAAAGGAACTTTTTTTTTTTTTACCAGATATTTCAGAGCCATAAAACTCAAATATAATGTGTGTAACTTGTTTTGATCCCAATTCAGACAAATCAGTGGGAGAAAGCAGGGAAATGTATTCTGTGGTTTGTTTTAAAATACTTTAAAAAGAAAAATTATTGATAGTAGCTGAATCTGGGAGGTGAGGATGATGGGTTTATTGTGCTATTTACTTTCATATATGTTTGAAATTTTTCATAATAAAAATAAAAATATTAAATTAAAAAAATAAAAGACCCTGACAAATGCTCTTACATACAGGTGTCTGGTGACTTTGGAAATCATACCACTGGACTAGGTAAAAAAACTTCCAGGACTCTAATTAAAAAGCTGATACATTCATAAAGATTGCTAACCCAACATCAAGCAAAACAAGAATTACATGGAACTGAACTGATGGTGGACTAAAATAATTTATTATTATTTTATTTTTAAATGTTAATCTATGTATTTATTTATTGATTGATTTATTTATTTTGAGACCAGATTATGAGACTGGCTAGTTTTTGTATTTTTGGTAAAGATGGAGTTTCACCATGTTGCCCAGGCTAATCTTGAACTCCAGGGCTCAAGCAATCCACCCGCCTCGGCCTCCCAAAGTGCTGGGATTACAGGCGTGAGCCACCACACTTGGCCCAAAATGATTTTTTGTTGACTTTTTATTTAAAACATTGCTGATTCTTTCTATGTTTTGTTTTCCAGAGCCAAGAAAATTTTTTCTTCTAAGCTATTCATAACTTACAGCAATTAGTTAAAATATACTTATGAACAAAATCAAAACATTTACTTTTCTCTCTAGATGATTTCTCCAGAATTTAGAAACTATCCATAAATATTCTAGTTTTATGACAATCTAATTATTTACATAAGTTCCATAAGAATCTTTTCTTTTGTAACAGGACACATTGAAAACACTGGTTATTTTACCAAGGATTTGACTAAAATGTCATGTTTTCATATATGACCAGACTGCTTTGAGGGATTGAGGTTGACTTTATAAAGCCAATAAAGTTTAAAAACAAAAAAACAAAAAAGAGACTGGCCCTGTACCCTATCCACACAGTTCCCTTATAAGGTTCCTGACCTTGGGATAAGTAAAAAATGTCACTTTCTGGCAGGCCTGAGAACCTCAAGATACTTCAAGGACCTCGAAAAGTGAAAATTTCACCCAGTTCATACCGATATTAGAGGCACAGTCTGATGGCAAATGCTCAGCTTGCTTTCCTACCCTTGAGGCTTTTAAAAGTCTAATCCAAAATTCCTTATTAAAAGTTCCAGTGAAGTCCGTTTTTAAAAAGTCCATATGGTGAATCACTATTCTTGCTGCACTATACAAATAATCAGGCCAAATATGGTAAGACTAAAATTTATTTTACAAATAAATTGGTCCTAGTATAATTTGTATTTGATTTTTTTAAAAGGGGGACTAGAAAAAATACATATTAAAGGAAAAACCATAGTATACATGTATTAGATTCTAGCCTTGTCCATTATTTTTGAGTTTTTATTATTTGCCTGCAATTTAGAACAAATCCTAAATTCTTTTTTAGCTACAAGTCTCCAAACTAATGTTTTCACATTTTTCTCACTTAAAATCACTAAAAATTAAAACTGCTTTTCTTAAAGCCCTAAAGCTAGAACTTAATATAAACTTCAACAAAAATCACCAGAGCAACTTACATATTAACAGCCTTTATGCCTACAGATATATGGACTGTGCAAAAAGTTTGCTTGAATACCTGATTCAAACCATAATAATAATAATAATAATAAATGTGTCAGATTGCCACTGCAACCTGAAGATGCTTCAGAGACTCCAATAATTAGCTTATAGACTACTCCAGACATGGACCATTGTTTTTCTTCTGTTTCTGTAGAGATGCCTCTTATTAAAAATATGTTTGCCTACCTTACATATAGAGGCCTAGCTTCGAGGGCCCATCTGCAATGCTGTCTTCTAAAATAAGACACAGCTGTTTAATTGGACTGGCCTATTCCCCAAAATAAGAGACTGATTTGATGAGATCTTTTGCCATTGAGTTACTAACTTGATTTGTCTTTTCACAGCCACTAACTCAGCTTTTAATATGTGAAACTTCTAGGGAAGTTTTAGACAGGGAAATGTTGGGGCTCAGAAACCAGTACTCTAAAATACAGTGCTTTGACATGCTGAACGGAAGAAGCAGCACTGAGGTCTCTCTGGCCTCTTTCCCACCCCCGCCCACTGCCCCACCATCTCTCAATACTTTGTCTCTCCCAAAGTACAGGATAAAGTTGTTCTCTAAAATTCCCTCATCTGCTTGAAGTTTGGACCTGTCAAGGAAGAAAACGGTTACCTCTGGTTCCTTCCCTTGTATTAGCTAAACTCATGCAAGAAGAAAGACTGAAGTCTGTCAACACACCTGGGCAGACTTTTGTCACATAGGCTCAACAGACTTTGTCCCAGACCATTGTATGTTCTTCATTCCCATTAAGTTCCCCTAGAAATCATTCACTACCCTCCTAAAATCATCCACACTTTCCCCATCTCCCTTTCCCATAAGAAAAAAGATACAGGGTCAGGCATGGTGGCTCACACCTGTAATCCCAGCACTTGGGAGGCTGAGGTAGGAGGATCACTTGAAGCCGGGTGTCAAGACCAGTCTGGGCAACATAGCAAGACCCTACCTCTAAAACAAAACAAAACAAACCAAACAAAAACATGTAACCATCTATACCCCATTGCATAGTGGAAAAATCACTCTGCGATTCTCTCTCATGCATGCTAATAAATGTATATGGCATTTCTCCTATTAATTTGCCTTTTGTTAGTTGATGTTTCAGTTAAACTTCCAAGGGTGAGGGAGTTTTCGCTTTATCCCTACAACTCTCAACTTCATTCCGGTTTACCAGAAGAGATTCTTTCTGTTGACAGTAGATCCATTTCCTTTAGAAGGAGTTCCCTCTGTTGCAGTGCTATTTCCCTGAACAAGGTGATGTACTATTGAAAACAGGATTCTTTAGCAAGTTGAAAACAGGATTGATTGTATATTCATTTCCCAGTTAGTTTAAGGTCACTTAGTGGGGTAAGTTTCCTACTGGTGTAAGTTGCAAGGACGTAAACATATTCTCCAATCCAAAGGACAGCTTTAAGAGGAGATGATTTGAGAATAATTCTCATTGTATATGAATAATCTGTTTATAGAAAGTTTGAAATTTCTCATGTGATATTTTCTCAGTTGTATATGAATTTTTATGGTG